>NC_000011.10:72570847-72873877 GCF_000001405.40 Homo sapiens | reverse complement strand
AAGCTTCAGTTTTGTTTTACCATTTATACTGAGTTGAGTTTTGGTTTGCTTACGTAGGAACCCGGGATGCTGGAGCTGCCTCAGTTTAATGACCTTCCAGTTAATTATCTTAACAACCCCACTTTACATCATATATACAAACTAACTCAAAATGAATACCTAAATGTAACAGCGAAAGCTAATAAACTTACAAAAAAAACCACAGGGGTAAGTCTTTGTGGCCTTGGATTAGTTTCTTAGATATAACACCAAAGCCTAAGCAGCAAAAGAAAAACTAGATAAATTAGACATCATCAAAATTTAAAACTTTCATGTTTCAAATGACACTATCAAGAAAATGAAAGACAGCCCACAGAATGGGGGAAAATATTTGCAAATCATGTATCTGATAGAAACTTACTTCTAGAATATATTAAAACTCATAATAATAAAAAGGCAAAAATACTCAACTTAAAAATGGGAAAAGGGTCTGAATAGACATTTCTCCAAAGAAGATGTATGAATGACCCATAAATAAGCACATGAAAAGATTCATTTTTTTTTTTTTTTGAAACAGAGTCTCACACCATTGCCTGGGCTGGAGTGCAGTGGCGCGATCTCGGTTCACTGCAGCCTCCACCTCCCAGGTTCAAGCGATTCTCCTGCCTCAGCCTCCTGAGTAGCTGGGATTACAGGCACCCGCCACCGTGTCCGGCTAATTTTTTGTATTTTTAGTAGAGATGGGGTTTCACTGTGTTGGCCAGGCTGGTCTCAAACTCCTGACCTGGTGATCTGCCCGCCTCAGCCTCCCGAAGTGCTGGGATTATAGGCATGAGCCACCGTGCCTGGCCTAAGATTTGTAACATTAATAGTTATCCAGGAAAATGCAAACAACAGTAAGATACCACTTTATATCCACTAGCATGGCTAGAGTCAAAAGACAGACATTAACAAGCATTTGCCAGGATGTGGAGAAACCCTCATCACCCTACTGGTGGGATCAAATGATAAAGCCACGTTGAAAAACAGTCTAGTATTTCCCCAGATGGTTAAACTTAGCATTACTTCATGATCCAGCAATGCCAGCCCTACATATAAACCCAAAAGAAGTGAAAACATGTCCACACTAAAATTTATACACACACGTTTATAGCAATATTATTCATAATAGCCAAGAAATAGAAACAACCTAAATGACTCCCAACTGACAAATGGATAAACATTCTAATGTATATCCATACAATAGAATGTTATTTGGCCATTAAAAAAATGAAATACTGATACATGTTACAACATAGATGAATCTTGAAAATATTATGCAAAGTGAGAGAAGTTAGTCATAAAAGACCATGTATTATATTGTTTCATATGTGTTAAATGTCTGGAATAGGCAAATCTTTATAGACAGAAAGTAGAATAGTGATTGTCAAGACTGCAGGGAATAGGGGGCTGGAGAACAATAGGTAAATGGTACATGGTTTCTTTTGGAGGTGATAAAATATTCTAAATTTGACTGTGGTGATGGTTGCATGTACTATGAATATACTGTAAGCCACTGAATTTCAGACTTGAAATGAGTGAATTGTGTGGTTCTAAAAAAAAAAAAAAAAAAGAAAAGAAAAAAAAAGTTGTGTGCCAAAAGGTCTTTGTCACCTGAGCTATATGTCAATAAAGTTTTACCAAAAAAAGAAATTATGAAAAGAATAAGCAGATTTTTGCAAGAGTATTTACCAATTGGAGTGCCTCTAAGCCAAAAATTCCAATTGTCTTATATAAAGACGTATATGATACCCCAAACCATTGTATTGTATACTTTAAAATGGTGCAGATAGTAAATTTTATGTAATGTTTTACCTCAATTTTTATAAAAATCTATTTGCTTAAAAACGTTAATATAAAAAAAATTAATTCAGCAAAGAAAGCCCAGTGATACAAGTCAGAACATAAATTGTTTTTGATATCAACTCCCCAAGCAGAGAATTCGGAGGGAAATCAAAATTATGTACCTGTTGGGCACAGCAGTTCACACCTGTAATCCCAACACTTTTGCAGGCCAAGATAGGAGGATTGCTTGAGCTCAGGAGTTCAAGAGCAGCCTGGGCAAAAGAGCAACCACTCTGGCTCTAAAAAAAAAAAAAAAAAAAATTATGTACCAAAGGTATTTGTCACTGGAGTGCAGTGGCTATCTATTCACAGGCATGATCATAGCTCACTGCAGCCTCAAACTCCTGGACTCAAGTGAGCCTGCCTCCTCAGTCTCCTGAGTAGCTTGGACTCCAGGTACAAGCCACTGCACCAGCTCCAACTTGTTTGTCCAAGAGTCCCACAGAAAGCCACCAAGTGAGAGTGGAACTTTACTTAGGTTAAGTAAGTGGAACCTTACTTAACCTAAAATTAGCTTAGTGGAACCTTAAATGTTAAGGAAGAGATCACCACTTGCATATGTGAAACAATGAAGCTGAATGCATTACTTGCTAAGCAAAAGAGGCTGAATGTTTTACTTGCTAAGCAAAAGAGAATGACACAAAACACATTGACTCTGAACAAAGCAAGAGTTGATATATAGGGTTTTGAGAAGCTTGAATGTCAGGGATTGGCAGATTTTCAAAACTAGGAATGTTTAAGGGGTTGGCTCACTTTCAGCCTTGGTTTTTAGAGTTTGGAGGACTAGTAGAAGCAGAAGCTGTCACAGATTAGCTGACTTTCAGAGGCATGGCTGTTGGAGCAAAGCAGCAGTTACTTTCTGATCGGGAGGGGTTTAAAACTAGTTCTGTGGTTACTTGTTTATGGTTTATGGAACAAGGGCTAAAGAATAAGCAGTTATTCCCTTTCTTGAATTTGGAGAATAGGAACTTTTTATTCTCAATCTCTGCTATTTCTGCCAGCCACATCATAAATGTAGTTTAAAAGCAAAGACATTACTGTTAGTCAACAAACAAGTTAGTCAATAAAGGCAGCCAAGTCAAAGGGGGAATTCTTTTTTTTTTTTTTTTTTTTTTGAGACGGAGTCTCGCACTGTCACCCAGGCTGTAGTGCAGTGGCGCAATCTCGGCTCACTGAAAGCTCCGCCTCCTGGGTTCACGCCATTCTCCTGCCTCAGCCTCCCGAGTAGCTGGGACTACAGGCACCCGCCACCACGCCCAGCTAATTTTTTGTATTTTTAGTAGAGACAGGGTTTCACTGTGTTAACCAGGATGGTATCGATCTCCTGACCTCGTGATCTGCCCCCCTCGGCTTCCCAAAGTGCTGGGATTACAGGCGTGAGCCACCGCACCTGGCCCAAAGGGGGAATTCTTTAAGCTTGTGCTGAAGAATGTTAGAATTGTTAGAGAGAAGTTCTTTTATATTAAAAATTATTATTATTAAAGAGACACAGTAGTTTATAACTCAATATCATTGAATGGCAGTCTTTCAAGATTGGTAGAGCCAATCTTGAAAGAATTGGTAGAGCCTATTCAGTCTTTTCTTGGAAAAGTAGAAGCACAGTTATATAGGATATTTATTCAAAAAAGGTTACTGAACACATAACAGGAGAATAACGCTGAATGTCAATGCTCGAGTCTTAAAGGAGCCCCCAATTATATCAAACAGGCATACTTAGTTAAATAGCTAAGTATAATTTCGTGCCTATCACATTGTAATTAGATCTATATAGAGTGCTTTAGGAGCAGAGAAAAAGGAATTATTAACTGCCTAAGGAAGGTTGAGAAATACTTAGAAAAATCTTTGTGGAAAGGGTAATATTTGAACGGACCGTCAAAAGATAAGCACTCACCAGGCATCAAAAAGCAATGAGAAGGCCTTTACAGAGGGACTGGCACGCACACAGGCACGCAAGCACATGATGGATCAGAGGAACAGCAAGTGGGACAGTGGGGTGGGAGCATAGGGGGGTGTGGAAAGAAACAGTAGAAGGAAATAACTCAGCCAAACTGTGAAAGATATTTTTTATTCCTAGTTAAGAATTAGTTAATTCTTTACTCAGTAGACAGTCAGGAGTTATGAAAGTTTTTAAACTGGGGAGCAACATGATGAGGTCATTCACAGACTGTAAAAGATGGATTACAGAGGAGAAAAAGTCCAGGAAATGGGTTAGAAGGCTACTGAAAATGCTGGATTTCAGGGTGTTCTGAGGCATAGCATTATGAACAGGAAAAGGAAACAGACTTTATCACTCTTGATCTCTTCCTCTTCACAAGTTATATTTGATCTATCATCAATACCATGCCCTTGTCAAAATGCAAGTATGTGCTCACTTCAGCATCACATATACTAAAATTGAAATGATGCAGAGAAGATTAGCATGGCCCCTATGCAAGGATGACACACAAATTCGTGAAGCATTCCATACTTTTATTAAAAAAAAAAAAAAGCAAGTATTCCATTGTTAGGAGACCCTGATTCCTTTCTTTTGTTCATGTTCTCTGTCTCTCTGCCTCTGTCTCTCTCTCTCTCTTCTTCCCTCCCCCCAACCCTCTCTTTCCCTTCTTCACTATCTCCCCTCCCTTTCCCCTTCTCTTGCCCTGCTTCAAGTGAAAAATTAGCATCTGTGCCAGGGAAGAATTGCTAGTGAATATCAAGATTGTTGTAATTAATCGATTAGGAAGAACTTAATTAATTTGAGGGAAAAAAGCCTTGATTTCCTTTTTTTGATAGGGATATAAACAAGAAGTTTATAATAAATGGTAACTTGGCTGGGTGAGGTGGCTCATGCCTGTAATCCCAGCACTTTGGGAGGCTGAAGCAGGTGGATCACCTGAGGTCAGGAGTTCGACACCAGCCTGGCCAACTTGGCAAAACCCCGCCTCTACTAAAAATACAAAAATTAGCCGGGTGTGGTGGTACACACCTGTAATCCCAGCTACTTGGGAGGCTGAGGCAGGAGAATTGCTTGAACCCAGGAGGTGAAGGTTGCAGTGAGCCAAGATCATACCACTGCACTCCAGCCTGGGTGACAGAGTGAGACTCCATCTCAAAAAAATAAAAAATTTAAAAAAAAAAGGTAACTTAAAAAGTAAAAGCTAAGCTGCATTGCCACCAAGAATACAGTTGTGCAAAAATATGTCTGCATGTGGACAAAGCCTTGAGAATATTTGCCATGTAAGACTGATAGGATCATGTATGATTTTTTTTCCTTTTAAGTAATTTCCTTTCATGACGGTTATATAGTTTCTTGGTTTGTTTGTTTGTTTGTTTGTTTGTTTGTTTTTAACAGAGTCTTGCTCTGTCACCCAGGCGGGAGTGTAGTGGTGCGATCTCCCCTCACTGCAACTTCCCCTTCCTGGGTTCAAGTGATCCTCCCACCTTAGGCTCCCAAGTAGCTGGGACTACAGGCCCATGATACCATGCCTAGCTAATTTTTTTTTCAACTTTTAAGTTCCCGGATACGTGTGCAGGATGTGCGGGTTTGTTATTAGGGTGGTGCAAAAGTAATCCTGGTATGTGTGCCATGGTGGTTTGCTGCACAGATCAACCCATCACCTAGCTATTAAGCCCAGCTCCATTAGCTATTCTTTTTAATGCTCTCCTTCCCCACCCATCGCCCTCTGACAGGCCCCAGTGTGTGTTGTTCTCCCCCACTCATGTGTCCGTATGTTCTCATTGTTCAGCTCCCACTTACAAGTGAGAACATGGAGTGTTTGGTTTTCTGTTCCTGCCTTAGTTTGCTGAGGATAATGGCTTGCAGCTGCATTCATGTCCCTGCAAAGGATATGATCTCTGTCCTTTTTATGGCTGCATAGTATTCCATGGTGTATATGTACCACATTTTCTTTATCCAGTCGATCATTGATGGGCATTTGGGTTGATTCCTTATCTTTGCTATTGTGAATAATAAAAGCCTTGATTTCCGACCATTTTCTTGGTTCTCTAGATAATTAAATTGAAAGCTGAAGCCCGGTTGGACCTGCTAAAGCAGATTGGTGTTTCTGTGGACACATGGCTAAAGAGTGCCATGAACCAAGTAATGGAAGAACTGGAAAATGAGCGATGGGCCCGCCCTCCTGCAGTGACCAGTAATGGCACTTTACACTCGGTACGATTTCTTTTCTTGGATATGACAAGTTGATTTTCACTGAAGCATGCTTTGACTCTGTAGTCAAACTTAATAATAGCCAAAATTTTTTAAAAAGATAATAGTTTGCTAGTGATTTAGGTTTTATTCTTCAGCCTATCACTAATTGATTTAAAATTATTGCGGGAAGTGAAAGAGAGGAAAAAATGAGTGTTTTTTTTAATGTATGATGAAGAATATGTTATCACTATTTGGGTTATCGATGCCTATCTACCAAACTCATCCCATTCATAGAGTAAATATGCTTCGTGTCTGGAAGTAATAGAATAGAAAACAATCTAGTGTCTCTGAAGTTCTCAGAGGTCTTCTTTAGTGAAAATGAAAATAAACATCCAGAGATTTGCACAAAATCTTAAGTGAAAGGAATGTTCTTCTTAGTACGTGGGCTTAGTCTGAAGGTGACTTCAATTCTTGACAGCTTTCATATTCTCCTCACATAGAGAGAGTGTAGGTGAGTTTTACAGACAAGGCCAGGACACAGCTTAAGTCTCCTTACTTCAAGTCCAGGGCTTTTTCTACTCTGATGTCATCTGGTTCAACCTTAGTTTTTCATGTTGGAGATCTAAGTACCAGAAAAATTCGGTTGATTTGCCTGATATTACATAGCTGGATATGTGATGCCTTGCTAGTCAGACTAATGTAATTCCTACTGTCACCTCCCCACCCATTACTCTCTGTCATCCTGTTTATTTCCTCAATGGTATTTATTACAGTTTGAACTTGCCTTCTTTATTTGTTTTCTTTTGTTTATTGTTGTCTTCCTCTCTAGAATGTAATTGCCATATCTTCCTGGTTCTCTGCTCTGCACAGCAAAGTGCCTGACACATAGTTGGTACTTAAATATTTTTGAAGGAAGGAGTGAATGGTTGGATGGGTGAGTGGCTAGTTGGAATAGTGGCAAACTAAAAGCTAAAACTCTAACCTCCCAACTTCCCACTGTCTTCATAGTGCCTCTTTAAATGCTTGTGCTCTTCAGATATCAGGCAGGCTTGCTAGCGAAACTGACGAAAATTTTTCAACATTCTTGGAAGTTTTGTCAATTTTTTCACATAGCATTCTAATTTTCTAATGAGAATACACTTGCACATTTAAAAAGGGTTGTGTGTGGGTCTACATTTTAAGGAAAAACAATCTATTGAAGCTTTATTTTCATTTAACTATTAATGTTAATCCAGCTAGAGGGAAAAAGAAACATCACCCACTTGACTTTGGGGTTGTAAGCACTTCCCCAGTTGTTATTAGAACAGAGTTGCTCTGGCCGTGCATGGTGATTCACACCTGTAATCCCAGCACTTTGGGAGGCCAAGGCAGATGGATCACCTGAGGTCAGGAGTTCGAGACCAGCCTGGCCAACATGGTGAAACGCTGTCTCTACTAAAAATACAAAAATTAGCCAGGCATGGTGGCAGACGCCCATAATCCCAGCTACTCAGGAGACTGAGACAGAAGAATCGCTTGAACCCGGGAGGCAGAGGTTGCAGGGAGCCAAAATCATGCCATTGCACTCCAGCCTGGGTGACAAGAGTGAAACTCTGTCTCAAAAAACAAAAAAAACAAAACAAAACAAAAAACAGAACAGAGTTGCTCCATCTCATGGAATATCTCCTACTATTGCACTTTCTAAAAGTCATAATGCTCATCTACTTCAGACTGTTGTAGAGTTTTTGATGACAGCAAATTCCAGGCCCACTTGATTTGGGCTTCTACAGCAGGACTGTTTCCAACCAATCAAACCCATGATTTTCCTTCAGCTAGCACCTTTTCTAACCAAATCAATTGAGGGGCCATATACCATCTGACTTTGAACTGAGCAGGCACATACCATCTAACTTTGTACTTACTTCCTGGGCAAACTGAAGATGAACAAAACTTGGTCTCCCTCCTCATAGAATTTACAAGCTAGGAGACCAGACAGATCTTCATAGATCTTAATGATACATGGCAGTGTATGACTGGACTACTGTGTAGCACACTTGAGATTGCTTACTTCTAACTCATCTGCACACCTTGGAAAAAGTCACTTCTCTTGGGTTTCTGAAAGAAAGATTAAAAGACTCTGAGATTCCCACTCCCCACCCCCACCAACTCCAGAATCTCATGATTCTTTGAAATACTATCAGAAAAGCTCAATATCAGCTAGAAGAATAGGGAAGAAAGTGTGCCCCATGGAGGATATGTCATTTGAGATAGTCTTTGAAGAATTTTAACAGGAGATAAAGAAGAAGGGCTGTTCTCGTTGTGAAGGAAGGGAATGAAGGAGCTGTGCCTAGTACAGTAGTAGTAAGCATTGAATAAATGAGTATTTTTGAGACCTGTCCAGAGAAATCACTCCTCTAGAGACATACATATCCTCTGTGAAGGGAGCATTTTGCAATTCCATCCGACGTTTTTCTTCCCCCTCATCACTCTTATGGAGCCTGCATCTTTCAACTGAGAGATTACATTTTGTGGAAGATCTAATAATATAAATAAAGGAGAGACATAGGCACAAAATAGCTTAATGAGGACCTATATTTATTTAATCTGCTTTTAAGTAACAGCACTGAAATTATTTAGAGGGGGTTGTATCTCTTCATACTGACAGCTAGCTGGCTGAGGAACATGAAGCAGAAATGCACATTCTAGAGGCTAAATTATTTCTTCCATTACAGCTGCCAACAAAAGCATTCGTCATCTGGAAAACATGATTAATACTACTGTTAGACATTAATAGTGCAACTGAAAAGTGCCTTGTGGAAGATAAATGTTTTAAAAAGACACAGACTACTCCCTTATAGAATAAGGAAGGAACTATACTTACTTGGGTATTAACTCTGCCTTCTGTATCATGCTATAGTACAGAATGTAAGATTGGAAAAAAGGAATCCCAGAGTATAGCAACGTTGTTTTTAAAGGAGAACAGTCCACTGACACAGTTACTCAGTTGCAGGTGTCTGGAGCCTGCATGCAGCTTCCCCTGTTAGATTGCTGCCAGCAACCCCATCAGCCTGTGTCACTCAGCCTCCCTTCTCTTATCATCCTGCTTCTCTTATTCAAAAGCCATACCAAGATGACAACCTGACTTTTGATATTATATTAATTCTGCAATAGAAGAAGTTATATAAGCAGATTACCAAAAAATTGGAAAATACAATACAGAAGAAAATGATTAATAGCTCCATCCTTATAATAGCACAGCTAGCAATTTGGTGTATTTCCTTACTCTTATTTATTTATTTTTTAATTGACAAACAATTGTATATATTTATGGTGTACAACATAATGTGTATTTTTGTTTGTTTGGAGATGGTCTCCCTCTATCGCCCAGGCTGGAGTGCAGTGGTGCTGTTGATGGCTCACTGCAGTCTCAACCTTTGGGGCTCAATGGATCCTCCTGCCTCAGCCTCCTGAGTAGCTGGGACTACAGGCTCATGCCCCCATGCCCAGCTAATTTTTGTATTTTTCACCATGTTGCCCAGGCTAGTCTCAAACTCCTAGGATCAAGCAGTCCGCCCACGTTGGCCTCCCAAAGTGCTGGGATTACAGGCATGAGCCACCACACCCAGTCCATATTTTTATTTTTTCTAATCTTTTATTTATGAGCCACTATGCCCACCCTGTTCTTTTATTGCTTACATTTTCAAACTATAGCCCACAATGTTAACATCACTTCCCCGTTTTCAGCCACTTTCCCCAACTAATGTGCAAGGGCAAACTGCCAGTCTACTCTGTTGTACAGCCTCACTTAGAGTATGAACATCTGCAGAGTTGCATATAAATAAATTCTGACTTTGGTTGTTGTGAGAACCATGCTTAATAATGATGTTGGAGATAAGGGTAAGATAAGGAGTTTCTAAAACTGCTAAGATCATATGCTTTGGCTGGGTCATATAATAGGTATATATTTAACATTTTAAGAAACTGACAAACTGTTTTCCAAAGTGGTTATACCATTTTACAATTACATCAACGGGGTACTAGTGTTTCAGTTGTTCCACAACCTTATCAGTACTTACTATAGTCAGTCTTTTTAACTTTAGACATTCTAATAGGTGTGATGTTGTAAATCATTGTCATTTTAATTTCCATTTCTCTGATAATGTTGATCATCTTTTCATATGTTTATTTGCATCTGTATATTTTCTTTGGTGAAGTGTCTGTTCAAATCTTTGTTTAATTTTTATTGGGTTTGTTTTATTTTTATTGCATTTTAAGAGTTTATACTCTGAATACAAATCCTTTATCAGATATTTGATTTATGCAATTTTCTTCTAGTCTGTGGCTTATTTTTTTATTTCCTTAATACCTTTCAAAGAGCACAAATTTTTAATTTTAATGAAGTCCAACCTACCAATTTTTCTTTTATGGATCATATTTTTGGTGTGGTAGCTAAGAAATCTTTGCCTAAAACCAAGGTCATAAAGATTTTCTCCTAGGTTTTCTTCTGGAAGTTTTATAGTTTTAGGTTTTACATTTAAATCTGTAATTCAGCATGAGCTTATCTTTTATTATGGTAAACAGAATAAGTCAGAGTTCTTTGTCCCTTTTTTGAACTTTTTTTTTTAACTGTCCTTTCGCCACTGAATTGCCTTTGCATCATTGTCAAAAATCAGTTATTCAGGCCTGCCACAGTGGCTTATGCCTGTAATCCCAACACATTGGGCTGAGTGGGAGGATCACTTCTGGCCAGGAGTTTGAGACCAGCCTGAGCAACATAGTAGACCCTGTCTCTAAAAAAAGAAAAAAAAAAATTTCAACTAGCCAGGCATTGTGGTACATTCCTGCGGTCCTAGCTACTCAGGAGGCTAAAGCAAGAAGGTATCTTGAACCCAGAAGTTCAAGGTTACAGCGAACTATGATTGTGCTACTGCACTCCAACCTGGGAAACAGAGCAAGTCTCTTTAAAAAAAAAATTAATCATATATGTATGGGTCTGTTTCTTGACATTTTGTTCTGTTCTATTGATCTGTTTGTCCAGCTTGATGCCGGTATTGCACTGACTTAATTACTGTAATTTTATAATAAGTCATGACTTCAGGTAGTGTAAGTCCTCCAACTTTCTTCTTTATCAAAGTTGTTTTGGGTATTCTAGGTCCTTTGCATGTCCATATGAATTTAAAATTGGTTTTCTACCCCAAAAAGCCTATCAGGATTTTTATTAGGATTATGATGACTGCATAGATCAACTGGAAGATAACATTGCCATGTTAACAATATTCAGTTTTCCAATCCATGAACATAATATACTTCTCCATTTATTTAGGACTTTAATTTCTCTCAGCAATGTTTTGTAGTTTTCAGTAGATAGATCTTGCATATCCTTTGTCAGACTTACCCCTATTTCATAATTTTGGTGCTATTGTAAATGATTTTTTAAATTTCAGTTTCCAATTGTTCATTGCTGATCCATAAAAATACAGTTGATTGTTGTATATTGATCTTATATCCTGCAATCTTGCTAAACTCACTTATTAGTTCTAGTAGCTTTTTTGTAAATCCATAGGATTTTCTATATAACCGTGTCACCTGCAAATAAAGACAGTTTTACTTATTCCTTTCCTATTTGGATTCCTTTTTCCTTCTTACTATAAAATTGCTGAATAGAAGTGGTGAGAGTCAACAGAAATCCTTGCCTTGTTCTTGAACTTTTAGCAAGAATGCATTCAGTCTTTCACCATTAAGTATGAAGTTAGCAGTAGGGTTTTTGTAGATGCCCTTTATCATGTTAAAGAAGTTTCTTCTGTTTCTATTTTGTTTGCTAATAGAAATGGATGTTGGATCTTGTCAAATGGTTCTTTTTTAGTCTGCTAATATGGTGTAATTGCATTGATGATTATTCAGATATTAAACCAGCTTCACATTCCTGGTAAACCCCACTTGGGTAATGATATATTATCTTTTTTTTTTTTTTTTTTGAGACGGCGTTTCGCTTTTGTTGCCCAGGCTGGAGTGCAATGGCATGATCTCAGCTCACCGCAACCTCCACCTCCCAGGTTCAAGCGATTCTTCTGCTTCAGCCTCCCAAGTAGCTGGGATTATAGGCATATGCCACCATGCCTGGCTAATTTTATATTTTTTTAGTAGAGATAGGGTTTCTCTATGTCGGTCAGGTTGGTCTTGAACTCCCGACCTCAGTTGCTCCACCCGCCTCAGCCTCCCAGAGTGCTGGGATTACAGGCATGAGCCAGCGCGCCCGGCCTATCCTTTCTATATATTGATTGGAACTGGTTTGCTAGGACTCTGATAAGCATGCTTCCATCTCCATTCATTTCCTTGTAGTATTCTTGTCTGGTTTTGTTACAATGCTTGTCTCCAAATGATTTGAAAAGTATCCTCTCCTCTTCAAGTTTCTGGAAGCCTTGTGTAGAATTGTATGGAATTTCGTCTTCCTGAAATGTTTAGTGGAATTTACCAGGGCTGTTATCTGGTCCTGGAGTTTTTTTTTTTTTTTGGAAGTTTTTAAATAATAGACTCCATTTCTTTAGTAGATACAGGGTTATTAAGGTTATTCTTCTGAGTGAACTTTGGTAAGTTGTCTCTTTTAAGGAATTTGTCCATTCCATCTAAGTTGTCAGATTTATTGGCACAAAGTTGTTTATAATATTCCTTTATCCTTTGATTATCTGGAAAATTAGTAGAGATATCACCTCATTCCTGATATTGGTCATGTCTCCTCTCTTCTGATCATTCTGCTAGAGGTTTATTAATTATATGGATCTCTATGAAGAATCAGCTTTTGATTTTATTGATTTTTCCCTCGTTTTTCTCTTTTCTATTTTCTTGATTTCTACTCAGGATTTTATTATTTCTTTTCTTCTGTTCAATTTGGATTTAATTTTCTCCTTTCTAATTTGTAAGATAGAAACTGAGGTCATTGATTTGAGAGTTTTCTTCTTTTTGAATATTGGCATTAAGTGCTAAACATTTCCCTGTAAGTATTGCTTTAGGTCCATTGCACAAATTCTGGTATGTTGTGTCATCATTTTTATCCAGTTCAAAATATTTTCTAATTTACATTTTTTTTTTTTTCAAACAGAGTCTTGCTCTGTCACTCAGGCTGGAGTGCAGTGATGCAATCTCAGCTGACGGCAACCTCCTCCTCCCAGGTGATTCTTATGCCTCAGCCTCCCAGCACCACCACGCCCAGCTAAATTTTGTATATTTAGTAGAGATGGGGTCTCACTATGTTGCCCACGCTGGTCTAGAACTCCTGAGCTCTAGCGATTCACCCACCTCAGCCTCCCAAAGTGGTAGGATTATAGGAGTGAGCCACTGCACCTGGCCTCTAATTTATGTTTTAATTTCTTCTTTTGACTGATGGGTAATTAAAAGTGTGTTACTGAATTTCCAAATATTTGGAGATTTTTCCAGATAGCTTTTTGTTTTTTATTTCTAGTTTATTTCCATTGTAGTCAAATAACATACTTGAACCCTTTTAAACTTTTTGAGCTTTGTTTTGTAACCCAGTATAAACGTATATCTTGGTAACTGTTACATGTGTTCTTAAAAAAAAGAATGTATATTTTGCTATTGTTAGGGGTTATGTTCTATAAATGTCAATTAAGTCAGGTTGGTTATAGTATTGTTCTAGTCTTCTAGACTGGAACGAACCTTTTACCGGTCCATGGCCTGTTAGGAACTGAGCCACACAGCAGGAGGTGAGTGGCCAGAGAGGGAGCATTACTGCTTGAGCTCTGCGTCCTGTCAGACCAGCAGGCAGCATTAGATTCTCAGAGAAGCATAAACCCTATTGTGAACTTCACATGTAAGGGATCTAGGTTGGACCCTCCTTATGAGAATCTAATACCTGATGATCTGAGATGGAACAGTTTCATCCTGAAACCTTCCCTCATGGTACCCCAAGGGTCCAGTCCATGGAAAAATTGTCTTCCATGAAACTGGTTCCTGGTGCCTAAAAGATTGGGGACAGCTGTTCTGTATCCTTACTAATGTTAATACTCTACTGGGTGCCCTGTGCCTTATGAAGTTTTTACTCTTTTAGGAGGGAGCAGGAGTTATTCTCAGACCTGTGTGAGTTCTGAGGATTATTTTTCCTAATCCTTTTTAGTGCTTCTAGCCCTAGCTTTGGGTAATTTCTTCACATATATGTACTGACCAATACTCAGCCAAAGTCTTGAGGAGGACCCTCTGCAGATTTCCTAAGTTCTGCGCATCTCTCTCTTCTTCATTACAGTCCCCCCTTATCTGTGGGGGATATATTTCAAGACCTCCAGTGCATGCCTGAAGTCACAGATAGTACCGAACCTTATGTATACTGTGTTTTTCCCTATACATACATATCTATCATAAAGCTAATTTATATATGAGGCACAGTAAGAGATTAACAACACTAACTAGTAATAAAATAGAATACTATAACAATAGGCCAGCAGCACTACTGTAGTGCTTTGGGGCCAGTATTAAGTAAAATAAGGGCTACTTGAACACAAGCACCGTGATATGGTGACAGTCAATTGGGATAACCGAGATGGCCACTAAATGACTAATGGACAAGTAGCTTACATAGCTTGCATATACTCGACAAAGGGGTGATTCACATCTGGGGAGACAGACTGAAACACTAAAATGTCATCAGGCTACTCAGAATGGCACACAATTTAAAACTTATGAATTGTTTATTTCTGGAACTTTCCACTTAATATTTTCAGATCATGGTTGACTGGGTAACTGGCACCATGGAAAGCCAAACCACACATAAGGGGAGACTGCTATACTCCGCATCCTGAGCTCTCTCCACTTTGGCTTTACTAAATTCCCAGTTTCATCTCCTCTGTTCAGGGAGGTCACCATCATGTGCCTGGGTTTCTTCTCCCTATGTCATAACCTAAAAACTTTCTTCATACAGTATGTTGTAGGAGTTTGTTTGTTTCCCATCCCCCAGGGATCACTGTCCTTCATGAGTGATGCCCAGTGTCTTGAAAACTGTTCTTTCATATATTTTGAACAGTTTTTCAGTTGTTTCTGACAGGAGGTTAAATCTGATCCCTGATACTCCATCTTGCCTGGAAGCACAAATCCATTTTCCTGATATTTTTAGCATCATCTTTTTCTTAACTTTTATTTTAAGTTCAGGGATATAATTGCAGGTTTGTTACATAGGTAAACTTGTGTCATGGGGGGGTTGTACAGATTATTTCATCACCCAGGTGTTAAGCCTCATACCCATTAGTTATTTTTCCTGATCCTCTCCCTCCTTCCACCCTCTACCCTCCGAAAGGCCCCAGTGTCTGTTGATCCCCTCTATGTGTCCATGTTCTAATCATTTAGCTTCCACTTACAAATGAGAATTTGCGGTATTTGGTCTTCTGTTCCTGTGTTAGTTTGCTAAGGATAATGGCCTCCAGCTCTATCCATGTCCCTCCAAAGGACATGATCTCATTCTTCTTTATGGCTGCATAGTATTCCATGGTGTATATGTACCACATTTTCTTTATCCAGTCTACCATTGATGGGCATTTAGGTTTATTTCATTTCTTTGCTATTGTGAATAGTGCTGCAATGAACATGCATGTGCATGTGTCTTTATAATAGAATGATTTATATTCCTTTGGTTAACATCATCTTTGATAACTTACTCATGTTGTATTTGGAGTGATGTCCACTGTGATTACTTCTCTGTCCAGTGGAGTTGAGAGATTCTATTAGTAAATATTGAGGAGCTGTCTTCCTCTGTATTAGGTATTACCAGATTCTTTATCTGGATTCTCCCTTCCTCGTAAAAACAAAAGCTAATGCTTTATTAAGTACCTCCTATGCACCAAACATGTGTTAGGGGTTTTAAATATTTTACTTCATTTAATCTTTATGCTAACCCTGTGAAGAAGTAACTGTCTTCATTAGAGAGACGAGGTCATTGAAATTGAGGAGTTAATTTGCCCAAGGTCACACAACAAGTAAGTGACATAGTCAACATTCAAACCCAAGTTGGCCAGACCCCAAGACCCTGCTTTCTACCTCATGATTGTGCCATGAAGCTGAGCCCCTCAGAGGTGTTTTTAATGAGTACAAGAAGATGGCTCCCAAAACCAACTCAAAAAGATCATCTTTCCTGCCTCTGCAATAAGAGTAAGCATTTTGGCCGGGCGCGGTGGCTCATGCCTGTAATCCAAGCACTTTGGAAGGCCGAGGCAGGTGGATCATCTGAGGTCACGAGTTCAAGACCAGCCTGGCCAACATAGTGAAACCCCCGTCTCTACTAAAAAAAAAAAAAAATACAAAAATTAGCTGGGCATGGTGGCACACACCTGTAGTCCCAGCTACTCCGGAGGCTGAGGCAGGAGAATCGCTTGAACCCAAGAGGCAGAGGTTGCAATGAGCCGAGATCACACCATTGCACTCCAGCCTGGGCGACAAGAGTGAAACTCCATCTCAAAAAAAAAAAAAAAAAAAAGGAGTAAGCATTTTACAACATCTAAGAAAGGGTAAACGTTAGTATGGCTAGAAAGAATAGTTTTGATTGAAGTTCTGTCAAGTGACAAGAAGAAAAGGAGAGAGCAGTCCTTAAGAGACAGAGGAAGCATGTGATTTTAGAAATGCTGGGTCAAGAAAACAGTGTAACAGTTCAGTTAAGAGAGTGGAAGAGGAAAAAGGAAGAAATTATTCTGAGATGACATGCTTTGGAAAGCAGCTAGAGCAATGCAGAAGCATATGACAGTGACCGCTATTGCTGGCACTGCAGCCTTCTTACTGCCTTCCATGGGAATCCAAAAATCAACTCCAAATAAAGGAGGAAAAAAGGAATGTTTAGTATCAACCGGGTTGCCAAGATAAAATGTTTTGGATTGATTCCCAGTGTCAAAGCACAGTACATGTATATTTTTGGAAACTTGTTCTACCCACATTTTTATAAATGTATGGGTGTTGTGTTTTGTTTTGATTTTTGTAATACCCACTGTTTTTTTAAATGCCTGTAAACTTTCCTAGAATATGAAGGCAATGTCTTCTAAGTATATATAATACATTTCAAGTTAATTTTATGGCAATTTCTAGCATGATTCTTTTATGTGGCACAATGCCCTGTTGGAAAACAATAGAATCATAAGTCTGTGATTCTGAATATTATGCTCCTAACTAGTGAGTGGCAAAAGACTCAGTATCATGTGAGACTGTTTTGCCACCGAACTGACTGATGATAGATGAATAATTTGTAAGAGATAGCACAGGATTTCCTCACTCAGCTGTGGAGAATTTTCAGTAAAGTTATCAATGAGAATATTTCAGCAGCTTTGAAATGGTGGCAATAAATATGTCAGGAAAAATATATAATTTATTATTCTGGAACTCTCCACAATTCTGTGTAATCTTTTCCCTTTTATTTTTATTTGACACATAATATTTATACATATTTATGGGATACAGAAGGACATTTTGATACATGTATACAGTGCTATAGAATTGTATTAGGCAAACAGTGGTTAAGAGGAGAGTCAGTTTTAAAACTTCAGTGATAATTACTCAAGAGAAAGCCATTTAATTCATGAAAAAGTAGAACTTGACAGCTAGGCAGCCTGTACTTTTGGACTCATCATATCCTGACTTCTCTCCAGTGGCCTCTTCCGCATTCCCAGGGCCATGCACTTGGCCTCTCCTTTTAGTATCCTTCACTCTAGATTGTGAACCACTGGAAGGAGACACTGTGTCCTTCGTTTTCTATCCATCAAAGAGGCTAGCGTAGTTTTCTACATACAGTAGATATTTGATACTTTAATTAATTAATGTAATGGCTCTCCTATGAAGGCCAATCCTGCCTGTCCATTCTTTGTAACCTTAAATGTGTAAACATTGGTGCTTTTGTATGTTTGAATATGGGAAAAAGCAGCCAAATAAGTGCTTGGGTGTAGCGGGCAAGAAACAAATATTTGAGGCTGTTTGTCTCTTCTTTATTAGGTTTTTAATTTAAAAAGTAAAACGTGCATATTCTAATAGTTCAAAGAGTATAGATGTATATAAAAAGCAAGTCAGTCATTTCCTCTATTCTCCAGTCTTTATTCTTCTCATTCTGCCTTCCCCTGTCAGATACGTATGCTCATATAAATATTATTTATATTCACTATATCACGGACAGTGCTCTAGGTAAGTGCCTGTGGATCTAACTCATTTTTTACACTCAATGCCATTTCAATTAATAAATGCCTTTTAGCTATGATGGGTAATATACCTTGAAACTGGGTTAAAAAATTATTCTCCTTGTGTTACATTTCAGAAGAGAGTGTGCTTTTCACGTTTGTTCGTGTGTATGGTAAAATATACAAATTTACCACTTTAAGTGTAAGTTTAGTGGCATTAAGTACATTCACATCATTGTGGAACCATCCCCACCATCCATCCATCTCCAGAACTCTTTTTTTTTTGAGATGGAGTCTCACTCTGTCACCCAGGCTGGAGTACAGTGGCATGATCTTGGCTCACTGCAACCTCCGCCTCCCGGGTTCAAGTGATTCTCCTGCCTCAGCCTCCTGAGCAGCTGGGATTACAGGCACCTGCCACCACACCCAGCAACTTTTTGGTCTTTTTTGTTTGTTTGTTTGTTTGTTTGTTTGTTTGTTTTTGAGACGGAGTTTTGCTCTTGTTGCCCAGGCAAGCTGGAGTACAATGGCACGATCTCAGCTCACAGCAACCTCCGCCTCCCAGGTTCAAGCGATTCTCCTGACTCAGCCTCCTGAGTAGCTGGGGTTATAGGCATGCGCCACCACACCCGGCTAATTTTGTATTTTTAGTAGAGACAGGGTTTCTCCATGTTGGTCAGACTGGTTTCGAACTCCCGACCTCAGGTGAACTGCCTGCCTCGGCCTCCCAAAGTGCAGGGATTACAGGTGTGAGCCACCGTGCCTGGCCTAATTTTTGTATTTTTAGTAGAGATAGGGTTTCACCATGTTGGCCAGGCTGGTCTCGAACTCCTGACCTTACGTGATCTGCCTGCCTCGGCCTCCCAAAGTGCTGGGATTACAGGCATGAGCCACCGTGCCTGGCCCATTTCTAGTATTCTTTTCATCTAGCAAAAGTAAAACTTTCTGGCCATTAAGCAATAACTCCCCATCATGCAGCCTCTGACAATCACCATTCTGCTTTCTGTCTCTATGAATTTGACTACTCTGCATACCTCAAATAAGTAGAATCAGAGTATTTTATCTTTTTGTGACTGGGTTATTCCACTTAGCATAATGGCCTCAAAGATCACCCATGTCATATGTAGCATGTGTCAAAATTTCCCTCCTTTTTAAGACTGAATAAACTGGGCATGGTGGCATGTTCCTGTAGTCCCGGCTACTCGGGGGGCTGAAGTAGGAGGATCCCTTGCATCCAGGAGTTCAAAGCTGCAATGAGCTATGATCGCACCATTGCACTCCAGCTTGGGCAGCAGAGCGAGACCCTGTCTCTAACCAGATAGACAGATAGGTAGACAGACAGAGAATAATATTCCATCGTATGTATGTATACCACATTTTTATTTGGTTTGTGGTATATACATACATTTTACTTATCCATTCATCTCTCAATGGACATTTGAGTTGCTTCTACCTTTTGTGAATAATGTGGCTGTGAACATTTGTTTACAAATATCTGTTCAAGTCTGTGCTTTCAGTTCTTTTGGGTATATACCCAAAATGGCATTGCTGAATTATGTGGTAATTCTGTGTTTAATTTATTGAAGAAACATGTTACTGTTTTTCCATAGCAGCTGTACCATTTTACATTCCTACCAGCAGTGTATAAAAGTTCCAATTTTTCCACATCCTTGTCAACACTTGTTATTTTCTGGGTTTTTAAAAATATATATAACAGCATCCTAATGGGTGTGAAATGGTATCTCATTGTGGTTTTGATTTGCATTTCCCTAATCATTAGTGATGTTGAGCATATTTTCATGTGGTTATTGGCTATTTACATAAATTATTTGGAAAGATATCTCTTCAAATCTTTTGCCCATTTTTAATTGGATTATTTGTTGTTGATGGTCAGTTTTAGGGATTCTTTATATATTCTGGATATTAGTCCCTTTTAAGATACATAACTTGCAAATACCTTATCCCATTCTGTGGGTTGTCTTTTCACTCTATTGTTCTTTGATGCATACATATTTTTTATTTTGATAAGGTTCAATTTATCTGTTTTTTTCTTTTGTTGCCTATGCTCTTGGTATCATATTTAAAAAACTCATTGAGGTGGGGGGATTGCCTGAGCTCAGGAGTTCGAGACCAGCCTGGGCAACACGGTAAAACCCCATCTCTACTAAAATACAAAAGATTAGCCGGGTGTGGTGGCATGCACCTGTAGTCCCAGCTACTTGGGAGGCTGAGGCAGGAGAATTGCTTGAACCTGGCAGGCGGAGGTTGCAGTGAGTCAAGATTGCGCCACTACACTCCAGCCTGGGCAACAGAGCGAGACTCTGTCTCCAAAAAAATCATTGCCAAATCCAGTGTCATAAAGTGTTTCCCCTGTGTTTTCTTTTAAAGTTTCATAGGCTTAGGTATTTGATCCATTTAATTTTTTCTGTGTATCGTATAAGGTGAGATTTCAATGTCATTCTTTTGCATATGGGTATCCAATTTTTCCAGCAACATTTGTTGAAAAACTGTCCTTTCCTCCACTGAGTGGTCTTGGCATCCTTGTTGAAAATCATTTAATCATGTATGTGAAGGTTTATTTCTGGGCTTTCTAGTCTCGAACTCAATTTTTAAAAAAACTTTTAAGTGCAAGAGTACATGTGCAGGTTTGTTATATAGGTAAACTCGTGTCATGGGGGTTTGTTTTACAAATTGTTTCACTACCCAGGTACTAAGCCTAGTACCCAATAGTTATTTTTTCTAATCCTCTCCCTCCTCCCACCTTCTGCCTTCAAGTAGGCCCCAGTGTCTGTTGTTCCCCTCTTTGTGTCCATGAGTGCTCATCATTTAGCTCCCACTTATTAGTGAGAACATGCAGTATTTGGTTTTCTCTTCCTGTATTAGTTTGTTAAGGATAATGGGCTCCAGTTCCATCCATGTTCCTACAGAAGACATCATTCTTTTTTGTGGCTGCCTAGTATTTCATGGTATATATGTACCACATTTTCTTTATTCAACTTGTCATTGATTAGTATTTAGGTTGATTTCATGTCTTCGCTAGTATAAATAGTGCTGCAATGAATATACACGTGCATGTGTGCATGTGTCTTTTTTTTTTTTAAGACAATCTTGCTCTGTTGCCCAGGCTGCAATGCACTGGCACAATCTTGACTCACTGCAACCTTCACCTCCCAGGTTCAAGCAATTCTCGTGCCTCAGCCTCCTGAATAGCTGGGATTATAGGCATACCACCACGCCTGGCTAATTTTTGTATTTTTAGTAGAGACAAGGTTTCGCCATTTTGGCACCACCCACTTTAGCCTTCCAAAGTGCTGGGATTACAGGCATGAGCCACCACTCCTGCCCATGTGTCTTTATAGTAGAATGATTTATGTACCTTTGGGTATGTGTCCAGTAATGGGATTGCTGGGTTGAATGGTAGTCCTGTTTTTAGCTCTTTGAGGAATTGCCACACTGCTTTCCACAGTGGCTGAACTAATTTATACTCCCACCAGCAGTGTATAAGCGTCCCTTTTTTCCATAACGTCACCAGCATCTGTTATTTTTTGACTTTTTAAATAATAGCCATTCTCAGCCAGGCATGATGGCTCACTCCTATAATCTTAGCAATTTGGGAGGCCAAGGCGGGAGGATCACTTGAACCCAGGAGTTCAAGACCAGCCTAAGCAACGTGGTGAAACCCCTTATCTACCAAAAAAAAAACACCAAAAACAAAAATTAGCCAGGTGTGGTGGTGCACACCTATAGTCCCATCTATTTGGGAGGCTGAGGCAGGAAGATTGCTTGAGCCCAGGAGGTTGACACTGCAATGAACCGTGATTGTGTCACTGCATTCCAGCCTGGATAACAGAGCAAGACCCTATCTCAAAAAAAAAAAAAAAAAGCCACTCTGACTGATGTGAGATGGTATCTCATTGTGGTTTTGATTTGCATTTCTTTAGTGATATTGAGTGTTTTTTCACATACTTCACGAACTTTATTTTTTTTCTTGTTTTGTTTTCTATTTTTTGTTTTGTTTTGAGACAGAGTCTCGCTCTGTCACCAGGCCGGAGTGCAGTGGCACAATCTCGGCTCACTGCAACCTCTGCCTCCCAGGTTCAAGCAATTCTCCTGCCTCAGCCTCCCAAGTAGCTGGGACTACAGGCGCATGCCACCATGCCCGGCTAATTTTTTGTTTTTTTGTTAATAGAGATGGGGTTTCACCGTGTTAGCCAGGATGATCTCGATCTCCTGTCCTTGTGATCCGCCCACCTCGGCCTCCCAAAGTGCTGGGATTACAGGAATGAGCCACCTCACCCGGCCGGCAACCTTTATTTTTAATGAGTGTTATTAATCTATAATATGGATACATCAGAGTGCATTCAAACATTCCCCTGTTGATGGACATATAGATTGTGTCGAGGCGTTTGTCACTACAGGCAGTGTTGCAGTAAACATCTTAAAATACATAGTCTTACACCTTGGTGCTTTTATTTCCCCATGATGTATTCATAAAAGCGGAATTGCTAGATCAATGGTATGTTTAGTTTTTAATTTCAGTGAACAGGTTGTTTTTTCAAAAGGATGTATGAATTCACATTTCTACCAGCCATAGATGAAATCCTGTTCTCCACATCCTTGGTAGCACTTAGCAACCTTTTTTTTTTTTTTTTTTTTTTTGAGACAGAGTCACGCTGTGTCGCCCCAGCTGTAGTGCAGTGGTGCAATCTTTCTTGGCTCACTTAGTCTCCACCTCCTGGGTTCAAGAAATTCTCTTGCCTCAGCCTTCGCAGTAGCTGGGACTTCAGGCATGCACCACCATGCCTGGCTATATTTTTTTTCTATTTTTAATAGAGATGGGGTTAGGTTTCACCATGTTGGCCAGGCTGGTCTCAAACTCCTGACCTCAAGTGATCCACCTACCTTGGCCTCCCAAAGTGCTTGGATTACAGGCGTGAGCCACCACACACCTGGCCTGAAACCTTTTTAATGTTCACTAACAGGATCAGTTAAAATTTAGAGGCCCTTGTCAGTCAGTACTTAACAGTGAAAAGTGAAAGGATACTGATAAATATTTCTTACATATTTGACAGAAACTTCCTTCTTGATTTAAAAAAAATCTCTGTCCTGGCCAGGCACGGTGGCTCACACCTGTAATCCCAGCACTTTGGGAGGCTGAGGTGGGTGGATCACAAGGTCAGGAGATCGAGACCATCGTGGCTAACACAGTGAAACCCCATCTCTACTAAAAATACAAAAAATTAGCCGGGCGTGGTGGTGGGCACCTGTAGTCCCAGCTACTCGGGAGGCTGAGGAGGCAGAGCTTGCAGTGAGCCGAGATCACGCCACTACACTCAAGCCTGGCAACAGAGCGAGACTCCGTCTCAAAAATAAAATAAAAAAAAATCTCTGTCCTAGGCCTGGTGCAGTGGCTCACACCTGTAATACCAGCACTTTGGGAAGCCGAAGTGAGTGGATCACTTGAGGCCAGGAGTTCAAGACCAGCCTGGCCAACATGGTGAAACCCCATCTCTACTAAAAATACAAAACAATTAGCCAGGTGTGGTGGTGGGTGCCTGTAATCCCAGCTATTCGGGAGACTGAGGCACGAGAATTCTTGAACCTGGGAGGCCGAGGTTGCAGTGAGCCAAGATCACGCCATTGCAGTCCAGCCGGGGTGACAAGAGCGAAATTCCATCTCAAAAAAAAAAAAAAAAAAAAAAACTCTATTCTTTCATAACATGAAAAATGTAAGTGCGAAAGATAGTCATTTCTATGCAGAGTTAAAAGGCAAATTAACATTTTGAAACAATCAGGTTTTAAGTGTTTTTCCGGCTTTCAACCATTTTCTTGAAGTAAGGAAACTAGCCAATGGTTTCTAATTTTTCTTAGCTTAATGCAGATACCGAAAGAGAAGAAGGCGAAGAGTTTGAAGATAACATGGATGTTTTCGATGACAGCAGTTCCAGCCCTTCTGGCACCTTAAGAAATTATCCACTCACCTGCAAAGTTGTTTATTCCTACAAGGTTTGTATTTCTCCAACATAATGTTATTAAATTCTGATTAACTCTGAAGATACACATGACTGTATCCATCCAGTCTCTCAAGCTGTACTTAGCATAAAATTGTTATTAGGTTAATATTGGGGCAACATAACAGAATGGTGATGAGTTTAGGCTCTGACTTGACGTCTTTCACTTGCTACTCCGTCTGCCTAGAACTCTTTTTTTCCCCAAATCTCAGTTGGTTGTCCCCTGCTCCTCATTGAAGCTCAGCTCAAATAGTTCCTTCTTAAGGTCACCCATAACCACCTAAATAAATAACCAACTCCTCAGTCACTACTTGTTATCCCATTGCCTCTTTTATTATATAGCACTTCTGCTCAGCCAAACTTAATCTTATTTATTTTCATATTTCTTTGATGCTCCACTAAAGGTCCATGAAGGCAGAAATTTTGTCTGTGTATGTGTACCTTGTCTGTGTGTCTTCAGCCCCGAGGACGATGTCCAGCCATAGTGGGTCATCAGTAGATAATTGTGGGATGACTACATGAATGTTGGAAGGGAGGCGTGAATACATGAATCTTCTCTTGCCCCTGTTCTGGTGGAGGCATGTGTGAGAAGGGGCAATGCGGAAGGCTATCAGAAGGGAAGGTCCTGGAGAGAGAATCCACCTGTCATGCACCAGATTCACTCCTCCGCCACATCCCTGTGTAGCCAAAAGGTGGCAGTGTTTGGTAACCTCAATATCAGTGATTCCCAGACTTGTTTTGAGTTTAACATCCTTTCATTTTATATTTAAATTCATAATACTTCCTGTTCATTGAAAGTGTTAGCATTTTTTTCCAATGTAAATCGTTTTGATAATCTTTTGAAAATTTAAAATCATCTTCTCAGATACTTGGAAAGGTATTACAGGGTATTATAAAACTAGCATTGGAATTGTTTCCTGATACCACCTCCCATTATATTTACTTGAACGTCCCAGAACTAAAATTTAAGTTCCTTAAATAGAGAGATTCCTAAGTGTCTGAGTGATTTTAAACAGTTCACATTCATTCAACATTCCCTCTGTTGGCATATCCCAGGCACATCCCTGCGTTAAATAGACTATGAACATCTATTTAGTCAGTTAATCATTGAATAAACATATAGAGTGCCCAATATGTGATACACTGGGGGGATGCCAGAATGAATATGACATCTCTCCCCTCTAGGAATGGACAATCTATGAAGGGTTAAATATTAAACTGGAAAATAGAACAAGTGTGAAAAGATTTATAGTAAAGGTAGAGCCACTAATTCTACCTGGATCATTGGGAGAAATTTTACAGATGAGGTGGCATTTAAAGTAGGTCATGATTTAAGACCTTTCTAGATGCAGTGAGAAGGTAGGGAGAGGAAAGAGCCTTCTAAGCAAAGAGAACAGCAGGTATAGAGACAGAGTGTGATGAGAGTGTGGGGTGTTCAGGAAATGTTAAATTCAGTGGTGTAGGAGTGGGAGAACAGAGGGGCTGTGCATAAAGGTGTTTGTTGTCAGATAGTAAAGGGCCTTGGGTACCAGACTTAGAGGTTTGGTTTTTATCCTGGCTAGGAAGATCCTTAGATGGCCTGAAATCAGATTGGACTTTTAAGAAGCTAACCTGGTCATGGTATAGATATTCTAGAGGACAGATTAGGATACAGAGGGACTGACTTTAAGCCTAATCATAATTCTTATAGTCCAGACCAAAAAGGAGGCCTCGAATAATCTGGTGAGAACAAAGAAACTATATTTAATGGTTAGAGTTGGCCGGGAATGGTGGCTCACGCCTGTAATCCCAACATTTTGGGAAAATGAGGCAGGTGGATCACTGAGGTTAGGAGTTCAAGACTGGCCCAACCAACATGGTGAAACCCCATCTCTACTAAAAATACAAAAATTAGCTGGGCGTGGTGGCGGGCGCCTGTAATCTCAGCTACTAGGGAGGCTGAGGCAGGAGAATCACTTGAACTCAGGAGGAGGAGGTTGCAGTGAGCCAAGATCGCACCATTGCGCTCCAGCCTGGGTGACAGAGCGAGACTCTGTCTCAAAAAAAAAAAAAAAAAAAAGGTTAGAGTCAAAAGCCTTAAGAATGTTCATAACTTTTGACCCTATTAGCATCCATCCTAAGGAAGTAAATCATAATATAGAAAAGTTTTGGACACAAAAATGTCCTTTCATATAGTACTGCTTTATAATGTATGGCACTTCTGCCCAGCCAAACTTAATCTTAGTTTTCATATTTCTTTGACTCCCCGCTAAAGGTCCATGAAGGGAGAAGTTTTGTCTCTGTATGTTTACCTTGTCTGTGTGTCTTCAGCCCCTAGGACAATGCCCAGCACGTAGTAGGTCATTAGTAAATAATTGTGGAATGAATACTTGAATGATGGAAGGCATGAACAAATGAATCCTTCCCTTGACCTCATTCTGATAGAGACATCAGTGAGGATAATAGAGCTCATGACTGGATGCAATGGCTCATGCCTGTAATCCCAACACTTTGTGGGGCCAAAGCGAGAAGATCACTTGAAGCCGGGAGTTTGAGACCAGCCTGGGCAACAAAGAAAAACCTGGTCTCTACAGAAAAATTTTAAAATTAGCTGAGCATGGTGGCACATGCCTATCGTCCTAGCTATTCAGGAGGCTCAGGCAGGAGGATCACTGGAGCCCAGGAGATCGAGGCTGCAGTGAGCCATGATTACACCACTGCACTCCAGCCTGAGTGACAGAGTGAGACCCTGCCTCTAAAAAATAAATTTTAAAAAAATTTAAATTTGGCAGTTCAATGAGAATAATTAAACTAGACATTCATATACTATAGCCATAACATATAATATTATGAAACTTACTGAAATTTTCATCAAGAGTTTTTCTATATAAGAAGAAACCCTTATGTCCTAATATTAAATTAAAAGGTAGGATACCAAATTGTATGTACCGTAAGAGCTCAATTATGCATATTTTCCAGCTTTTCTACGATGAACATGTATGATATAATCAGGAAAAACATATTGTTTTAAAAGAAATACAGGAAATTTGGAGAGATACTGGTGGAAACGGAGCTCTGGTTGTCACTGGATACTAGGACTTAAGGAGACAGTATGAGAGTATGTGTGTATTTAATAACCATTTACTGCTCACTGTCTTTAGTTGGGGTAAGTGAGAAGAAATGTAGTCCCTAATTATTTCTAGTAGGAAGCTCACAAGGACAAACTCATTAGAGCATCATGGTAGTCAGTGTTATGGGGACGCTCAGAGAGCCTTTTAAGAACAAAATGGGGGCTGGGCACGGTAGCTCACGCCTGTAATCCCAGCACGTTGCGGGGCCAAGGCGGGCGAATCGCGAGGTCAGGAGTTCGAGACCAGCCTGACCAACATGGTGAAACCCCGTCTCTACTAAAAATACAAAAAATTAGCCAGGCATGGTGGTGTGCACCTGTAATCCCAGCTACTTGGGAGGCTGAGGCAGGAGAATTTCTTGAACCTGGGAGGCAGAGGTTGCAGTGAGCCGAGATGGCACCACTGCACTCCAGCCTGGGCAACACTGTGAGACTCCGTCTCAAAAAAAAAAAAAAAAAGAGCAAAAGGAGGAGCAGCTTACTCATCATGAGTAGTCTGGGAAAACATATGCGCTCAGTCTCAAGTCAAAAGTAATCGTAACTACTTATCTATCTATCTATCTATCTATCTATCTATCTATCTATCTATTTATTTGTAATCCCTTCAATAACCCTATGAGGAAGATATTATCAAACACCCCATTCATTCAACAAATAGTGCTTGAGCACCTTCCATGTATCAGTGCTGTGGGCTTTTCTAGGCTCTGGGATATAGCATTGATCAAAACAGACAAAAATCTTTGCCCTCATTGAGCTTATATTCTAGTACGAAAAAAGAAAACTGAGGTTCAAAGGTATCTTACAGTCACTTGCCCATAAAAATATACTGAAGCTGGACTTAAACCCACAGTAATCTAAGTCTGCTCATCAGATAGGAAAGAGGGAACAGAGCCTGATGGACGGAAGAACACCTATAAAAGCACAGAGGCAAGGAAGAACATGGTATGCTCAGAGAATAGAAATAGTGTGCAGGGGCCAAAGCGTCAAGAGGCCCACAGGGACCAAACTCTGCAGGGTCTTGATAGCCATGCAAAGAACTTGACCTTGTTAGGTGGAAGAATTGGTCATCACTGCTTTAGGATGGGATGATCAAGCTAGTGTCTGCTTACATTGGACAACTAGTGCTGCAGTGTTGAAAAACTTGCATGGACCTCCATGGTTTTTGTTTGTTTGTTGTTGTTTTTTTTTTTTTTTTTTTTTTTTGAGACAGGGTCTTGCTCTGTCACCCAGGCTGGAGTGCAGTGGTGTGATCTCGGCTCACTGCAACCTCTGCCTCCCTGCAACCTCTGCCTCCCTGATTCAAGTGATCCTCCCACCTCAGCCTCCCAAGTAGCTGGGATTACAGGCACGTGCCACCACACCCACCAATTTTTTGTATTTTTCATAGAGACAGGGTTTCGCCATGTTGCCCAGGCCGGTCTCAAACTGCTGGCCTCAAGTGATCCACCCACCTTGGCCTCCCAAAGTGCTGGGATTACAGACGTGAGCCACCTCACTCAGCCTCTCCATAGCTTTTTATAAGGGCAGCAGTTTATTTAAAAGTGTACTACCTCCCTGGTTTGCTGTCACATACATTAACGTCTGGTCGTGTTGATACTTTTTAGGTCTTGCCATGAAAAACATTTTTATTACAAAAATGCCTTTTGCTGGCATATTCAAGGCATAGTGTGGTTTCAGAGTAGTGAAGGAATTCCATTGGAAAAGCTATCAAGGGTAAATGAGTGGGGTTTTTTCCTCAATATTATTTTTCTGTCTCAGGGAGCTATGGCAACATCCAGAATCTGGATTTTGATGAAATGTTTTAATGTTCATAAAATGGGAAATTGATCTTGAAAATGACCCCTTTTTTGCCTTATTTTTGTTTGTGTAACTTGGAGTTAATTTTACATTTTGAGATTGTGAGATTTTAAAAACTTTATGGTTTTAGGTGATGGTTTTAACCCATCTTGGGACTTGGGGAAAGCTTTTAAGACTGTTTTCTAGAGAGCCAGAAGCCAGCAGGCCCCTGTCTATTACACATGACAGGCAAGACTGTTAGGAAGCAAAGCCACACGGACTTTCCAGCCCCTCTGTGGAGCCTCAGAGCGTTTACAGATTTGGCAGTCTCAAGGGCAACATGTGGGTGGCTGATGCTGGTGGATTGCTGCTGTCAGGGATAATAAAACCATTATGGTTAGCAGCTTGTACGGTAGCACGCAAATGGATCAGCTCAGTCTCCACACAGTTAAGTTGGAGCATAAGAAATCCAAACCATGACTGATCTCAATCATTTCCTTTCCTACAATTTTTTTCTTTTGGCCACTGCTTTACAGTGATTCCAGATCAATCCTAGGCACTGCACCCACTATCATCAAATTCACGTACATAGTTCTTTGCATTTTCACTGCATGCTTGTCCATGGGAGCCCTCTGGTAGCAGTTCCAATTCAGTGCCTTCTCGTTTGCCTTTGCTTCCCAAATCATCACAGTTCTGTGCTTATCCATCCCACATTGACTCACATCCTCCAGAAAATGGCAGGATTGTCATTTCAAAGAAATGGAGGCATCAAGTTGAATAACTTGATACAGAAGCTGGAGTTGGAACCCAGGTCCTCTACTTCCAGGAAGTGCTCTCTTTTTTTGTTTGTTTTTTTAGAGACAGGGTCTCGCTCTGTTGCCCAGGCTGGAGTGCAGTGGCTCACTCATGGCTCACTGCAGCCTCAACCTCCCAGGCTCAAGCGATCCTCCCACCTCAGCCTCCCAAGTAGTTGGGACTACAGGCATGTTCCACCATGCCTGACTAATTTTATTTATTTATTTACTTATTTATTTATTTATTGGTAGAGATGGGGGTCTCGCTGTGTTGCCCAGGCTTACATGTTCTGTTCATTGAACGTCATTGCCTCTTGAGGATTCAGTTTCTTGAGTTTTTGTTATGGTTTTATTCTGTTTAGTTTTTTAAAGTAAAACTTCACCTCATTATGAAAGTTTTACAGCATTTAAATTTTTATGTTCAACATGTTTCTCAAAATCATTTCAATATTTTGATCCCCAGTTTTTGTCATGATCAGCTCACATCTGCTCCTTATCTAACCTTTTTAATTTTGTCCATGACCATCCTACACTGCAGGCTTCTCAACCAGATGAGTTGACCATTGAGGAACATGAGGTGTTAGAAGTGATTGAAGATGGAGATATGGAAGACTGGGTAAAGGTATATTCCTTTGCTCATATCGCCCTTTCTTGTGACATTTTTAGGAGTTTGTTTTGGTCTTTGTTGTGCCCTGTCTAAATTGTGTGTGTAAACTTGTTTTGTCACATGTCTTTTACCCAGGCTCGAAATAAAGTTGGCCAAGTGGGTTATGTGCCAGAAAAGTACCTACAGTTTCCCACCTCGAACAGCCTCCTGAGCATGCTGCAGTCCCTGGCCGCTTTGGACAGTCGGTCACACACGTCCAGCAATTCCACGGAAGCAGAACTCGTTTCAGGCAGCCTCAACGGAGATGCCAGTGGTAAAGACTGAAACAAGGCACTCTTTATTTGGTCACGTTTGACCTAAACTGTATTGCCCTGGAGTAAGCCTTCAGTAGGATAAAAAGCACAACTTTCCTCCTGTCCTATAATATGCTTTTCTTTATATGGTCACGTTTGTCCTGCACAGTAGAACCCTAAAGTTAATCATTCATCAGTGAGTAAAAAAATTACAACTTTAATCCTATTCTGTATGATGCTCTTTTAGTTGTCATGTGAGCATAGGGGTGGTTGCAAAAGCAACCGGCTGTTAATTATCTTACCAGATTTGTTTTTCTCTTGCTCCCTAGTATGTTTTGTGAAAGCACTTTATGATTATGAGGGCCAGACAGATGATGAGTTATCTTTTCCTGAGGGAGCAATAATCCGTATCTTGAACAAAGAAAACCAAGATGATGATGGCTTCTGGGAAGGGGAATTCAATGGGCGTATTGGAGTTTTCCCATCGGTGCTAGTGGAAGAACTTTCAGCCTCAGAAAATGGTGACACTCCATGGATGAGAGAGATTCAGGTACCTGAGAGGGGAGACAGTTGAATTAAAAGATGTTTAAAGAAAATTGCTCCCAAAGGGTCTGTGGATCCACACAAAAGTGGGCTGCAGTCTCTGCCTTACCCTCACCGGTCCTTGGTTGCCAGTGTCTGCACAACTGCATTTGGGAAACCAGAGACTTGTCAGTCAGTCCCTTGTGGAATGTGGCCATCCTCCCACACCTCCATCTTCCCACATTCTCTCTCTTCCTTGAATTGGTTAACCAAAATGCCAAATTATATGTGACATACCAAAGATCGTTTTGGTGGAGAGAAAGAAACAAACCGAAGAGGGAAGGCGTTGCTCTGTGGTTAATTTACGTAGTAAAACTCTTAGCTGGCTCTCTCTCTCCCTCACTGTCAGAGCCTCCTTGCCTAGTCCAGGTCCTGCCAGTCTATTTCAGAGAATTAATGAGCCTGCCAGAGCCCCTAATCCCCACTCAAGTGACCCTAGACTTAGTTCATCACAGGGAAACAGCCTTTAAAGGAACCTCTAATTCAGTCAGAGTTTAGTTTGTCCCCTCAGGGATCTATCACTGCAGGCCAGACAGGTAGAGGAAGAAGGAACGTGTTTGCCGATCTTGTTTGCGTGGTGATTGTGACCCCTTAGCCTAACATGCACAAAACCTGGGGAAGTCAGAAATTCAGCAAAGTATTTTATCTTCACCCCAAAAAATCCAACTTGTTCCTTTTGTTGTTGTTGTTCTTTGCTAAGTTTACTGAATTGACTAATTTGGTACATTTTCAATAGAACCCTAGAGAGTAGCTTCACTTGATAACTGTTTAAGATAAACTAAAATCAGTAATGTGATGAGATCTGTAAGAGGAAAAAGTGAAGTGCAATGCAAAATTGGAGCTTGAGGTGGTTATTTAATGCTCAGTTGCCTCTAATGAGGTTGACAAGTTTCAACAATCAGCTTAGCTTTAGAGAAAAGGCATGAGTACAGAGCAGTCAGAGAAGCAGCCAGGCTCTCCTTCCTGGAGGGGAGCACCGGGTAACCTCGCTTCCCTTTGCTGCAGATCTCTCCTTCCCCCAAGCCACACGCCTCCCTGCCTCCACTGCCGTTGTACGACCAGCCTCCCAGCAGCCCCTACCCCAGCCCAGATAAGAGGAGCTCCCTGTACTTTCCCCGGTCTCCTTCAGCAAACGGTAAGGGTTCTCCTGGGCATGGGTCTAAATGCATTTTCACTTCAGAAACCTACATATTCGCCTGAAGGGCAAAAAAAAACTGCATTTGCTTTTTTTTTTTTTTTTTTTTTTTTGGAGACAGAGTCTCTGTCACCTGGGCTGGACACCCAGGCTGGAGTTCAGTGGCATGATCACGGCTCATAGCAACCAATTCCTGGGCTCAAGTGATCCTCCTGCCTCAGCCTCCCTAGTAGCTAGGAATACAGGCATGCACCACCACACACAGCTAATTTTTGTATTTTTTCTGGACAAAGGGTATTATTCTGTCACCCAGGCTGGAGTGCAGTGGTGGGATCATAGCTCACTGCAGCCTTGAACTTCTGGCCTCAAGTAATCCTCCCGCCTCAGTATCCCAAAGTGCTGGGATTACAGGCTCAAGCCACCATGCCAGCCTTGCATCAGCATTATTGCTCAACAACTCAAGTAAAATGAGCTTCTTTGGTTTTCTCCCTTAGAAAAAAGCCTTCATGCTGAGTCACCAGGATTCTCACAGGCATCAAGGCATACTCCTGAGACCTCATATGGCAAACTGCGACCTGTAAGTCTCTGATCTTGCAGGATTATCGAATGCATAGTTCTTCCAAATTGAAAGTAAGGAATTAATGTTTCCCCGTGGCCCCTGTGTTGTTACTGACTATGCCAAACAAGGATGAACTGGGTTTGGGAAGGTAAAAAGAGCTATTGAAAAGGAAGGCCATAGAAATCAACTCATCTCGGGACATTTAATCTACACTGGAACTTTTTTCACTGAGCCACAGTGAGATTGCAAGATGATGGCTATGAAAGTGATTTAGAATAGAACAAACTTTATGAGCATTAAAGCGGGCTAATTGTGAAACACTTTTTTCAGTAAGCATTTAATTTTCCAGGCCTCTATTTGCCTCTTTGAGGAATACCAAGATGAAATAATAAGCTAACTTCATGGCCTTAAAGAGCGTTTATTCTCCGGGTGAATATATTATTGCAAAGTTACCTCTCCTCACCCTTCACTCTACTGCCATCTGCATTCCACCCACCACTGTACTCCAAGGTCATAACTTGCACGGTAATCCAGTCGGATACTTTGCAATTTTATTTTCCTTGACCCCTATTAGCTTTTGATACCATTCCTTTACCACTGGCTTCTTTTGGCTTCATTCATTCAGCAAATATGTATTGAGTGCCTTCTTAAGGACTTGAGTCTTTATCCCAAATGAGACAGGAAGCCATTGTAAAGTGGTAAGCTGGACAGTGTTGTGGCTGGTGCATTTTTAAAGCATCGCTATGGCAGCTAAGAGGCGGATGGATGGAGGGTGGCAGAAAGGATATAGGGAGCGATTAGGAGGCTGGAGCAGCATCCAAGAAAGAAGTGGTGGCAAGATGGACTGGTGGGTAAGAGTGGGAAGAGAGAGCAGTGGGCTGATGTGCTTCTCTACATTTGCCTCGTTTGCTTTCTTCCTCTCTGGTCCTACCTTTCTGTGGACCTTTGCAGCCTTGCCGCCACCTGTCTCTGCTGATAATTCTCATGGTTCTGTCACTGGGCTGCTTCTCTTGAAGTTGTTGAACGCACTCTTGCCGAATGACCTCATCTACTTCCACAGCTATGATAACCATTTATATGCCAGCAAGTCTCAGATTTATAACTGCCAATCCGATCTCTTCTCTTGAGCTTCAGATGTGTGGATATCTCAGTTTATATATCCCAGATCCCCAAAACTCAGCAAAAATGAGTTATGTTCCCTTCCAGACATGTTCCTTCTCCCATATTGCCTATCTTGGTAAATGGAACCCCCATCCTACTGGTGTTCTGGCATCATTCTTAATACCTCCTGCCCCTGCCTCCCACAGTCATTCCCAAATCCTGCCAGGTATACCTTGCAGAGAGCTCGCAAATCTTTCCACTTCTCTACTTCCCCTACTGCCAGTACCCTCGTTTGGGCTATTGTCAACTCTCATTCAGAGGATTACAAAAGTCTCCTAAGTTGCCTTCTTACTTGGACTCTTGCTTGCCTCTGATCCTTTCTCCAGTTGTTACCTGAGTCATCTTTTCGCAGATCTGATATTGCTTAAAATCCACCAAAAACTCCTCTTTTGCCTACAGAATAAAGCACAGATTTATTTTTTTCTTCTTAAAGCAGATGTTTAAACATGGTTTAACAAGGCCCTTCACAACTTAACCCTAGCCTACCTTTCTAGCCTTCTCTTTTGTAACTCTCTACCCAAGACACACTGAAATGTTTCATTTCTCTAAGCATTGCTCTCCCTTGCTTCCAGCCAGACCTTTGCTTTGGAGGATGTGCTAGGATCTTAGTCATAGGACTTGTGCCCATGAGGTTTTTAGCCTAGGCAAGAAGCTGATTTGTGGGCTTGATATTTCATTGAGAACAACTGCTTCTCAGTGTAGGAAATAGTGAAGACTAGGTTGAAAGCACGTGCTCACAACATTTCTGAGACCCCTAGGGTGCCCATGTCCTTGGACAGATGAGTGATTAGGTTTTGGGGATGCTTCAGATACTGAGTCAGGAACTGACTGACAAACTACGTAATTGTTTCCTGCTCAGGTCCGGGCAGCTCCCCCTCCACCTACACAGAATCACCGAAGGCCAGCAGAGAAGATTGAAGATGTGGAAATCACACTGGTGTGATGATGGGCTTGCCCATCCATTACTGCTACAATCAAGGCCAGGCTTGGAGTTTGGCCAGTCTTGTTTTTTAGGCACCTTTGCATGATGATGACTCTTGAACAGAGCAAAAAACAAGGAGGATTATGTGTGACTGGGTGGCCTGGTAGACTCCTCCCACGTTTTGAATATTTCGTGCCTTTTTTTTTTGTTGTCATTTTCTATGTCATTTCTCCTACCATAGCACAAATCCTAGCGGACCCTAGGAGCAAAGAGGGGGGCAGCCCTCATGCCTAACAGTGGTCTGTTTTTATATGAGACTCAAGAACAGGCCTCATTCCAGGGCACAGTCCCTAAATTACTGATCATGTGCACTCGTACAGTATATTACTGTGACCACAAGGATGTGGCAAAGATTCTCATCTTTCTTCAAGTGGCTTTTGCTCATCTGATTGAGAATTAATCAGATCATGTTGGCTACATAAGGAAACAGAAGGAGGGATTTCAGGAGAGGCTGGCTCCTCCCCAAGGTTAGTCCCCAGACTGAGAAAGTGAAACCTTATTGGGAAAAATTGGACTGCCCTGAATTTAGCACCAATTGCATTAACGCACATCTCTTCCACAACTAACAGACTTAAAATAACAGTGTCCTTCGTATTAATATCTGTGCCATTCATTTAGAATTAGCAGAGCTAATATGGAGGGGCTGAACTAGTAGCCACATCTTGTTCATCACATAGACTAATAGAAAGGAGGCTGTGGCTAAAGCAGAAATGGAACTTCCGGATCTGAAATTAGCCAATATAATGTTCTTTTGTATTTGGGTATTTTTCATCTTAATTTTTACAGCATATACTCTTCTTACCAGTATCCTTAGAATCCAAATGTCTAGATAAGTTGAGGACACATACCTGCATTGTTGAGCTTCTCTACTGGGGACGCCCCGGCATTATTTTATTCCCAAGCCAGCAGACCGGCCCAGACAGCCAGGCTGTGGCTGGTCCAGACCAACTGCTATGGTGGAAAATGCAGCTTCCAGGTCCCACTACCCTGACATTTCCGTGGAAGGAAGAACCTGGTGGCTCGTGGAGGAAACCAGCTTTCTATGAGAAAGGACTGAAGGATTGCGCACCCTGCACAAGTACAGATTGACCAGGAAAAGACAAGTGTCTTCTGTGTGTCACAGGGAAAGCCAGGAGTGGCCTTCTCTGCAGGCCAGCAAGCCTGCAGCAGCAGGTGCCCCCACGTCAGGTGCTGACTGTCTGCTGTCCGCTCCTGTAGAAGGTAGGGAGCACAATACCTAGGGACTAAGGGATGTTCGCCGGTTGTGGTTTGTTTTTTTTTTTTTTCCTTGGTTAAGAAATCAAATTTGCAGAATTTAATCTACAAGTTGTATTATGCTTTGAAAACTCCATCCCTCCTAAGAATCTTAAAAAACTTGAAATGCTCGCCAAATGTCCCCATGGGATTTTTGACCAAAAGTAAGGTGATAACTGAAGAAATTTTTAGTTCTTTGATCACTTCAGTGACAATACCCATTAATGAATCTTCTCCATGATTTGGGGTTTTTTTTCGTTGTTGTTTTTTACACTTCTTAACCTGTTGATCTATTTGAGGTCTTTTGTGTTTATCAAACTTATTCTTAAGTTTAAAAAAGAAATTAAAAGGGTGGTTTTTTTAAGATTTTAAAGTTTGCTAACATATTAAAAATCTTCAAATGCTTATTAAATAGAGCAGTTCTTGCCACCCAGTCTTGTATTCTGTCTTTAGCTAGCCAAATTGTCCTTGAATTTGGGTTTTCCACAACCTCAAAGGGTTATTTGAAATCTTTTGTTGTATTTTAAAATATTTTTTGGAAGAGCTGCTAATTTTATTTTAAAAAACAAAGTTGTGAAAACATGCCTCCTTTTTAAAAAATAACCCCTCCATCCAGGATATGGAATCCAGCACCACAGTGCACAGGTCAGGGCTCGGAGGGAGCCTCTGTGCAGATGTGCTTTCTTTACAGTGGCTGTAAAAAGTTTGTATTTATTATGTATAAAATGTTGAATAATAAAAAAAATGGAATTATGTTTTCTAAGTTTTAATATAGAAAGGTTTGGGTAAACAGACCTTTCCAAAAGGCCCATGCTTCTTATAAAAACATTCCTGGGCCCTCCTTTAAACCAGCTAACAGACAGAGAGAGGAGAAAGTAAATTAATCCATCTATGAGACAGACAGTCCCTGAAGCCCCCATGTGCTAGGTGTAATATCCTGGGTACTAGAGATGGCAGTAAATAGGTTACGGTCTTTGCTTTTCCCATGGGAAAAAAAAGAAATACGTGAGGACAGTACTGTGGGACATGTGCTAGAAGGGAGGGGCAGATAGCATAGAGGCAGCTGAGGAGGGAGCTCTGATTCTGCTGCTGGAGGGGTGAGAGGAAGGTCACTGAAGTCCCCTTGCCGGATGTGACCACTGGCTTCCAGGAAGCGGGCATTCTGGATGCCTCTCCCCTTTCCTAAACCTCCACCCTAAGGAGTAATGAATTGTGTGAAAGGAGATTTTCTCGGTCCCAGGGGTGGATGGAGCATTCTTAGTCAAAGGCTGAGTCCCCCTGGCTTCCAGCCAGCCACACTGAGGACCAGGACACAGCCTGTTTGGGGAAGGGCCCCACAAGCTCTCCTCTTTCCTGGAGCTGGGGACATGCAGTAAGCATTTTTCCAGACATTATCCTGTGCATAAGACTCTTAAGTGTACACACTGCTTGTTTACATAAAAATGTGTTCAGCCGGGCGCAGTGGCTCATGCCTGTAATCCCAGCACTTTGGGAGGCCGAGGCGGGCAGATCACTTGAGGTCAGGAGTTTGAGACCAGCCTGACCAACATGGAGAAACCCAGTCTCTACCGAAAATACAAAATTGGCTGGGCATGGTAGCTCATGCCTGTAATCCCAGTTACTCTGGAGGCTGAGGCAGGAGAATCGCTTGAACCTGCGAGGCAGAGGTTGCGGTGAGCTGAGATTGTGCCATTACACTCCAGTCTGGGGAACAAGAGTGAAACTCTGTCTCAAAAAAAAAAAAAAAAAATATGTTCCAGTATAAATGTTGGGTAGATTCCTAAGTGTGGAATTTGAGGGTCAAAAAGGTATGTATTTAATTTTGTTAGATTTTGCCAAATTGGCTTCCTATAAGGACTATATCCATTTACACTCCCACCAACCGCATATGGACTTAGGAGCCAGGAGGTCTGGGTTAAATCCTGGCTCTGCCACTTGACAGCCATGGGGACTGAGCCTGTGTCCTCATCTGGAACCTGAGAATAAGACTGTGGTTCCAGGAAGGCCATATAAAGTGTGCCACAGGCTGGTCACCACGAACTCTTCTCACCACCACCTCTCCTCACCACCACCTCTCCTCACCACCACCTCTCCTGCCTTTTCTCACCACCACCTCTCCTGCCTCTTCTCAGTGTCCTTCCCTCCAGAACTAGGGTCCTTGATAGTCTTCCAGGCCCATAGTAACGCACAGAGTTGTCATAAGGCCCAAGGGAAAGAATGTGTGTGAAGTGCTCTACCAAAAATGTGGGAAGGGCTGTCAGGACACGAAATGTCATTTCCGTCTTCTGACTTCCCTGCCAGTGAAAGCTGCTTTCGGTACTGGAGGTTCCGTCTGTGACCAAGGGCAAAGCTCAGCTAACTGCCTCACCCCAGCGTCATAGCTAAATTTTGGTCTCCTTCATCACAGGAACTGACTTGATGCATGATGCAATCAACCCACAGGTTCTCAGTACACCACCTAGATCCCCTTCCTCTCTGACCCACCACCCCAGCCACATTCACAAGCCAGAGACCCAGTGGGAGGGCATCATCTGGCCTTAGCCCTGCCACTGCTTGATGGAAGACCTTTCCCTCTTAGCTGCCACATCCTCAATTGTAAAGGAATGGAATGATGGCTGGGCACGGTGGCTTACGCCTGTAATCCCAGCACTTTGGGAGGCCAAGGCTGGTGGATCACCTGAGATCAGGAGTTTGAGACCAGCCTGACCAACATAATGGAAACCCCGTCTCTTACTAAAAATACAAAAATTAGCCAGGTGTGGTGGTGGGTACCTGTAATCCCAGCTACTCGGGAGACTGAGGCAGGAGAATTGCTTGAACCCAGGAGGCAGAGGTTGCGGTGAGCCAAGATCATGCCACTGCACTCCAGACTGGGTGACAGAGCAAGACTCTGTCTCCAAAAAAAAAAAAAAGGAATGGAATGAGGTTATCTCCCAGGGCTTATCTAACTCTCATGCCCTGGATGAGTTGTTTCTAGATACAGAGAACATCACACAAAAAAGGTCACAATATTTGAAACCAGACTTACTAAGACACAGACTTCTTTGGATGGCAAGAAATTGAAAAGAAAGCAAGCCACTGGACTCTCCCGCTGGGACCTGGGACAAAACAAACCTTTATCCTCTAGATTGCAACTGCATCCCAGGCTGCTCTATCCACTCACTGCCTGAAGAACCCAGCTGCAGCTTTTGGTTTTGTGGCCAATGACTGCCCAGCCCTCTCCCAGTGGCCTTAGGATGAAATCCAGCTGCTCTGAATCTTCGCATTTATTTTGTTCATCGTGAAGTTGTTTTTCATGACAGAAATATAACTAAATTACAGAAATTTTAGGTTAGAAGGGGGAGGATTGTAATTTATCCCCAAATCCTGCAACTTTTAAGTTTCCTCCTAGACTCTTCCTGTGTTTGCCTTGTTACTGCTTGATCTGCCAAGAACCAAATGAATGCCAAAGAGCATCTTGTTCCTAGACTATTTTCCCTCGGTCCCAGAGGCCAAAAAACACACTTTTGCTGTGTCTGTTTCTGAGAGCTCTGGTCTGGGAATATTTTCCTGAAAAAAAAAAAAATTTTTTTTTTTGAGACGGAGTTTCGCTCGTCACCCAGGCTGGAGTGTGATGGCACTATGTCAGCTCACTGCAACCTCTGCCTCCTGGGTTCAAGCGATTCTCCTGCCTCAGCCTCTCAAGTAGCTGGGATTACAGGCATGTGCCACCACACCCGGCTAATTTTTTTGTATTTTTAGTAGAAACGGGGTTTCACCATGTTGGCCAGGCTGGTCTCAAACTCCTGACCTCAGGTGATCCACCTGCCCCAGCCTCCAAAAGTGCTGGGATTACAGGCATGAGCCACCTCGCCCGGCCTTTCCTAGAATGTTTTATGCTGAAACATTGACAGAAATGAACCCAGGGACAGGGCTCACAGCCCTTCTACACTGCGCATAGAACTCACTCTTCACCACTTGCTCCTGTGAGGAACAGAAAAGAGCACAGCCAAAGGAAATGTATTCCAGTCCCCAGGCCACCTCAGATTAGCTGTGACTTGAGGCTCATCCCTTCACCTTCTGGACCCTGCTTTCCTCATCTGTAAAGTAGGAACAAGCAGATAGTGCAACTTCTAAGATCCAGGAGGATGAAATAGGGTAATGTACAGATAAGCTGAAAATGTTTGTGATGAGTGAATGTGTCTCCAGTGGAAGAGCCTGTATCCAGGCATGGATATGTCTGAATCTCACAGATGGGTCCACGTCTGATGGTGTCAGATCTCTCCAGAAACCACCTCTATTCAATTCAGCAAATGTGCTGCCCCAGGTAGTGTTCAGGTCTCTGGAGCCTTGTCACTGAGGGGCTTGCATCTGGTGGGAGACACTCAGCGCAACAGCAGACTGAAGCCAGGGACTGAGAGATGACCAAGGGGCAGTAGGAGCACAGGATAGGGGCATCTGTCATTTCTCCCTCCCTGGGGTCTCAGGCTCACTAAGGCCTGAGATTGGGCAGGGCAGGCAGAGGCCATGGTCCTCATGCCTACAGAACAGCTCTGCAGAAGAGCCATGTCACTTTTGGGGAGGCTTGGGGCAGGAAGTTTCACAGGTGGGGATATGAGCGCCTGGAAGTCACTGTGACCTGCCCAAGATCTCCCAGGAAGACAGAACTGGAGAACCTAGAACTAGGCCTCCAGAAGCCCTGGCCAGCCCCTTTGCAGAATCTGAATCCAGTTTTTAGAAAAGCAGGAATCAGAGGTCTGGGTTCTTATCCCAGCTCTGCTCTGTGACCCGAAGGAGCTGCCCCATCTCTGGGTCTCAGTTTTTATACCCATGAGTGCGGGCCACTCCAGATTTGACCTAGGCACCCGAATTCAGGCAGGCAGCCCCTGAGCACCAGAGTTCTGAAAACCTGGGCAGTGACTGCTGAGAGCCTGGAGGAGCTGTCAACATCTATTTTCACCTCTCTGCTGAACGGGACTGAAGAGGCTGGAGGGAGGAACAGCCTTCCCGCTGACATGCCCCTCTGAACTCCTCTGCTCAGTCTGTGAGCTCCTCTTCCTCCTGCCTACCTCATTCCCGGGAACTCCTTGGCCTGTTTCTGGCCTTACAGACTTGTTCCTCCAGGAAGCACCCCCTCCTACTGGGAGGGGGACCTCCAAGCAAGTTAAGGTGAACATGTGCTCCCTGAGAGAGGCAACTCCACCCGATGGCAGCAGCGTGTGTGGTAAGATTGACGCCCATAAAGTAGAAGGGAAGGTTTTGGGGGAGAGAAGGGCTCACTGTCCCAGAGATCAGTCAGACCATTTCCTGAGCACCTCCTCTGGGCTCTCTAAGCAGTCTCCACTACAACCCTGTGAAATGAGGGAGAAACGCAATGGCGCAGCTGGCCTCCCAAGATTCAAGTTCCCTCACTCCTGTGTCCCTGCATGTCCCTCACTTCAAGGGATACTAACCGTCCAGGCTCAGGACCCAGAATAGAAAAGGGTGAAGATGTAGGGAGGGAGTCAGGTTAGACACAAGGCTAGCATCACACCTCTACCCCCGTGGTAGCAGGCAGGGGGCACACACACCCTGGGGGAGGGGGCATGCCCCGCAGCCCTGCCTAACTGCGAGTCTGAACACGTTGCTTTAAAAAGAGTATGTGTAATGCAGCCACAGTCCAGCTGCAGGGCTTCTCTGAGCTCAGTTTTCTCACCTGGGAAACATGGTAGCTACATGGCAATGTAGTTGGGAGGAACAAATAATGCTGCAGAAAGGGTGCAGGGCAGGGCCTGGCACCTCCTAAGGGCTCAGTCACGGTGGCTACAGGAGTGTCGGTCTCCCCAGCCATGTGTCCCTGGAAACGGGAATGGCCTCAGTAGACTAGGCAGCTGGTGACCCCTGGTGGCTGCTGGGAGCCAGGGCATGAGGGCTGGGGCAGAGTAGAAGGCTGAGTATCGAAGAATGTTGGAGCCCAAGGCTCTTAGACCGTTAGACTGGCTGAGTCCTTGAATAAGAGAATTTTGTTGTTGTTGAGATGGAGTTTCACTCTCGTTGCCCAGGCTAGAGTGCAATGGCGCATTCTCAGCTCACTGCAACCTCCTCCTCCTGGGTTCCGTGATTCTCCTGCCTCAGCCTCCCAAGTAGCTGGGATTACAGGCATGTGCCACCATGCCCAACTAATTTTGTATTTTTAGTAGAGACAAGGTTTCACTATGTTGCTCAGGTTGGTCTTGAACTCTTGACCTCAGGTGATCTGCCCTCCTTGGCCTCCTAAAGTGCTGGGATTACAGGCGTGAGCCACCGCATCCAGCCTGAATAAGAGAATTTAACCACTTAATAAACATTTCCTGAGTCATTCTCTGTGCCAGGCCTGATCCCAGGAAATAATCTATTCCCATCCTGGCCTCTTCCAAGAGTTCCTTGACTTAAAATGGAGGAGGCAGATACAAAAGGGGAGCTCAGGGACAGAGGAGGCCTCTACCCAGCCTGGCAGGCGAAGGAAGGGGAATCCTGAAAGAAAAATTTGAACTGGGGGCTGGGAGGGAAGGAGAACATTCTGGGAAGAAAGAAAAGCATGTCTGAGATGCACTCATGATAGCAAGGAAATAGCCAGGCACGGTGGCATGCACCTATAGGCCCAGCTACTGGGGAGGCTAAGGCAGGAGGACCACTTGAGCACAGGAGTTTGAGACCAGCCTGGGCAACATAGTGAGACATCATCTCTAAATGAGTAAATGAATGAATGAATAGCAAGGAAATGAAGATGAAGCTGAGAGGCCAGCAGGGTCACATCCAAAGGGCTCCAGATTTCATGCTGGGGTTGCGGGTGGTCTCTGAAGGCAGCAGGGGAACTCCAAAGGATTGGACTTGTGAACACGACACCCTAGAAAGTCACCCTGTTGGGCCGAGCATGGTGCTGTGCACCTGTAATCCCAGCCCTTCGGGAAGACCAGGTGGGAGGATTGCTTAAACCCAGGGGTTTAAGGCTGCAGGAGTTTGAGGCTGCACTAAGGTTTTTTGTGTGTCTCAAAAGCAACAACAACAACAACAAAAGTCACTCTGGCCATAGTAAGGGAAAGGATTGGATGGGGAGACTGCAGGTCTAGAAGGTGGCCCACAGTGGCAGGAGGGTGGAGGAGTACTAGAACCAGCAGCACAAGGTCCCAGGGACATGGGGTGCAGGAGGAACGGGTCACTTGCAGGGGAGATGATGGCCAGGAGGCAGCTAGACCAAAAGTAGTGAGTGGTCTGGGAGTCAGCAGAGTGTAGGTGTTGCCATTTAACCAACACCGTCTCCACAGGCCTGTGCCCAGTCCTAGGTTGGTAAAGGAAGTTGGTTTGCCCCAACTCTGCCCTGTGGGCTCTGCCTTGTAAGCAAAGCCCCAGGCCCAGATCTGGCCCACAGCTGCCCTCCCCCAGGCACAGACACACAGAGGCCTTGCTCTGCCCCACCCTGGGCACTACCCCTGGAGGAAGAACGCGGACCCAGTCTAAGGGAGGCCCTGTGGACCAAGGACTTTGATATCACTACCTGGGTTTTTAGGATCTTCCCACCGGGACCCCTCTGGGCTGCCTCCCTGCCCTCTCCTCAGAGCTCCCCCAGCCCCTCCTCAGCTTCAGTCTACCCTGAGTGCCTGAAGCAGGTGGGCCCAACATGTTGCTTTGGCCTCAGGACCAGGTTGGACCAAGAGTCACATCCATGGCTCTTTGCTGCCTCAGGGCCTTTCTTCCTGCTGTTTCCATGGTTAGACTTGAGCAGCACCTGTCTCTGCAGGCAGAGACTCGGCTGGCTGCCTCAGCTCTGTATGGAAGGAGGAAGGGGGCCAAGCCTGGATCTTCCAGAGCCCACTAGCCCAAAGGTCTCTGTACCATGAATGCTGCAAAGAGGTAGGCAGACGCAGTTCAGATATCATTTTTTTCTACTTTGGGAGAAAAAGTGAGGAGATAGAGATAAAAATACAAAGAAAAACTAGCGTAATCCCCCAACCCATACTTCATTTTTAAACAAACAGGCCAGGTCCTGCCAGGCCTTCTTCCCCATTAAATCCCAAGGCCAGCTCCAGTCCCAACCCCAACCCCTGCATGGCGCCGAAGGAAGCTTCAGGCTTCGGGCAAGAGCTCCAGCCCAGGCAGGCAGGTCGTGGCCCTACTGCCAGAGCACAACCTTCCTGCCCTGGTCCACGCTCACCATGTGGCTCCCGGAGTAGCACCAGGCCACGGCGTTGACGGCAGCGCTGGGGAAAGGGAGGGGCAGGCTTCAGGGGGGCTTCAGGAACTGCGCCTGCAACCTGGCTCTGCCCCGACTGCTGGACCTGGGTAGTTTGAGGCCCTCTCTTGAGCCTGTTTCCTCATCTGTCAAGTTAGCTCACAGGGCTGTGGAAAGGATGGAACCAAGTGCGTGTGGAAAGTACCTTGTGAACTGCAAAGGGCTCTGGTCGGGTGGAAGGTGGAGGGACAAGGGCTGGGGACTCCAGGGTCCCAGTATGTCAGAACCTGGAATCAGCCTGGCAGGACTGGGGCCAGGCAGGTGGCCAGGTGGAGGCCATGCTCACCAATGGGGTCCCTGTAGTCTGCTCTCCAGTTTCCCGGTGTCCACATCCCAGATGTAAAGGGCCCCATCACAGGAGCCTGCCAGTGCATAGCTTCTGTCCGGGCTGTAGTGGCCACAGCAGAGCAAGAAAACGGGGGGTCAGAGGGGAGGGCACACACAGGGTCCGGCAGGGCACACTTGGACACAGGCATATGCTCTCACGGACATACCTGAACACAGCTTTGGTCCAGTCAGAACCACACTTGAAGCCATCGGCCCTGAGGACAGACAGGGCTGGGGTCAGAACAGAGGTCATCACTAGTCTCTGCCCTCTGCAGTGAGCTTCCAGAGCTTCCTCTTTGTCGAGGGGTTTGGTACCTCAGCAGGACCTGGTCTGGAGGGGCCTCCAGGGAGGGCTCCAAGAGGGTCTATTACAGGAGAAGAGAGGCTCAGCTGTCCCAGCAAAGGCCACAGGGTCAGCAGGCATGAGGCTGGTACCTGAACACCTGGCGGATGTTGCTGACACGCAGGTCGATGACCTTGAGTGTGTTGTCTCGGGAACAGCTGAGCAGGTGCAGTTGGTCGTGGCTGAGGCTCAGGGAGGTGACCCGGCCCTGCACAGGGATGACCTGGGTGCAGTGGGGCCCCCTGAGGAACAAGGACAGAGACAGGGATGAGGAACAGCCTAGCCAGGCCACTCCTGACAGGAAGGGGCCAGGCGCAGCAGCCTTCCTAGCTAACCAAGTCCGGAGGAACCCCAGGGCCCTGGATCGCTGGGGTAAAGGCTGCGAGTGACTCATCTCCCTTCTCCCCACTGCAGCCAGCTGCCTCCATCGAGGAACTTAGACAGACTTTGATTTGAAAGCTGGAGCCTTTGAAACCTTTGGGTCACTAAATAAGAACCATATCATCTGAGCAATGAAGTCTCGTCTTTAAAAAATATGAGAGAGAGAAGGAAGGGTTGCAAACAGTAATTGCTGGAGATCAGTGAGTAAAGGCTTGAGGCAGGCCTAGCACTGGCTCTAGCTTTGTTTTTTTGTTTTGTTTTGTTTTTGGTTTTGGTTTTGTTTTTGTTTTGAGACATCTCGCTCTGTCGCCCAGGCTGGACGGCAGTGGCGCAATCTGGGCTCACTGCAACCTCTGCCTCCCGGGTTCAAGCCATTCCCCTGCCTCAGCCTCCCAAGTAGCTGCGATTACAGGCATCTGCCACCACACCCGGCTAATATTTTTAGTAGAGACAGGGTTTCGCCATGTTGGCTAGGCTGGTCTCAAACTCCTGACCTCAGGTGATCTGCCCGCCTCGGCCTCCCAAACAGCTGGGATTACAGGTATGAGCCACCACGCCTGGCCTCTAGCTTTGCTTTTACAAACAATTCAAGCCCAAAGTTAGGGTCTTTGGTTTAAAAAACAGCTAAAAGAATTTTTTTCCTTTTGATATAAAAGTGGTAACTAAATGGAAAAAGGTACATCTCCATCTTGGTTGCAAGGTCCAGGCGGAGTCCAGCATTGGACCAAGAGCCATGAAGACAGTGGCACAGCTTCCTGCGGGAGCTGAGCCCAGCCGAGAGGCACTAGCTGGCAGTGCCAGCCCCACAGCCTTGCCTGCCCAAAGTGCCACCAAGACTCCTCCTGCCATGGCCAGAGAAAGGAACAAGAACTTGGGAGCCCTGTCCCCAGCCCTCCCCAAGTCCTCCCCCAGCCTGCGCCTGTCACCTGCTGTCCCAGAACCGGATCTTCTGGTCATTGTGGCCACTAATGATGATATGGTCCCCACACACCACGTCATTACAGTAGGAAAGGACATTGATGGTCCTGGAGCCTGGGGACCAAGCAGCAGACCCCAGGGCCTCAGAGGAGGGTTGTCGGGAGCCACCCCACAGGACATATGGAGAAGCTGAGGCCCAGAACCCAGTGTCCTCCCAAGACTAGAACCCAGGTCTTCCGCTTCCCAGCACAGGGCTCACCCACGTCTTTTTCCTACCCACAGCCTGAGGTCACCAAGAAACCAGACAGAAAACACCACTGGGGGATACCATTAGGGAATTGGAGGGCCTTGAGAGGTTTCACCCCCAAATGCCTATGAATCTCAGAGCCACTCCCAGAGAGCAGGTGAGGTCCCTTGTGCCCTGGCCTGGGGCTCCTGGCTGGTGGGGAGGAGAGGTGGGGCTGGGGCTCGGGCTCACAATAGGCACGGCCGAGGTCCCACTCCTTCACTGTCCGGTCGCGGCTCCCAGTCACTGCCTGGTGCCTCGTTAGCTTGAATTTGGCAGCTGTCACCTTATCCTTGTGTCCAGACAGTGTCTCCTGTACCCCGGCCCCAGGTACGGATCAAGAGTTTGGCCAAGACCCCATAACAGGCCCCCTAGTCCTGAGGTATGACCTCTGACCTCCAGGCAGCCTCCCCAGTCAGGCCTCACCTTGGACTGTGCCTCCCCCACCTTCCAGAGCTGGGCAGCCTGGTTGTAAGTTGCTGCTAAAACCTGGTAGCCCTGGAGAAATGGGAGAGGAAGTGAGAGGTGCTAAGCCGGAGGCAACATTCTTCGGGCCACAGAATGAGGCTAGGGGCTGCCTCACAGTTTCCCACGGCCCAGGTCACCAAGGCAGGCAAAGGAGCCTCCGGCCCAAGGAGGAGGATCTGTGTAAGAGCCCAGGGGCCTGGTTCTAGGGTATCCATGTTGCGCCCTCAGGTCCCACAGCCCCCACCTGCCCAGTGTGGAGATCAGAGAGGGCACAATCCCATGCCACTGGGGCAGAGTTCCTCACCGAGGGGTCAAAGTCCACACTGGTGATGCTGCCACCAGCTCCCTCCAGGGTCTGGTTGGCCTCCAGGCGACCTGGGAGGACCAGGGGAAGGGACAGTTGAAATGAGGTCTTAACCTCACAAAATGGAGGAATTGGGATTGAGAGCGGAAGATCAGTTCCCGCCCCACCCCCCGACACATCCCCAGGTTAGAAGACAGAATCGCTGGGTCTGTTCTGCGGGCCTGGGCTGGAGACTACACCTCCCCTAACTGCTGGCACTGGGTCCCAGGGACAGCTAGTCATTTCACAGACCAGGCTAGAGAGGACCAGGGAGAAGGGACTATGTAGAGCACGCAGCAAGCCAGGATCAGGCCAGCCAGAAACTTGCCTTTTCTAGGAAGCCCCCAGGAGCCGGCTCTGACTCCCCAGGACACCCCCTCTCCAGAGCACAGAGCTTGGGACAAGGCCAACAGTTCATACTTGTCTCTTACCTGAGTTCTGAGAGCTCAAGTGATGCTAGAAGAGGGTCACCTGGTAGACTCAGGGACCTGCTCTTCAAGGGCCTGTCCCTGTAGGACCTCATGATAGGGGACCCCCACCAATCCCCATCAGGGACCATCTGAACTCAGCCCTCCCCATCCTGCAAATCTGGACCCTAGGAGCCAGGAGGCTCCACCCTTCTTCAGAACAGTGAGCCCAGAGTCTCACTCTTTCCAAGGCATTGTCTAGTCACTGCCCACAGAATATTCCAGATAGAGAAACACAAAGAGATCCAAGACCTCTGCCCACCAAGGAGTGAGCTGAGGAGAGGGTCTGGAGAGAAGCACCAAGTTGGCCGGCAGGGGAGGGCTCCTTACTTCCCACAACATTCCAGAGGTGGATCAGGCGGTCAGCCCCTCCAGTGGCCAGGAGGCTGCTGTTGGGGCCAAAACGAACAGCATTGACCTCAGAGAGGTGGGCATCCTGTGGGGAAAGGGGAGGTTGGTGCCCCGGCCCTCCCCGCGCATGTCTCTGTGAGTGCTCACGGGCCCTCTTACCGGTGCCTGTGCAGACACAGCCTGCTGCAGACGTGGTATCTCCCTCCCCAGTTTCTCTGTCCACACTCTGAGTTTCAAACCCGGCCCCACCAGGTGTTCTCACCTCTGCCTGGACCCCTGCAGCAGCCTCCGTGCTATGCTACTCTACTCTCCTGCCTGGCCTCCTGGCCTCCCAGCCTCCTCTCTCTCCCTCCCCGGCTTATGCCCACATCATAACATGCTTGAGTGGCTCCCACCACAGGCTGTGGGAGGCAGCCTCCTGCTCCTGCTGAGGAGCCCAGCCTTGCTTCCCTGGCCTCTTGGGACCACCCCTGGTGCCGAGACCACCCCTGTGCCTGCACTCTCTCACCACTGCCCCACCCATGTGGCTCAGCTCCTCCCTTACCAGCACATCCTGAGCCCGGGTAGGAAGTCGGGCAGCCACACACACAGGGATGATCTGGTATCGCTGCTCAGGGGCTCCCCCAATTGAGTGACCTCTCCTCTTCTTAAAACTGGGGTAAGGTGGGTTGGGGTCAGGAGGGCATTCAGCAAGTCCTTCTCAGGTGGGAGCCTCCAGCTCCCCTGAGGCATCAACCATAGGAAGCAGACATGGCAGGCGGCAGAACATGGCCCCAAGGAGCAGCGAGAGCATTCCCCAACCCAGCCTCGACCCCAGGGGTTGGTGTGGAGACGGGGTGGGGAGCACACAGAGGCAGACACAGGAGCAGGGTAGGGTTGGTGGGTGCAAAGAAACCTCAGGGCCGGGGTTTCAATCCCAGTCTTGCCACTGCTTGGCTCTGTGACTCTGAATGAGTCCCTGACATTTCAGAGCATTTTTCCCAATTGAGTAGGAGCTCCTGCCCTGCCTGAGGCTGGAGCTCTTGGTCCCCTGTGACGACCTTGGATGAAGACAGACCCTTGTGAGGACAGAACCTGGAAGACAGCTGAACCGGGGCCGGGGCTGAGGCCATTCACCTGGCTCCTGTCTCCAAGGCCCAACAGACTCACAGGCAGACAGCTGCACATCACAGGGATGGACAGGTCGAGGCACAGACACAGACCAAGCCTGGGCTGGGGAGCCCGACACACACGTGGGTGCACACACAGGCACACACACACTTACTCCAGAAGCCCCTTCACCACATCCACACAGTGGGACAGCGTCAGGGAGGTGGCTGAGGCAGACCTGAGACAAAACCAAGAGAGATATGCTAAGGGACTGGCTGGTGTGTGTACAAATGGCTGTCCATCATCTCCACACTTTGCCAGAGACCTGGAGGCTTGTAACCTCTCAAGTCTGGGATAAGAACTTGACTTCTCCAAGATCAGGAGACCAGGGTGACCCAGATCAGTCCCAGGAAGGTCGGGGCAGCAATGGATTTGGTAATGAAAGTCTCCCAAGGTCTCCCTCATGATGGGAAGAACTGCCTTACCCTACTAGTACCCACCAACAAAAGTTCCTGGGAAGCTGAGCCGGGGCCTACAGGGAGGAGAGACGCTGAAGGTTCCCCCAGGCTGGGGATGGGAGGAGGGGGGAGCCTAGGCTCACTGGGTGACCTCAGCAATGCCCAGGAGAGGGTGTGTCCTACAATGACTTGGCCCACAAGGGCTCCCAAGGACTTTGGGGACTGGCATCTCATGCCCCTCCCCACGGTTTCTTCACTGCCCCAAGGCCTGGACACCAGGGACCTGCAAGGAAAGACTGAGAAGAGGTGTTAGGCTGGGGAATGGCGCCCAGAGCGGGCAGCCTCAATGACAGGCAAATCAAGAAGGATGGAGGAGACCCTGCGGACAGGCACCCAAGGTCTGAAGCCCCAATCAGGTCCCACAAGTGTGAGCACACATCTACACATGCTTATATATTCACACATACAGACGGGCTCAGTCAAGCTTGTACACACCTGTGGCCTCATGTCCCTGCGGATGCACATGCTTGCACACCTATGGCTGCGCACACATGCCTGGCATGACTGGGCTCTGGGCTTTGCCCACAGGTTCTCTCCTGGTGACAGCTATTCAGAAGCCTGACTCCCCACCCCCAGAGCTCTGATCCCAAGAAGGAGGGAAAGGGTTGAGGGTAGGGGTTGGGGGGGTGAGATGGAACTGACCCCAAGTGGCTCCAGACAATGGAGGTCAGACTAGCCCTGGGAGATCTGAGCTTTCTGGCCTCTCCTCAAGCCCCCTCCCAACCCAAGAGCTGGCTCCAAGGTCCAAGAGGAAGACCCTGGCAGCCTCTGGGGTGGGGCTCAGCTCAGAGCTCTGAGACTGTCACCTGGGTCCTCACCTGAAGGGCCTCTTCCACTTCTCACAAGCTTCCTTCTCCAGGGGCTCTGGCTCAGGGGCCAGAGCCAGAGTCTCCCTTCTCTCCCTCATCCCATCGCCTAGGGTGTCCGGGCCCCTAGGAGAGGTAATGAAGTTCAGAAAGGCCAAGGGACCAAGCCAGCCCCTCCCGACCCCAGCACAGGATACGCTGAAGACAGGAATTCCCAGTGATGAGGGTTCTGTGTGGGTGTACACGTGCAGCGGTCACGCATGCAGGCTCCTACGACCACACGGTCCTCTGCAGGTGTCTCGTGGGCTCCGACCACATGGGGGCCTCAGGACGGGGCTGTGCACAAGTACAGTCGGCAGCCTGGGTCGCCGCAGGCAGGCGGGGCGGGAGGCAGAACGCAAGGGTCGGACCGGCCCATCCCCACTCTTACTCGCTGATGCTCACGGTCCGCTTGGCAGCCTTCTTCAGCTCCTGGGACACCCGCGCCTGCTTGGCCCTTGTTGGGTAAAAAGCATCCTGAGACCCTGGCGCGGCGCCTCGCACGCAGGCGGGGCTAGACCCGGTCCCTTCCTCCAGGGGGCGGCTGCTGCCCCCCTCCCTTCCAGACACCGGCGAGGCCCGACTCCTCCCTGCAGGGGCGGGGCCTTTCCTCAGGAGGGGCGGGGCCTGCTCCCTCACCGCTCCCGGCGCTCGTTGCGCAGGTTGCGCTCGGCCGCGGCGCGCGCCTTGCGCTGCACGAGCCTCTCCAGCAGGTCGCGCGCCTCTTCCTGGAGCCTGCGCAGTGCCGCCTCCCGGAGCCCGACGTGCGCGCGCAGCGCCTCGTAGGCTGCCCGCTGCACCGCATTCTGCGCCCGCCACTCCTCCACCTGCTGGGCCTGCTGCGCCCGCGCCTCTCGCAGCTGCGCCACGCGGGCCTCCAGGGCTGCCAGCCTGGAGGACGGAAAGAGCGGATAGCGGGTCCCAAGCTTCCCCCGTCACTGCCCAGTGGGAATATGCCTCGGAGCAGAGACAGACCTGCCCATGCCAAACGCGGCTAGCCGGGTGGCTAAGCCAGGTCTCCCCCAAGCCTTCGCCCTCAGAGCCCAGCCGTTCGGTCCTCTGGCACCAACCGATGGGGTCGGGGGGACGTAGGGAAAGATCTCGGCCCGCGCCATTCCCCCCGCCTCCCGTATAGTTGGCCCCGGGCCTCCCTGAGGTGGGCGCGGTCCCTCCCGCCCCCGCCCGCGCCTCACCTGCTTTGCCTCTGCTGCAGCTCCGACTCCAGCGTGCCCAGGGCCGCGCCCTTCTCCACCACCTGGTAGGCCATCTGGGGGCGGACAGGTGGGCACGGCGGCGCTGAGGCCCCTCCAGGCCTCCAGTCCCTCCGGGGCCGAAGGCGCTAAGGGAGTCGGCTGCTCACCTGCCCGCCCCCTTCCTGAAAAGCAAGCTGAGCCCCACACAGGTTTGGGACCTTGCACAGGGACGCGCTGCTGTTTGTGGAGCAGTGGAAGGCCCTCGGGCTCTGGAGTCAGCCCTGGGTCCCAATCCTCGCCGTGCCGCTTCGTTTCTCTGCGACCCTACTAGGAACCTCTCTGGCAAGAGCAACCCGCTCCACTGCCTCGCCTGAAGAGTGGGAAGCCAGCGCTCCGCTCCCAGCACCATGCATAACCACTGCGAGGACTCCTCGCGCAGAGGCTGCCAAATGCCCATCCGGCCCTCGGGCGCCATGATGTTCCCAGCAGGCTACACGCTCCTTCCATCCTCACCACACCAGGAGGCTGGTACTGCCACTCTCACTTCACAGACAAGGACACCGACAGAGAGGTTTAAGTGTCTTGCCCAAAGTCACGTAGCTAAGAGATTTGGGCACAAGCCACCTACCTAACTGCATCACCCTCCAGGCTGGTCAGGGGAATGTGAGTTCTGTTCCCCACCCCTCCCTGCTGGCTTCCTGGCCTCACCCAACCCAGGCCTGCCCAAGCACAGGTCTCAGCAGCGAGAGGCCCTGCGCAGAGGCACACAAGGCTAAGATCAGGCATGGACTCGGGGAGCCAGGGCCCAGACTCAATATGGGAACAGCGCTGGCAGCCCAGGAGAGTGGGTGAGGGTCATTTCATCTGCACTCCCGCCTCACTCGTCATGCCTTCAACCCAGAGCCAAGCAGGGTCGGTGGGAGAGACAGACCCCAGGCAAGGCAGCTCCCACCAGTGTGACAAGAGAACATGAGGGCCAGAGGCGCCTCTGGCCCAGGCCAAGGCTGGGGGCTCTTGTTGCTAATCTGTTCCTGTGTTCTCACGTGGGCCTGGTGAGGACAGACTGAGGAGCACGGTTGGCGCTGCCACCTGCACTGACATGACGCGCTATGTGAGTGAGTCTGCGAAGAAGGAATCTGCACATGCGGGTTGGGGCACCTTTATTCATAGTTGGCCCCATTTATAACATAATTCTTTTCACCACTGAGCAATCTGATCACCACCTCCACTTTCTCACTTGTCACTTGCTTTCATTTATGTTGTGTTGTACCATTCAATATTTTATTGTATGCCTTTCAAAATTCAAGTAGTAGAAGTGGAAAACAGATTAGTACTTGCCAGGGGTTAGGGATGGTTGGGGGGAGAGGGGTGAATGTGACTAAAAAGGGGTAATAAGAAAGAGATCTTTGCAGTGGTGAAACAGTGCCATATCTTGATGGTTACACAAATCTACACGTGATAAAATGACAAAGGACATATACACACTTCATACCAATCCCAGTTTCCTGGTTGTGGGTACTATAGTTATGTAAGATGTAGCCAGCAGGAGATGCTGGGGGAAGGGGATGCAGGAACTCTGGACTATCCTTCCAACTTCCTGTGAATCTATAATTATTTTAAAATAAAAAGTTAATAATAATGATAAATGCTTGTGATGTGTGGAACTACTAGAGAAATTTTTACAAAAGAAAAGAAAAGGCCGGGTGCCGTGGCTCACGCCTGTAATCCCAGCACTTTGGGAGGCCAAGGTGGGTGGATCACGAGGTCAGGAGATCAAAACCATCCTAGCTAACATGGTGAAACCCCATCTCTACTAAAAATACAAAAAATTAGCCGGGCATGGTGGCGGGCGCCTGTAGTCCCAGCTACTCGGGAGGCTGAGGCAGGAGAATGGCGTGAACCCGGGAGGCTGAGGTTGCAGCGAGCCGAGATGACGCGACTGTACTCCAGCCTGGGCAACAGAGTGAGACTCCGTCTCAAAAAAAAAAAAGAAAGAAAAGAAAAAGCCTCCTCACTGCCCCCATCCTCTGGCGCATCCAATGGGTACTGGCTGGTGTGTGTCCTGGGAAGGAGTGCTGGGGGCCAGGGAAAGTATCTCAGGCAAAGGGAGCTGGGAGCTCAGAGATGAGCGTGGCAGGAAATGCGACAAGAGCCTGGGGAGCTCGACGGGGGAGCCAGGCTAGGAGCTTTGGAAGATCTACAGCGCACTAACCATGGGGACAGAGGTAGTAAGACGGGCTTTTACTTTTTACTCTATGGCTTCTATTCTCTTGACTTGTTTACAAGCATGTTTTGTGTATTGCTTGTCTTTAATGGAGATCTTTCTTTTTTTTTAATTAAAATATGTCACTCTGAAAGCTGTATGGAGAAGGGACAGGGAGTGCTAAAGGAGTGTTCCAGGGCAGGATGAAAGTTACTTGTACTATGTCAGATATGGTGCAAGAAACAGAGAGACATTGATGGATTTGGAGATAGAGTCAACATGAGCTTGTGACCAGCTCAGGATGGAGGGCTGGGAAGAGTCAGAGGTGCCCCTGCATTTCCAGCATGTGTGAGAACGACTGGGGGGCAGTCACAGGAAGACAGGAAGGACAGCCCACCTCATTCATCGCTTAGTCTACAAATAGTCATTAGTATGGAATGGACTGTGGACACAGGCCCTAAGGATATAGGTTTGCCTCGGAGGCAAACGAAGACATCCCAGGGCTTGGGGAGCTCACAGCCCAGAGGCTGGGGGTGGTGTGGGGGTCAGATGTTTGAGAATCACCTCTCAAACAAATATTAAATTGGACCTACAACAGCAGCTCTAGGGAAAGGTTCTCAAATGAGTCCGTACCTATGCCCGCATTTCTGTTGGGCAGGTGACTTGCCATTCTGTGACTGGATGTGTATTTCCTGGGCTATCACAGTCTCTTTCAGAGGACTGGAAGCCCCATGGGGCCAGGTCTTGTTTATTGTTGCACTCCCCGTACTTTGGATATAGCAACTGTCAACAGATGTTGAGAGAATGAATGGAGAGCACAGAAGTTGATTTGTGTGAGAAGGGCTCAAATCCTGGCTCTACCTCTCCAAGCCTCAGTTTCCTCCTCTACAACCATAAAGTTGTGAAGGATTAACTGAGACAATGTTTAGCCCGATGCCTGCAAGGAGTCAACTCTCAAAACGGTGTGGGCCAAATTCTGGGGGAGATGGTGAGCCTGATTTTAGATGTGATCTCCAAAAAGCAGCTGAGCAAGAGAGTCAAGCTCAGAAAAGAAGGCTCGGCTAGAGACAGAACTGAGAGTTGGCAAACAGAAAAAACGGGGGTCAGTGAACCCCAAGAACACCCACATTTGAAGGGACAGGAATAGGGAGGAGGGGAAGGAGCCAGTGAAGGAAGTTCAGAGGCAACAATCACAGAAATGAGAGGGAAACCAGGAGAGCATGGTGAAAGAGAAGCCAAGAGACACTGTTGCAAAGGGGCAGGGAAGGCGGTAGTGTCAGGTGGAGCGTCCACACTCTGCCAATGCGCTAAATGAACCTAACTTCTGTAGTCTGCAAATGTATATTGAGCATCAACTGGTGCTAGGCCTTGGGGATGGCTGGGCGAGGGGTGAGCCATGGAGTAGTGAGCAGAGCAGGCTAAACCATGTGGAAGGGAAATGGGCTGCCAGGCCCTTGCACACCTAACTCCCTCCAGCTGCTGTTGGAGCCCACTTCATCCTGGGCTGCCCAGGGCACTCTGACCCCTGCTCAGCTTCAGGTCAGGGCCTGGCACACACTAGGGCTCACTCAATGCTTGCAGCACTGGGCTTGGAGAATTCAGCAAACACAGGAGTACCCGTCACTGGCTGGCTCCCTTGGACCACATCTCTCTACCCCATTTTCAGACCCCTTCCCAACTTACCTCACCACAGACCAGCCGGAGCCCCTCCTCCTCCTCCTGCCACTTCACCCTCAGTGCGACCAGTGATGGGACTTGGTCTGAGTCAAGCTCTGACTCCTCCCTGCCAACCAATCAGAGTGGTGCTCAATGTCCCCCGGTTCACCCAAGTGCCCAAAGGCACCCAAGTGATGCTACATGAAAAGCCTAAAACAAGAGCCATTAACTTCGTCCTGGGAAGATGGAAGCCAGCAAGCCAGTAAAGGAAAAGGCAAGTCTCTAGAAATGAGCTGTCCATGACTCCTCTGCTCTAAGATTCCCCTAGGCCTTGGCCAAGGACCCTTCTCAAGAAGCACCTCCCAGTCAGGCGTGGTGGCTCACACCTGTGATCCCAGCACTTTGGGAGGCCGAGGTGGAAGGATCACAAGATCAAGAGATCGAGACCATCCTGGCCAACATGGTGAAACCCCGTCTCTACTAAAAATACAAATATTAGCCGGGGGTGGTGGTGCACGTTCCAGGAGGCTGAGGCAGGAGAATTGCTTGAACCCAGGAGGCAGAGGTTGCAGTGAGCTGAGATCACGCCACTGCACTCCAGCCTGGGTGACAGAGCCAGACTCCGTCTCAAAAAAAAAAAAGCAAAGCACCTCCCAACTCTGAGCCCCAACCTATTCCTGGTTCTCATCTTTACTCCCTCTTTGCAACAGGTAGCAAGACCCTTTCTTTAGGCATCAGGCAAGGAACAGGGAAATGGAAAAAGACTGAGAAAGGGAAAAGACATAAGTATAGGGGTGGGACGGGAAGGAGATGGGACAAATGCAGAGAGATGGACAAAGAAAGGTGGAGGGGAAAGAGATTCTAAACAGCTGTCCTGTGGGAAGGCCAAGGGCCTGCCTCCCCCACCACCCCCACCACCTCCACCACCCCCACCACCCCTGGGCAGCAGCCAAGGGCTGATGAGGCACTAGGGAGAGAATGAACCCAGCACAGGCAGCAGGGGCAGGGCCCCAGCACAGGCAGCCCTTTGTGACCACGGACCCACATACACTTACCAGGGGCCCTGGTGGGTGGTGGGAGTGACACTGTTTGGCTCCGGCTGCAGCTTCTTTGAGAACTTGTCCAGCAGCTCAGCCTTCTCTAAGAGATGGTTATCTGGAGAGTGCAAGAGAGTGAGCCTGGGGCAGAGACAGATACCCAGCAGCCCCCTGGCATGCAATTTATCTCCGGCTAAAAGGGCTGAAGGAGCCCAGAGATGCTAGGGATGGGGAAGCTTCTGGCAGGCTGGCCTCTGCCCTGTGCCTGAGGGGCATCTGTGCAGTTCTACAGGACCTTCAGCCCTAGCAGTGTCCTCATAGCACCGGTCCCCAGGCCCACGTGGAAGAGGACCTGCTCTCCCAGGGACAGAAGGATGACCACTGCGGGGTACTGCCCGCTGAGGGTCCTGAGGGAAGGAAGGGGCCTGGGATTGATTCATCCCTGCCTCAGAGCAAGGCTTAGCCCCAGAAAGTGATGAAATAAACCGAGCTCTACCTGTCAATGGCCTTTGGCAAGTCACTTCCCCTCCAAGGGCTCTAGCTTTCTGCACTTAAAAATAATCCCCAGCCGGGCGCGGTGGCTCACACCTGAATTCCCAGCGCTCTGGGAGGCCGAGGCGGGCGGATCACGAGGTCAGGAGATCGAGACCATCCTGGCTAACACGGTGAAACCCCCATCTCTACTAAAAAATACAAAAAATTAGCCAGGCGTGGTGGCAGGCGCCTGTAGTCCCAGCTACTCGGGAGGCTGAGACGGGAGACAGGCGTGAACTTGGGAGGCAGAGCTTGCAGTGAGCGGAGATCACACCACTGCACTCCAGCCTGGGCAACAGAGCAAAGACTCCATCTCAAATAAATAAATAAATAAATAATCCCAACTTCCCCAGCCCTGGTGTAAGGTACCCCCAGGCCAGAATAGAAAGTCCTTGAGCAATTATCCAGCCGACATTCTGGAGGTTGGTGGTTTGACCCTGGAACACCCTCCCCCATCAACAGTCACTTCCTCTTTTCTCACCAGTTCCAGGGGAGGGTGGGGTGGTAAGTCCGGGCCTAGCTCCCTCCTCATCAACTTCCTTCCCACACTCAGTGCCCTGTCACCTTGACTGAGGCCCTGGGCCTGGCCTAGTTCTCATGAAAACCCCACCTCAGCCCCCAGGGTACTGCAGCACCCAGCAAACCTAAAGAAGGTCTCTATACCCAATTAACAAGTAAGAAGACTGAGGCTTAGCGATGTGATCTGCCCAAGGTTTCAAGACTGGCCCTTCAGTCTGATTTCAGCCCTCCAGATCTCTCTAGTCCCTCAGACTCACAGCTCCCTGGGTCGGGGCGGGGGGCAGGGGTTGGGGGGGCGGTGACCCCCTCCCTCAAACTGGACGGTTCCACTGTCTGTCTGAGCAGTGGAGAAGTGTGGCTGCTGGAGGTGGGGGCTGGCCTCGCAACCCTGAAGGTAGAGGACCAGCAGCCTGGAAGCTTGCAGAGAAATTTTCCTGGCTAAGAGCAGATTTGATTGTGGGGGTTTGGCCAAGATTAGCCCCAGTGAGAGAGCCGCAGGGATTGTGGTTAGACTTCCAACCACAGACATACAATCGCAGGCGGCCAGAGGTGCGACACACAGGCACACCTGTTCATCCCCTCTTGAAATGCCACACCCTATCCTGACCAGCTGCCCAGAAACAATTCTGAGAGTCCGACTTCGCTGGGCTCAGCCAGCATCCACCAGCAGCCCGGGGCCCCCTGATGCCCCCTCAGGCTGGGTAGGCTGACAGGGAGGTGTTCCATAAGCCTGTGCCAGCGTCGCCTGTCAGCGGCAGAGCCTGAGATGCACAGCCTCCTCCTTAGAGGTTCCGAGTGTCGCCCCTCTCCGGATGGGCCAATAAGTGGCTGCTCTGGACAAGTCCCGCGTTCTTTCACTGCGCTACCGAGACTAAGTGCACTGATCAAGCCCCTACCCCGGGGACTGCCCGGGTGGGGAGGCAAAAGAGACCCTGCAAAACCAACACCCGAGGACGCACTTGCGTCTCGGAAGCCCAGCTTGTGGGAGGCAGAGCCCGTCCTGAGGGGCGACGAGGGCAGGGGGACCAGGAGGGGCTCGTCCAGGTTCTAACCAGAGCCTGGATGGCAAGGGGCGGAGTCCTGGCAGTCGGGATGGGCGTAACGCACAGGCTCAAGGCATAAGGCACAGCGCACTCGGGTCACAGGCGGAGGAGCCAGCCAAACCCTCTCCCCGCGCCCGTAGCCGCGTCCCCTCAGCCGCCATCCTCTCAGCACCGGGGCGCACTCACAGGCCGGCACCAGCTCCAGGAAAAGCGCCTTTTGCGTACGGTCCCGAAGCCGCAGCTGCCGCACGATGTGGCGTTTCCAGCGCGCTGCGGGGGCACCGGGGACGCCCGGCCCCGCCATGGCCGCGCTCTCCCGCCTAGCGGCGCGTTCCTCCCGCCCAGGACGGCGCCAGGCCGGGGCGGGGCCTCGCGGGGACTCCGTGACGCCAGGGGGCGGGCGGCGGCGGGGAATCCCCGGCTTGTCCCAAGAGGGCTTTGGCGGGGAGGACCGAAGGCCGACGCCGGGAGGATCTGCCTCCGGGAGGAGCCGCCTCCGGGTCTGAACCGCCGGGGCCCCGTCCGAAATGTTCACCTAAGTGGGGGCTCCTGTGGCTGCGAGGGTCATAAGCAGGAGCGAGGTCGGAGCCTCCGGGGAGGCTTCCCCCACGCGGGTGGAGCGCTCCGGAGGCGGGGCCCTCAAGGCCCGGGTGTCTTAACCCCGCCGCGCCCGGGCCGAGTTCGAGAGCCGCTGGTGCTTCCCAGGCCGTCGCGCTCCTGGCCGCGCACCCAGCCAGGGACCCAGAGGCCCTCAGCCCCGGGCTCTGCGCGTACACTGAGGGCGCGGCGCAGCAGGACAGCAAGATAAGGAAGCAGAGACTGAAGGGAGGAATCCCCGCTTTCCGGGGATGATGGCGTTCGAGTTGGGTCTGTGAGGGATGAAATAGGAGTTGGCCAGAGGGAGAGAGGGACTCTAGGCCTCGAGAAGAGCACGTGCAGAGGTTCCGTGACACGAAAACGCCAGGTGGGTGCGGGGCTGGGAGGACAGGAGGCAGAAGGGTTTACGGCTCCACATGGTCGCCGAAATTTTAGGTCCCTGAGAGTAAAGGGGTGCAGCTGATTTCATCTAGAAAGCCCCTGGCCGGGAGGAGAGAACGAGCTTGCTTGCCTGGGGTTGCAAAGGAGTGGGTAGCTGAGACGGCCAGCACCCCAGCATCCTGACTCAGGGCCAGACGCTTCACCCCATTGGGCGGCGTCTGGAGGAGCAGACACATCTCTTGTGGGTACCCTCGAAAGTGAATCATGGGTCGCAGGGAACTGTGGTCAAACCGTCTCTAGCTAGATGCTAGAGAGCCAGCTCTGCAGGCTCAGGCTACTGTGAGACACGAAAGGAGGGACTCGCTGGGCACAGCCTCACCCTGGGGCATGCCAGCAGGCCCTGCCCTCTGAGTGTTGGCAGACTTGAACATCCCTAGGGAACGAGAGAAGTTGGGCAACGATGGGAGAGCAGTGCAGGCCCTGGAGGTGACGAGTCTGTTGAGATTCTGATGGGGATGGGTCAGAGGACGTAGAAAGCAGTGAAGGCCTAGACGCCCCCAGGTCAGTGTAGCCTGCTCTGCTTCCAGTGAGCTGGGCTCAGTCCCCCACATGTCATTGTCTTAGACGCCCATGGCCTTTGCACAGGCCGAGCCTGATGTTTGGAACATCGTCGCCTCTAGGGGGCCTGGCTCCTAATCATGCATCACCTCCTCCAGGAGAACTTTCCTGCCCCTACACTGAGTTCAAGCTTCTCAGACACCAGCCCCAGTTGAGTTCGAGTTATAACCGTCACCAGTTATCACACCATCCTGTAATCTGTGCGGTGCCCCTTAGGGCAGGACCTGGGTCCTAGATGTCTCTGTACCTCTAGCCCCAAACCAGGCCTGACCTGTCTCTTGAAGGAGTATTTGTGTTGAAGATGGGTGGTAACGTTCAGCAAAAGCCATGCCCAGGAGACAGGCACAGTACCCATGGAGACCCAGGGCCAGCTGATGACAGTGATGAATTCCCTTTAGAACTGGCGGACTCTTGGGTGCTTGGAGACACTATATAAATAAGGAACTCTGGCTGTGTGCATGGGAGAGTATATTAACAGGGCTTGGCCTGGCTGTGAGGTGCAGAGATGCCGTTTCTCTCAGGTAAGGAGCCATATTGGGGCAGGGGTTTCCTAATCCTTTTTTGACTCACAAAATACACCTAGGAAATGTTAAATAAATAGTCATTTTTGAGTAGTATATGATAAAGAAGTGATTGATTTTGACTAAAAATATTCATGTTCTATTTTTAGAATATGAAAGATTGTATTATAAAGATCACTTGAAATAAAATTTTAGATAATATATGGAGACAAATTTCTGCTTTTTACATTTAACTTGCTGTTTAATGTATCTCAAATTATTTATGTAAGAGATATATGATTTGACCAATAAATATAAAAAAATGTTATACCATAATCTGGGGACCTAAAGTACTTCACTTTTTTTGTTCTGTTTTGTTTTTGAGACAGGGTCTCTCTCTGTTGCCCAGGCTGGAGTGCAGTGGCCCAATCATGGCTCACTGCAGCCTCATCCTCCTGGGATTAAATGATTCTTCCACCTCAGTCTCCCGAGTAGCTGAGACTACAGGCACATGCCACTATCGCTGGTTTTGTTGTTGTTTTGTTTTGTTTTGTTTTTTGAGACAGAGTCTCTGTTACCCAGGCTGGAGTGCAGTGGCACAATCTCGGTTCATTGCAACCGCCTCCTCCCGGGTTCAAGCGATTCTCATGCATCCGCCTTCCGAATAGGTGGGATTACAGGCATGCGTCACCACACCCAGCTAATTTTTGTACTTTTAGTAGAGACAGGGTTTCACCATGTTGGCCAGGCTGATCTCCAGCTCCTGACCTCAAGTGATCCACCCGCCTCAAGCCTCCCAAAGTGCTGGGACTACAGGTGTGAGTCACCGTGCCCAGCCGCCCAGCTCATTTTAAATTTTTCTTGTAAAGACAAGGTCTCACTATGTTGCCCAGGCTGGTCTCTAATTCCTGGGCTCAAGCAATCCTCCTGCCTTGGCATCCCAAGTGCTAGCATTACAGGCATGAGCTACTGCACCTGGCCCTAAAGTACTTAAAATGTAATTTAAAATTTGCACCTGGGAGGCCAGACACGGTGGCTCACACCTGTAATCCCAGCACTTTGGGAGGCCAAGGCAGGTGGATCACAAGGTCAGGAGTTCAAGACCAGCCTGGCCAGCATAGTGAAACCCCATCTCTACTAAAAATACCCAAAAAAAAGCCAGGCTTGGTGGTGGGCGTCTGTAATCCCAACTACTCAGGAGGCTAAGGCAGAGAATTGCTTGAATCCGGGAGGCAGAGGTTGCAATGAGCTGAGATCGCACCACTGCACTCCAGCCTGGTGACAGAGCGAGACTCCATCTCAAAAAAAAAAAAAAAAAAAAAAAAAAAAGTGCACCTGGGTTAGGCATCTCCCAGAAGCCAGAGTGATTGTTCAAAAACTTAAATCAGGCCAGGCACGGTGTCTCACACCTGTAATCCCAGCACTTTGGGAGGCCACGGTGGGCAGATCACCTGAGGTCGGGACTTTGAGACCAGCCTGACCAACATGGAGAAACCCCGTCTCTACTAAAAATACAAAAATTATCCAGGCATGGTGGCGCACGCCTGTAATCCCAGCTACTTGGGAGGCTGAGGCAGGAGAATCACTTGAACCCAGGAAGCAGAGGTTTCAGTGAGCCAAGATTGCGCCACTGCACTCCAGCCTGAGCAACAGAACAAGACTGTCTCAAAAACAAAAACAAAAATCTTAAGTCATCTCAAGTTCCTCTTGCTTAAAACCCTTGAAAGGCTCTCCAGCATAGTCAAAGCAAATACCAAACCCTTTACCATGGCCTTCAAGGCCCTGCTTGATCTGGCCCCTGCCCACATCACTGATCTTACCTCTTCCTACTCTTTAGCCTTATTCACTGCACTGAAATCCCACTGCCAAGCTTAGCCCCACCTTGGAGGCTTTGCCCTGGCTGCACCCCTCTCCTAGTGCTCTTCCTCCACAACTTTTAGAGGCTAGCTCCTACATACCAGGCAGATTTCAGAAGACCTTTCCTGTCATCCAATCTGAAAAAGCTCCCATCCCAATCAGCGTCTATCACATCACCCTTGTTCTTCCTTTCAGAGCACCTAATACTCCCAGAAAGAATCACATTTCTGTGTTTGCTAGTTGTTTATTATGTCTCTTCTACCAGGCTGGGAACTTCAGGAAAGCCAGGACCAAGTCAATCTTGATCTAGGCTCTGTCTTCAGCATCTAGAACCAGGCTTGGCACCAACTGAGTAGGTAATCCGTAAATAAATTGCTGTTGCTGTGTATCAAAAAGAAAAAACCAAAGTTTGCATGGTCCAGTGCTTAGAAGTTTTGAAATAAAAAATGTAGCTATTTTTTGGCTGGGTATAGTGGCTCACGCCTGTAATCCCAGCACTTTGGGAGTCCGAGGCGGTGGATCACCTGAAGTCAGGAGTTCGAGACCAGCCTGGCCGACATAGTGAAACCACGTCTCTACTAAAAATACAAAAATTAGCCGGGAGTGGTGGCAGGTGCCTATAATCCTAGCTGCTTGGGAGGCTGAGCGGGGAGAATCACTTGAACCTGGGAGGCAGAAGTGGCAGTGAGCTGAGATCGTGCCATTGCACTCCAGCCTGGGCGAAAGAGCAAGACTCAGTTTAAAAAAAAAAAAAGTAGCTATTTTTTAAATTGGAAAACCAATCACATGCACATAGCAAAGAATTGAAATAGTACAAAAGTGAGCCTGTTTGCCTCACACCTTCATATTGATCAGGATAGGACAGGCTGGTCTGTGGTTACAGTGATTTCTTTTTTTTTTTTTTTCTTCCAGAGATGGAGTCTCGCTCTGTCTCCCAGTCTGGAGTGCAGTGGCATGATCTTGGCAATCTGGGCTCACTGCAACCTCCGCCTCCCAGATTCAAGCAATTCTCCTGCCTCAGCCTCCCGAGTAGCTGGGACTACAGGCACACGCTGCCACACCTGGCTAATTTTTTGTATTTTAGTAGAGACAGGGTTTCACCACGTTGCCCAGGCTGGTCTCAAACTCCTGAGCTCAGGCAATCTGCTCGCCTCAGCCTCCCAAAGTGCTAGGATTACAGGCGTGAGCCACCGCACCTGGCAGTACAGTGATTTCTAATATTGCCCATGACTGTTGGCTGAACTCAACTGGTGATTCTTACTTTGAATGGCTTATGTGACTGCGATCACACCAGGACTGGAGTTACCTGAAGACTCAGCTGGGCAGGTTACTGTTGATGGCTCACTCATTTGGCTGGCAGGAGATGCCATCTATTGGCTAGAGGGTCGGAGCTGCAAACCAAAGCACCTACATGTGGCCCCTTCACATGGCTTAGGTTTCTCAGAACATGGTGGCTAGATTCTGAGAGGGAGGCATCCCAAAACATGCATCCAACAGTATGAAAGCTGCCAGTCTCTTACGGTTTGACCCTGAAATTAGAACACATCACTTCCTCTGCATTCTATTAACCAAAGCAGTCACGGACCAGCCCAGATTGAAGGAGAGGGGACATAGGCCCCAGCCTTCAATGAAAGGAATGTCAAGCCAGGCACGATGGCTCACACCTGTAATCCCAGCACTTTGGGAGGTCAAGGCGGGCGGATCATCTGAGGTCAGGAGTTTGAGACCAGCCTGACTAACGTGGTGAAACCCCGTCTCTACTAAAAATACAAAAATTAGCCGGATGTGGTGGCGCACGCCTGTAATCCCAGCTATTCAGGAGGCTGAGGCAGGAGAATCGCTTGAACCCAGGAGGTGGAGTTTGCAGTGAGCCGAGATTGTGCCATTGCATTCCAGCCTGGGTGACAGAATGAGACTGTCTCAAAAAAAAATTAAAAAAGGAATGTCAAAAAAGTCTGGCCATCTTTAATCCACCACATGTGGATACTAAATAAAACTCCAAATCTCAGTCGCTTAAAACAACAAAGGCTTATTTCTTACTCATCCCACATTAGACAATGATGGTGTGCTGTTCTCCCCCAGCAGGGACTTAAATCCTTCTGACATCACCATAATCTCAGTTATTTGATTCCAACTGCTCAGATTGGGGTAGGGGAGAGGGAAAAGATTGACACTAACACTTAATTGCCTTGGACTGAAGTGATACATTCTTCTGCCCAATTCCGACTGGTGACATCACATCTACTAGGAAGGTTGAGAAATGTAGTCTTTCCATAGTCCCTGGAAAAGAGAAATGGGTGTGGATACATCACTGTGGCTAACACACACCACTTTCCCAGTCTCCTCCTCTAAAAGCATCACCACTAACACTACAGAGTGTATACTTCCAGAAATATTTATGCATATACGACACATAAAACACAAAGGGGAACAGGCACAGTGGCTCACGCCTGTAATCCCTGCACTTTGGGATGCTGAGGCGAGCAGATCACTTGAGCCCAGGAGTCTGAGACTAGCCTGGGCAACATGGCGAAACCCTGTCTCTTCTAAAAATACAAAATTTAGCCAGGCATGGTGGCACATGCCTGTAGTCCCAGCTACTCCAGAGGCTGGGGTGGGAGGATCACTTGAGCTCAGGAGGCAGAGGTTGCATTGAGCTGTGACCATGCCACTGCACTCAGCCTGGGTGACAGAGTGAGACCTTGTCTAAAACAAAAAAAACCCACAGAAAAAGAGTAGCATTTACACACTTCTACACTTTGCTTCTTCCTCTTTTTTTTTTTTTTTTTTTGGACAGAGTCTCACTCTGCTCTCCAGGCTAGAGTGCGATGGCACAATCATAGCTCATTGTAACCTCAAACTCCTGGGCTCAAACAATCCTCCCACCTCAGCCTCCTGAGACTAAAGATATGAGCCACCACACCTGGCCAAGCAAAGGATTTAAGTAGACATTTCTTCAGGCCAGACACGGTGGCTCATGCCTGTAATCCCAGCACACTGGGAGGCCAAGGCGGGCAGATCACCTGAGGTCAGGAGCTGAAGACCAGCCTGGCCAACATAGTGAAACACCATATCTACTAAAAATACAAAAATTAGCTGGGTGTGGTGGCACTTGCCTGTAGTCCCAGCTACTTAGGAGGCTGAGGCAGGAGAATCGCTTGAACCCGGGAGGCAGAGGTTGCAGTGAGCAGCGATCACATCACTGCACTCCAGCCTGGGCGATGGATTGAGACACTGTCTCAAAAATAAATAAATAGACATTTCTTCAAAGTAAATATACAAATGGCCAATAAGCATGTGAAAAATTGCTCAACATCATCAGTAGGGAAGTGCAAATAAAAAACCACAATGAGCTAGCACTTTATATCTACTGAGATGGCTGTAATTTTTTTAAAATAAAATAACAGTGTCAGGGAGGAAGTGGAGAAAATAGAACCCTCATGCATTGCTGGTGGGAATGGCTGGTGGTGCAGCTGATGTGGAAAATAGTTTGGAAGTTTCTCAAAAGGTTAAACGTACAACCATCATATGATCCAGCAATTCCATTCCTGGGTTCATATCCACAAGATCAAAAGAATCAAAAGCAGGGACTTGAACAGATATTTGTATGCTGCTATAGTTTGGATGTTTGTACCCTGCAAATCTCATGTTGAAATAGGATCCCCAGTATTAGGCCTAATGGGAGGTGCTTGGGTCATGGGGGCAGAAACCTTATGAAGACATAATGCCCTCCCTGGGTGGGCAGGAGTGGTGAGTTCTTACTTTATCAGTTCCCAGAGAACTGATTGTTTAAAAAGGGCCTGGAGGCCTGGAGCAGTGGCTCACTCCTGTAATCCCAGCACTTTGGGAGGCTGAGGCGGGTGGATCACTTGAGGTCAGGAGTTCGAGACCAGCCTGGCCAACATGGTGAAACCCCATCTCTACTAAAAATACAAAAAAATAAATTTTAAAAAAATCAGCCAGGTGTGGTGGCAAGTGCATGTAGTCCCAGCTACTTGGGAGGCTGAGGCATGAGAATCGCTTGAACCCAGGAGGTGGAGGTTGCAGTGAGCCAAGATCACGCTACTGTACTCCAGCCTGGGTGACAGAGGGAGACTCTGTCTCAGAAAAAAACAAAAAAAGGGCCTGGCCCTCCCATCTCACTCTCTCTTGCTTCCCCTCTTGTCATGTGATCTCTGCACACCCTGGCCCCCCTTCACCTTCCACAGTGAGTGGAAGCAGCCTGAGGCCTCACCAGAAGCAGATGCTAGTGGCATGCTTCTTGTACAACCTGCAGAACTGTGAATCAAATAAACCTCTTTTCTTTATAAATTACCCAGCCTCAGGAATCAGAGTAAGACATACACCCATGTTCATAGCAGCATTATTCACAATATCCAAAAGGTGGAAACAATGTAAGTGTCCATCAACAGATGAATTGATAAGCAAAATGAGTGTGTACATAGAACAAAATATTATTCAGCCATAAAAAAGCATGAAATTCTGATACATACAACATGGATGAAACTTGAAAACATGCTAAGTGAAATAAGTTAGACATAAAAGGACAGATTTATAAATCCACTTGTATAAAATATACAGAATAGCCAGGCTCAGTGGCTCATGCCTGTTATTCCAACACTTTGGGAGGCCGAGACAGGTGGATCACCTGAGGTCAGGAGTTCAAGACCAGCCTGGCCAACATGGTGAAAATCCATCTCTACTTAAAATACAAAAATTAGCCAGGTGTGTTGGTAGGCACCTGTAGTCCCAGCTACTAGGGAGGCTGAGGCAGGAGAATTGCTTGAACCCAGTAGGCGGAAGTTGCAGTAAACCAAGATCACACCATTACACTCCAGCCTGGGCAATGGAGGGATACTTGTTCTCCAAAAAATAGTAATAATAAAAATAAAACAAGGCTGGGCGCAGTGGCTCACGCCTGTAATCTCAGCACTTTGGGAGGCCGAGGTGGGCAGATCATGAGGTCAGGAGTTCGAGACCAGCCTGGCCAACATGGTGAAACCCTGTCCCTATGAAAAATACAAAAATTAGCCAGGCATGGTGATGCACGCCTATAATCCCAGCTACTCAGGAGGCTGAGACAGGAGAATCGCTTGACCCTGGGAGGCAGAGGTTGCAGTGAGCCGAGATGGTGCCATTGCACTCCAGCCTGGGCGACAGAGCGAGACTCCATCTCAAAAAAAAAAAAAGAAATTAAAATTAAAAAAAATAAAATATATAGAATAGACAAACTAATGGAGACAGAAAGTAGACTAGCGGTTACCAGGGCTTAGGGGGAAAAGAGGAACGAGGAAATATTGCTTAATGTTTACAGAATTTCTGTTTGGGGTGATGAAAAAGTTTTAGAAATAGTAGTGGCCAGGCACAGTGGCTCATGCCTATAATCCTAGCACTTGGGGATGCTGAGGTGGGTGGATCACTTGAACCCACGAGTTTGAGAGCAGCCTGGGCAACACAGGAAAACCCCATATCTACAAAATATATAAAAATTAGTGGGGGCGTGGTGGCATGCGCCTGTCATCCCAGCTACTTGAGAGGCTGAAGCAGGAGAATCACTTGAGCCCAGGAGGTCGAGTCTGCAGTGAGCCATGGCTATACTACTGTACTCTAGCCTGGATGACAGAGTGAGACTCCGTCTCTTAAAAATAAAAAATTAAAGTATGGTTAAAAAGGCAATTTTTGTGTTACTTATGTTTTACCACAATTTTTTTTTTAAACCTCACTCAAAAAAGAATGACATCATCTTAGGAGGCCGGGCGCAGTGGCTCACACCTGTAATCCCAGCACTTTAGGAGGCCAAGGCGGGTGGATTGCCTGAGTTTAGGAGTTCAAGACCAGCCTGACCAACATGGTGAAAGCCCGTCTCTACTAAAAATACAAAAATTAGCTGGGCATGGTGGCACACGCCTGTAGTCCCAGCTACTTGGGAGGCTGAGACAGGAGAATCACTTGAACTCAGGAGGCGGAAGTTGCAGTGAGTCGAGATCGCACCACTGCACTCTGGCCTGGGCAACAGTGGAAGACTCCATCTCAAAACAAAAACAAAAAACAAACAAACAAAAGCAAAGTAGGCCGGGCGTGGTGGCTCATGCCTGTAATCCCAGCACTTTGGGAGGCCCAGGTGGGTGGATCACCTGAAGTCAGGAATTCGAGACCAACCTGGCCAACATGGTGAAACCCCATCCCTACTAAAAATACAAAATTAGCCGGGCATGGTGGTGCGCTCCTGTAATCCCAGCCACTCGGGAGGCTGAGGCAGGAGAATTGCTTAAATCCAGGAGGCAAAGGTTGCAGTGAGCCAAGATCGCTCCACTGCACTCCAGCCTGGGCGACAAGAGTGAGACTCTGTCTCAAAAAACAAAAACAAAAACCAGAAAAACAAAGTAGTAAAATCCAGAAGATAGAACTTCTACAAATCAACCAAACTGAAAACGCAATATAAAAATGAGCAATGGCTTTCATCATCAGAAGAGAAAGAAAACTCACTGATCTTGCATGCCCCCAAAAAAAGAAAGGAAAATAAAAGTTAACCACAAAAAATTATAATGTAAGTTAAAGTACAAATGAGGGGTCATTTTTTTACTCATCATATTGGCAAAAGTTAAGACATTGCAAGATATAATCATGCACTGCATAAGGATGTTTTAGTCAGCAACAGACTTCAGATAAGACAGCAGTCCCATAAGATTATAAGACTGTATTTTTACTATACCTTTTCTATGTTAAGATACACAAATACAAACCATTGTGTTACAGTTGCCTACAGTATTCAGTGTAGTACATGCTGTACAGGTTTATAGCCTGGGAGCAAAAGGTTATATCATATAGCCAAGGTGTGTGTGGTGGGCTATACCCTCTGTTTGTGTAAGTACACTGTGATGTTCACACAAGGATGAAATCACCTAACGATGCATTTCTCAGTGCGTATCCTGGTTGTTAAGTGATCCATGGCTATATTCAGAGTTGGTGAGAGCGTGGGGAAAAGGGAGTCCATTGTTCGTTGCTGGTGGGAGTGTAAATTGGTTTAATCTCTTAGGACAATTTGGCCATCTACACACTGATATATATGCACATCCTTGGACCCAGCAGTTGCACTCCAGTGTGCAACAGGATGAATGGTTACAGATATCATGGTACATTCATAAGACAGAATCCAATGCAATTCAAAGAAGGAGCTGGATCTATGTGTCCTGACATTGTAAGTATATGTCTGAAATACTTCATAATACTTCTTAAAACCCGACAGGTTTATTTTTGTTTCTAATGTTATATTCTGTTTCTTTGTCTTTTTTTTTTTTTTTGAGATGGAGTCACGCTCTGTTGCCCAGGCTGGCTGAAGTGCTGTGACACGATCTCAGCTCACTGCAACCTCTGCCTCCCAGGTTCAAGCGATTCTCCTGCCTCAGCCTCCCGAGAAGCTGGGATTACAGGCACGCACCACCATGCCCAGCTAATTTTTGTATTTTTAGTAGAGACGGGGATTCACCATGTTGGCCAGGATGGTCTCGATCTCCTGACCTTGTGATCCGGCCGCCTCGGCCTCCCAAAGTGCTGGGATTACAGGCGTGAGCCACCGTGCCAGGCCTTCTTTTTCTTTTTTAATTGAGACAGGGTCTCTGTCTGTCACCCAGGATCGAGTGCAGTGGTGTGGTCATAGCTCACTGTAGCCGTGACCTCCCGGACTCTAGTGATCCTCCTGCCTCAATCTCCCAAGTGGCTGGTCCTGCAGGGGCATGCCATCACACCAAGCTTTTTATTTATTTATTTATTTATTTATTTATTTATTTATTTATTTAGAGATAGGGCCTTGCGCTGTTGCCCAGGCTGGAGTGCAGTAGCGTGATCTCTGCTCACTGCAACCTCCACCCCCAGGCTCAAGCAATCCTCCCATTTTCAGCCTCCCGTGTAGCTAGGACCACAAGCATGTGCCACCACACCTTGCTAAGTTTTGTTTTTTGTTTGTTTGTTTGTTTTGTAGAGAAAGGTTTTTGCCATGTTGTCCAGATTGGTCTCAAATTCCTGGACTCAAGCAATTTGCCCACCTTGGCCTCTCAAACCGCTGGGATTGCACGCATGAACCACCTCAACCAGCCATATTCTGTTTCTATTATAAATGATGAGATTAAGCGTTCAGACTGCTGTTTGCAAACAGTTTTCACAAATGACACCTTTAGGGGCAGGTTGGCTTTCTTCTCAGTATATGAAAAACCAAATGAGATATGATCATCATGTCTACTTTTTTTTCCTTCCAGCCGTGGTTTTGCAGCCTTAGTGACATCTGGATATGAGTTTGGAGCAGATAAATGCAAGAATCTGGTAACAATCAGCTTGAGGCAAATTTGCAGGTTTATTTTTATGCTTCTTTTTAATTAGTTATTTATATCCATAACCAATAGCCCACTAAATATGATAAACTAATATATTAATAGAATTAAAAACTAAACAGGTCAGGTGTGGTGGCTTACGCCTGTAATCCCAACACTTTGGGAGGCCAAGGCAGGAGGATCACTTGAGCCCAGGAGTTCGAGACAAGTCTGGGCAACATGGCAAAACCCCATCTCTACTAAAGGTAAAAAATAAACTAAACAGTTTAAAAGTCTGAAATGGTTAAAAACATCCATTGTATGGGGAAAGTGGGTTCAGCTGTAGCTGTGTTAGTCTTTTGTTTTTTTTTTTTTTTTTTTTTGAGATGGAGTCTCTCTCTGTCGCCCAGGCTGGAGTGCAGTGGCGCGATCTCGGCTCACTGCAAGCTCTGCCTCCCGGGTTCACACCATTCTCCTTCCTCAGCCTCCCGAATAGCTGGGACTACAGGCGCCCGCCACCACACCCGGCTAATTTTTTGTATTTTTAGTAGAGACGGGGTTTCACTGTGTTAGCCAGGATGGTCTCGATCTCCTGACTTTGTGATCCACCTGCCTCCCAAAGTGCTGGTATTATAGGTGTGAGCCACCGTGCCCGGCTGCTGTCTTAGTCTTTTGGGGCTACTATAATAAAACACCCTAGAGTGGGTCATTTATAAACAAGAGAAATTTATTGCTCACATTTCTGGAGGCTGGGAAGTCCAAGATCAAGACACCAACAGATTCAGTGTCTGGTGAGGGCTGCTGTCTGCTTCAAAGACAGTGCTTTCTCTCTCTATTCCCACATGGTAGAAGAGGCCTGGGAAGCTCTCTTGAGCCTCTTTTATAAGGGCACCAATTCCATTCATGAGGGTGGAGCCCTCATGATTTAATCATTCCCCCAAAGCCCCACGTCTGAATACTATCACATTGGGTATCAGGTTCCAATGTATGGATTTTGGGGTGATACCAACATTCAGACCATAGCAGTTGCTAATGGGGTCTCAGCACTCCCTGACCTTGTGTGCATACCACATGCACTCACTATTCACTATTATTTTATGAAAGTTGCCAGAATCAAAATGGAGTCACTTGGCCCAGAGCGGTGGGTCACACCTATAATCCCAGCACTTTGGGAGGTTGAGGTGGGCGGATCACTTGAGCCCAGGAGGAGGCTAAGCCTGCAGTAAGCCCTGATCACGCCACTGCACTCCAGCCTGGGCAACAGAGGCAAACCCTGTCTCAAAAAAAACAAAAAACGCCAGGCGCGGTGGGTCACATCTGTAATCCCAGCACTTTGGGAGGCTGAGGCAGGTGGATCATGAGGTCAGGAGATCTAGACTATCCTGGCTAACACGGTGAAACCCCATCTCTACTAAAAATACAAAAAGAAAATTCACCGGGCGTGGTGGCGGGTGCCTGTAGTCCCAGCTACTCGGGAGGCTGAAGCAGGAGAATGGTGTGAACCCAGGAGGCAGAGCTTGCAGTGAGCCGAGATCGTGCCACTGCACTCCAGCCTGGGCGACAGAGCAAGACTCCATCTCAAAAAAAAAAAAAAAAAAAAAAAAAACAGCCATACCAAACAGAGGTCACTAGTATTTAAAAAAAAAACAAGGCTGGGTGTGGTGGCTCATACTTGCAATCCCAGCACTTCAGGAGGCTGAGGTGGGAGGATTGCTTGAGCCCAGGAGTTCAAGACCAGCCTGGGCAACATGGCAAGACCCTGTCTCTACAAAAAATTATAAAATTACCCAGGCATGGTGGTGCACACCTGTAATCCCAGCTGCTCAGGAGGCTAAGGGGGAGGATCACTTGAGCCCAGGCAGTAGAGGTTACAGTGAGCCGAGATCGTGCCACTGCACTCCAGCCTGGGCGACAGAGTGAGACCCTATCTCCAAAAAAAAAAATTAATCAATTAATTTTAATAATTTATTTTAGCACAAATTACCTAGAACTTAGCAGCTTAATTAATTAATTAACTTAAAAAAAAAAACCCTGACAGTACGGTCAGGGAAGGATATGAAGAGAGAATTGTTATGCTTATATGCCTCCTAAGAAAAATAATCACAGGCCAGGCATGGTGGCTCACGCCTGTAATTTCAGCACTTTGGGAGTCTGAGGCAGGTGGATTACTTGAGGTCAGGAGTTCAAGATTAGCCTGGCCAAAATGGTGAAACCCCGTCTCTACTAAAAATACAAAAAAAAAAAAAATTAGCCAGGTGTAGTGCCACACACCTGTAGTCCCAGCTACTTGGGAGGCTGAGGCAGGAGAATCACTTGAACCCAAGTGAGCCAAGATCGTGCCATCACACTCCAGCCTGGGTGACAAGAGTGAAACTCCATCTCAAAAAAAAAAAGAGAAAAAGAAAAACAATCACAGGTCGGGCACAGTGGCTCACACATGTTATCCCAGCACTTTGGGAGGCCAAGGCAGGAGGATCACTTGAGGTCAGGAGTTCGAAACCAGCCTGGCCAACATGGCGAAACCCTGTCTCCACCAAAAATACAAAAATTAGCCAGGCACGGTCGCACACGCCTGTAATACCAGCTACTCGGGAGGCTGATGCAGGAGAATCGCTTGAACCCAGGAGGTGGAGGTTGCAGTGAGCCGAGATTACACCACTGTACTCCAGCCTGGGCGACAGAGCCAGACTCTGTCTCAAAAAAAAAAAAAAAAAGAAAAGAAAAGAAAAACAATCACAAACGACTATAAAAACCACAACCTGCAACCTTCCACACAAAAAAAGAAAAAATTAATTAATTAAAAAAAATAAAAATACTTCTGTGAGGGAATCTGCCCAGCAACTGCCTGGCTAACCCCAGACTGGTGTCACCTGATCTCTGTAGCCAAGCATAATTATTTCAAAACAATTATATAATCCTCCTCATTTTTTCCCTTTGAAAACATTTGTCTTCATTTACCTCCCTGAATACACACTGGTTTCTATAGCATGTGTATTCCCATTGCGATGTTCTATTCCCAAATAAACGTCATTTTCTTTTAAAGAGCCTCTCTGTTATTTAGGTTGACACCTTAAAGGGAAAACAGTGTTTGGGATGGAGTGAACTGAAATTATACCTTTCCTCCCCCCAAGGGAAGAATCAAGCATCATTCAATATTGGCTAATGTGGAAAATGCTTCGAAATGGGCAAGAGATGCCAGGCGCAATGGCTCATGCCTGTAATCCCAGCACTTTGGGAGGCCAAGGCAGGTGGATCATTTGAGGTCAGGAGTTCAAGACCAGCCGGGCCAACATGGTGACACCCCATCTCTACTAAAAATACAAAAAATTAGCCAGGCATGGCGGTGTGCATGCCTGTAGTCCCAGCTACTCATGAGGCTGAGGCAGGAGAATCACTTGTACCTGGGAGGCAGGGGTTGCAATGAGCTGAGATTGTGCCACTGCACTCTGCATGGGTGACAGAGCGAAACTCCATCTCAGAAAAAAAAAAAAAAAAGGCAAGAGAGAGGAAGATGACCCCATATTATTTTAAAAGAAGCCAGGTCAAAGTCATGTGAATAAAAGGAATACAAATTTGTTTGGTATGAGACGTGGCAGAGGTGGATTGGGATGAAGTGGCAAGAGGATCCCCTCACAAAGAAGTTAGACCCTCTATGGAAGTGTGTTTGGTTTCAAGAAGTGTTAGAAGGAAAACCAGGCACAGCCACAGGGAAGCTTCCTGTCACAGTACTCCCCCTCCCAGCAGCAGATAGGCCACAGGCTGCCCCTCTGCAGAGATCTCAGCTGACCCCAGGAGAAAGCCACCAGGATCAGAGAAGAGAGGTGGCTGTGAAATTCCCAAGACACAAGAAGGGATCAAGACTGGAGGGGGTGGGGAAACTGACTAGAAAGTCTTCAAGGTAGGAGACCATGAGAGCTCAGATCAGGAGAAGGGGTAGAAAGGCGGGACCTCCTCTGCAGCCTCCACCTTGAGGCCCAACCCCTTGTCAAGAGACAGGGATGAGGGGGTGGAGCAAATCGGGCCCAGTTTCTACCTTCCCCCACCTTGAAATCCTCCCAGCTTTCTAAGGTTTTAGGATATTGATCTATGTGAAAAACAGCCGATTCAATGTGACGCAGTTTGTGGGCAGTGGGTAAAGAGGGACCTGGCCCAGTGAGGAGTAGCTGCCCTCCAACCAAAGAGTCAGAAAAAAAAAAAAAAAGTCAGTTTTGAACACACCTAGTTTAAGGAACTTGTGAGTCGACCAGAGGGAGATGTCCTAGAGGCAGGAAGAAGGCCTGAGCTGGAGGTTTGGGGGCTATAAGCATATGGATGGAAGTGAATGAGGTCATCCCAAAAAAGTGTGCAGAGTAAAGAGAGGGTCTGTGGCAGACCTGGAGGACACCAGTATTTCAGGCTGTCCTAGCCCAATCAGCCAAGACCACCAAGGAACAAACCCATGGTTTGATGAAGTCAGGTTTCTTGTCCCCTTGTAATGAGACAGACAGCACACTGGAGAAACCAAGGAGTGTCCCACTAAGCACAAAGGAAGATAGTTTTACAGGGTTTGGGAGGGGGTGGAGATGAGGTGAAATTTAAATGAAGCAATATTTTGATAGGCTCAAAGCAAAGCAGAACTGTGTATAAAGGGGCTGGCATCAGTTCTGGACTGCCACAGGACCTACAGTCCTGTTTCTTTGGAAAAAATAAGATAGATGTAGAATATTGTGTTCAAAACTTCCTTACCTGGATCTCTGTACCTGCATTATAAACCCTGTCTATTTAGTGACTTAGATCTTCCAAGCAAGTGTTTTTCTTTTTCTTTTTCTTTTTTTTTTTTTTTTTTGAGCTGGAGTTTCACTCTGTCACCAAGGCTGGAGTACAGTGGCATGATCTCAGCTCACTGCAACCTCTGTCTCCCGGGTTCAAGCAGTTCTCCTGCCTCAGCCTCGAGTAGCTGGGACTATAGGCACGTGTCACCATGCCCAGCTAATTTTTGTATTTTTAGTAGAGACAGGGTTTCGCTATGTTGGCCAGGCTGGTCTCGAACTCCTGACCTCGAGTGACCTGCCCATCTCAGCCTCCCCAAAGTGCTGGGATTACAGGCATGAGCCACAGCACCCGGCCTCATTCTTATTCATATAATTTTTAAAAAATTGTTTTTTTTTTTGAGACAGAGTCTCACTCTGTTGCCCAGGCCAGAGTGCAGAGTGCAGTGGCACAATCTCGGCTCACTGCAACCTCCACCTCCCAGGCTCAAGCGATTCTCCTGCCTCAGCCTCCTAAGTAGCTGGGATTACAGGTGTGCACCACCATGCCTGACTAATTTTTGTATTTTTGGTAGAGACAAGTTTTCGCCATGTTGGCCAGGCTGGTCTCGAACTCCTGGCCTCGAGTGATCCCCATGCCTTGGCCTCTGAAAGTGTTGGGATTACAAGCGTGAGCCACTGCACCCGGCCTATTAATACAATTTTGTAAACCAAAAAGTACCTGAGACAGGTCTCTATCAGTTTAGAGATTTATTTTACCATGGTTGAGGACAAACCTGGGAAAGAGACAACAGCCACAGTAGAATCTGTGGCCCATACTTTTTTTCCAAAGAGGAGTTTGAGACCAGGTGGGGTGGTTCACGCCTGTAATCCCAGCACTTTGGGAGGCAAGGCAGGAGGATCCCTTGAACTCAAGAGTTTGAGACCAGCCTGGGCAACATGGCGTAACCCTGTCTCTACAAAAATCACAAAAAATTAGGCTGGGCGCGGTGGCTCACACCTGCAATTCCAGCACTTTGGGAGGCCAAGGCAGGGGGATCACCTGAGGTCAGGAGTTTGAGACCAGCCTGGCCACCATGGTGAAACCCCATCTCTACTAAAAATACAAAAATTAGGCCAGGCATGATGGCTCACGCCTGTAATCCCAGCACTTTGGGAGGCCGAGGTGGGTGGATCATGAGATCGGGAGTTCGTGACCAGCCTGACCAACAGCGTGAAACCTCGTCTCTAAAAAAATACAAAAAAAAAAATTGCTGGGCATGGTGGTGAGCACCTGTAATCCCAGCTACTCAGGAGGCTGAGGCGGGAGAATCTCTTGAACCCAGGAGGCAGAGGTTGCAGTGAGCCAAGATCACGACACTGCACTCCAGCCTGAGCGACAGAGCAAGACTCCTTCTCAAAAAAAAAAAAAAAATTAGCTGGGCGTGTTGGTGTGCGCCTGTAATCTCAGCTACTTGGGAGGCTGAAGTAGAAGAATCCCTTGAACCTGGCAGGCGGAGGTTGCAGTGAGCCAAGATCGTTGCAGTGAGCCACTGCACTCCAGCCAGGGTGACAGAATAAGACTCCATCTAAAAAAAAAAAAAAAAAAGGCAAAACATAATTAAAGTGAGAATTAAAAAAAAATTAGCCAGGTGTAGTGGTGTGTGCCTATAAACACAGCTACTCAGGAGGTTGAGGTGGGAGAATAGATTGAGCCCAGGAGGTCCAGGCTGCAGTGAACAATGGTCTTGCCTCCAGCCTGGGTGACAGAATGAGACCCTGTCTCAAAAAAACAAAAACAAGGCCGGGCACAGTGGCTCACACCTGTAATCCCAGCACTTTGGGAGGCCGAGGTGGGCGGATCACACGGTCAGGAGATCGAGACCATCCTGGCTAACACGGTGAAACCCCATCTCTACTAAAAAAATACAAAAAAAAAAATTAGCCCGGCGTGGTGGCGGGTGCCTGTAGACCCAGCTACTCAGGAGGCTGAGGCAGGAGAATGGCATGAACCCGGGAGGCGGAGCTGGCAGTGAGCCCCAGATCATGCCACTGCACTCCAGCCTAGATGACAGAGCAAGTCTCCGTCTCAAAAAAAAAAACAAAAAACAAAAAAAAAACCACAAACGAACAGCCCCTGCCCTCCCCCCAAAAAAGACAAACTGCATCTCACACACAGGTGACCCCTGTGAATACAGTCTCTGAGGAGTGATGGAAGAGGAAGCCCTGTGAGAGGTGCAGACTGCTACCCTCTAGAACACCAGGATGCCTAAATAGTAGAGGGCAGTTTCATTAGCGACATCAGTTTGCAAACTGAAAAGAGACACTCTCCTGTAGGTACCAAAGGTGCTCTCTCTTTGTATAGGGAAAAGGCAGGCTGGTTGTTTTTTGTTTTTGTTTTTTGAGACGGAGTCTCGCTCAGTCGCCCAGGCTGGAATGCAGTGGTGCGATCTCGGCTCACTGCAACCTCCACCTCCCAGGTTCATGCCATTCTCCTGCCTCAGCCTCCCGAGTAGCTGGGACTACAGGCGCCCGCCACCACACCCAGCTAATTTTTTTGTATTTTTAGTAGAGACGGGGTTTCACCATGTTAGCCAGGATGGTCTCAATCTTCTGACCTCGTGATCCGCCCGTCTTGGCCTCCCAAAGTGCTGGGATTACAGGCGTGAGCCACCACTCCCGGCCTAGGCTGGTTTATGACTCACAGGGTCTGTATTTCACAATAATCATACATATTCAGCAGGTTTTGGGGAAAAGCTATACATATTTATGAGGGGATGTGAGTGCATGCACAATGGGTAAACACCTGTAACATATGTTCCATGTTCACTTTGGGATGGGGTTTTTGCGTTAAAGTGAGGTGGAATTTGGTTCTTTGCATCATAAGGTGGACTATAGGACACAAACACAGTTTGCGTGCAGTCTCTATGAGCTTGCTGAAACTGGCCTGAGGTCTGCAGTTACTTATCAGGAAAGAATGTTTGTAAGGCCTGTCCTCTGTCGATCAGCGTTGTAGTGGTCTGAGTTGTAAATCTCAGTAAAGAAGAGTCTGACAATTTGCATGATAGCTCCTATTGCTAGGGGTTTAGTAAGAGTGTGGTTTTTCTGGCAGCAGTAGAAATTTAAGAAGTTGCCATGCCAGCTGACAGCTGAGCCCTGAGGTAGGCAACGTTTGTTTCCTTAACCTTAACCTTAAGGTCCATCGTAGTTGATAAAAAGGCATCTGGCCAGGCCTGATGGCTCACGCCTATAATCCCAGCACTTTGGGAGGGTGAGGCGGGAGGCCAGCAGTTCTGGGGCCACTGCACTCCAGCCTGACAGACAGAGACCCTGTCTCAAAAAATAAATAAATAAAAAAGATAAAGGGGCATTTGTCTTGATCGCTCAGATCACACAACTAATAAGTAGCATTCTTTCTAAAAGCCGCAACAATGCTACTCCTCTCTTATAAGAGCTACTGTGTAACTCCTGCCCAACTCAAACCCACAGGCCCAGGCTCAGAACACTTGGCTCCATTGCTTCACTGTTTCCCTGCTAGCACGAACCCCCCAAACTCCATCTCCCAACATGCCGCGGGCCCCCTTTCTGTCAGCCTGACTCTTGAGCTCCTGAGAAATGTAGTTTTTCCAGCGGCCCAGCCCCAGAAAGGTCCTAGCCAAGAACTACAGTTCCCATGTGGCAATGCGCGCGCCATTCCGGTGGAATTCACCGCGGTCTCCAGTTTGCCATGATGGATGCCAGAACCTGCACGTGGGGCTTGGTGACGCGATGACTGAGATGCTGGAGTCCCCGGTCAGAAGGACGATGCCGAGCGCGCCGTATTTTCTCCTGCCTCTCCTCAGATCGCCGCCGTTGTTGGGCTGTGGAGACGTCTCAACCAAAGTGGAGCCGACAGAGGCCCCGGGAGCCGTGGTGACAGAGCGGCCACAACCACTAGGGGGCGGGAGGCAGAGCGGCCCCTAGTCCGCCCCTAGTCCGGGACCTCTGGGCGGTCCCGGGCGGGAAGCGCACGCGCAAACGCGGGGCTTCGCGGCCGCTGTAAACACCAAAGAGCGCCTGCGCAAGCCGAGAGTCTCGGGATCGACACGTGGGGGCGCCTGAGCGAAGATAACCGTAATAAATAGTAACCTAACGGTCCAGTCATCGTTCTGTGGTCCTTTCTTTTATGATTCACAAGGAATGACCCTCTTCATCGCCTCTCCTAATTCAGTCCTCACAACAGTCCTTTTACAAATGGGACAACAGGTTAGAGGAAGTCAGGCAGATTTCCAGCATCATAGAGAGTAAAGGACCAGGGAAGGATCAGGATTCAAGGACTGCACCCAGGCTCTGCTTCCAGCTTGCTGTGTGACTTTGGGTAATTTTGTTCCCTTAGGGAACTGAGCTTTCTCATTTGTAAATGCAAACAGGCTGTTGGGAGGATCAAATGAGATCCAGGGGTGAAAACAGCTTAGTTTACTTTCAGGAATTTACCCACGCGGTATATAAAGGCAAAATATTATTATAGTCAGGTGATTGTAGATTGAGGAACCCATTTCCTCATTCTGCAAATTGCAAACCTGAGGGCCCAAAGAGGGACAGGGGCTTGCCCCAGGTCTCAGCAGGCTGTGAGCAAGAGCTAAAGCCTAATCCTCCTGCCTTTGGGCCTGGAGCCCTTCCTTGTACCCCAGGGGTCAGTGTCTTTGTTGGATACAGGCTTAGATTGACTGACTGTACCCTGAGAACCTAGGGGAGTCCCTGTTCCCAATTCTTCTCCTACCCCCACCTTGGCCTGATGGAGGAAGACCCTGCTGTGTTGAGATGAGCACCAGAGCCAAGAAGCTGAGGAGGATCTGGAGAATTCTGGAGGAAGAGGAGAGTGTTGCTGGAGCTGTACAGACCCTGCTTCTCAGGTCAGTGGCCCAAGTAAGGGAAAGAACCCAGGTGTGACAGATGAGGGGGCAGCACTAAGGGGACAGACTCTGAATGGAAAGGAGTGGGAAGGCAGTGGACACTGTTTCTGAGCTTGGGAGGAATTGGGTACTCAGGTAACTCCATCTGGGGGCAGTGGAGCTGGAGGTGATACCTGGGCTGGCCTGGCTGATGAGAAGGGGAAGTGATGCGCATTGAGCTGAGGTCTAGGAGCCACTCCCCAGCCAGGTGAAGCGAGGTGGCACCTAGGCACACCATGGCACCTGCAGGATCATGCAGCTAACCCCAGGGAAGGGGACTTTTCTCTGACCCTTGGAGCGGTGGAGCTGGGCTGTATGCAGCTGATTCTCTCTAGAGTGCTCTTAGAGGTTTTGGGGGTAGGTTGGGGGAAGGGCTGGGAGACCCTGAGGTCTCATTACAGATTGGGCCTCCCCAGGCAAGTCATGAAAGGCAGGTATATGTAGAAATAGAAATCCAAGATCCTTCAAGATATCCCAGATAGGCCAGGCACGGTGGCTCACGCCTGTAATCTCAGCACTTTGGGAGGCTGAGGCGAGCGGATCACCTGAGGTTGGGGGTTGAGATCAGCCTGACCAAAGTGGAGAAACTCCATCTCTACTAAAAATACAAAAAAAAAAATTAACCGGGCGTTGTGGCGGGCACCTGTAGTCCCAGCTACTCGGGAGGCTGGGGCAGGAGAATGGCGTGAACCCGGGAGACGGAGCTTGCGGTGAGCCGAGATGGCGCCACTGTACTCCAGCCTGGCTGACAGAGTAAGACTCTGTCTCAAAAAAAAAAAAAAAAAAAAAAAAAATTAGCCAGGTGTGGTGGTGTATGCCGGTAGTCCCAGCTACTCGGGAGGCTGAGGCAGAAGAATCGCTTGAACCCAGGAGGCGGAGGTTGTCGTGGGCCGAGATGGTGCCATTGCACTCCAGCCTGGGCAACAAGAACGAAACTCCGTCTCAAAACAAAACAAAACAAAACAAAACACAACAACAAAAAGGTATCCAAGATAATTCAATGGAATTATCTGGAGGTGGATCTTGGATTCACCTCCAAGCATTTAATTATCTGGGCCTTCACTTATCATTTCTGTTTTTCAGCCAGAGAAACTGAGGCTAAAGAAGGAAAAGGACCTCTTTTTTTTTTTTTGAGACGGAATTTCACTCTTGTTGCCCAGGCTGGAGTGCAAGGGTGCGATCTTGGCTCACTGCAACCTCCGCCTCCTGGGTTTAAGCAATTCTCCTGCCTCAGCCTGCCAAGTAGCTGGGATTACAGGTGCCCACTACCATGCCTGGCTAATTTTTTGTATTTTTAGTAGAGACACGGTTTCACCATGTTGGCCAGGCTGGTCTCAAACTCCTGACCTCAGGTGATCCATTCGCGGCCTCCCAAAGTGCTGGGATTATGGGCATGAGTCACCACGCCCGGCCAGAAAAGGACTCTATTAAGGACACACAAGGAGTTGGGGTAGAACTGGACTACGACAGGGATCTTTCCATTACATGGCAGTAGTCAAACATCTTCATCAAACATTTATTTAGTGTCTAATGTATACTCCGAGAAGGACTACCTTGGGGTAGCAAATAGAAGCCAGGATTGCCCTCAGACCTGGCTTTTAACCAGCCCTCCCAGTGATTTAAGACTGTGACCCCAGGTGAGTCCCTGCCCCTCTCTGAGCCTCAAATTGTCTGTAAAGTGGGGATGCTAAGCCTTGGGACTGTCTCAATGTTTACCTATAAATTAAATGAGTTAAGACCTGTTATCAAGGTTTACCTATAAATTAAATGAGTTAAGACCTGTTAAGTGCATAGACCAGCACCAGGCCCGTGGTAAGCATTCAGTAACTGTTAGCCACTGTTGTTACTTGTGAACACAGGTCGAGGCAGGCCGCAGATGGGGTTCTCCAAAAGTCAATGCAGGGGCAGAGAAGCAGCAGCCCCAGGTCTGACCATCTCTAGATACCTCCACACCCTGCCCTGGGTGCCTGCATTTCTGAAAGTCAAGGGAGGACCCATGTCCCCATCTCCTCCTCCAGTTCTGGGAAGCTGGCAGGGGAGAAATGTCTCGAGTGTTTACACCTGCACATGCACATGATTCTCTTCCCCACAACCTGAGGCCAAGAGTGAAGATGGTTTTTACTCAAAGCTACACATTACAGCCCTGGACAGTCAGACCAGAACAAGATCCTGGGCTCTTTCTGGCCCTTTCAGGGTGTGGGGTTGTGCATGAGCTTCCTCCCTGCATGGCAGAAGTCCATGAATGCTAACAGCAGGTTCTTGGTCCTCGTTTCCCCTCATGGAGCAGGGGCTGGGGGAAGAGGGGCGCCTGGGTGGGAGACAGGGCCTGACATCAGATACCCCCCCGGCCCACCTTGTTAGTAGTTGGAGGCCTGGCCCTGTGCTCACTTTAGCTCTGTTTCAAGCTTCCCTAATGGAAGTCTGGTTCAAACTCCTTATTTATAGAGGAGGAAAGAGAATCCCAGAGAGGCCAGAACTCACTGAGAGCCCCACGGCGAGGTAAGCGTGAGTCTGGTCCAGAACTCAAGCCTCCTGACTTCAGGTGAGGGCTCTGCCCACAGCCACATGGGAGGGGGCAGGGCTTGATTCCACCTCTCCTCCCCCCACTACCCTCATAGTCATGCTTGGAGCCAGCTCCCAATGTAGCCACCTGGGTGGGCTGTGGTTTGCAGGGAGGGTTGGGAAGATGGAGAGGTAAGGGAAGGAGAGTACAGGGCCCAGTCGGGAGAAACCCAGGGCCGGTCTGGGGCGAGTGGGGCCGAGAGCTCTCCTTGGTGTGCGTGTGGCTGCTGCAGGATTGTGGGGCCTTCATCAGTCTGAGGCAGCAGAGGATGCAGATCCTGTGGGAGCACATTCCTGGAGGAGGGGAGCAAAGCAGGCTCAGAGGAGTGAGTCACGGAGCCCAAGCCCTAAATTTAGAAGGTGCTGAAAGAGGCAGTCTTCCCCCGGGAAGCCTGTGGAGATACCTGCTGACCCAGAACACCAGGGACTCACGGCAGGGAGCAGTGGTTGGCAGGAGTCCCCAGATAGCAGTGCCCATGGAAGCTGAGCCTGCTGCAGGCCTGTTCCAGGTGTGGGTTTGGAACCTAGGGTGAACCTTGACCCAGGGCAGAGCCTTCAGCCCCATTCTCAGACAGAGCCCCTAGAGAATTCCACCCACACCAGTCCTCACGCGGTCCTGGGAGCCAGCCCCTGGAATGTGGACCTCTCAGTGCCATGCTGCCCTCTGGCTAGACATGGCCAGACCCCCTGTGCCTCACTGCTGTCCCAGCATGCAGCTGTCAGACATTGAGGAGGGGCTGTGTGGGTGCAAGGAGCAAATGCCATTGACACCAGGCCTTTCGCAGCTCTGCTTGGATTGGGGGTGAGGGAGGGGGACAAGATGTCATTTCAGCTACCTCTCTTCCCTCTCAACCCTCCAGGCTCTAGGTTAACCCCACTCAGGAGAAAGAAATCATTGCCTCCAGACTGAGGAACAAAGATGTAGGACAGAGGCCAGGCCTCGGAGACAGATGCCAGACCTGGCGGAAGGAAGCTCAGGAACTGAGAACTGATAGTAGCTGTGGCAGTTATTGAGCACTCACTGTGTGCCAGGCACTGTGCTAAGCACTCCACGGGATTAACTCACTTCATCCTCATTGTCATGACAGAAATTCTATTAGTCCACCCAACTTAGATGGAACAACTGAGGCCAGACACAATGGCTCACACCTATAATCCCAGCACTTTGGGAGGCCAAGGCAGGAGGATTGCTTGAGGCCAGAAGTTCGAGACCAGCCTGGGGAGACCCCATCTCTACAAAAAATTACAAAGTTAGCTGGGCGTGGCAGTGCACACCTGTGGTCCCAGCTACTCAGGAGGCTGACGAGAGAGGACCACTTGAGTCCCAGATTTCAAGGCTGTAGTGTGCTATGATTGCACCACTGTACTCCAGTCTGGGCAACAGAGCAAGATCCTATCTTTTAAAAAAAAATGGGCTGGGAGCAGGGGCTCACGCCTGTAATCCCAGCACTTTAGGAGGCTGAGGCAGGCAGATCACGAGGTCAGGAGTTTGAGACCAGCCTGGCCAACATAGTGAAACCTCATCTCTACTAAAAATACAAAAATTAGCCGGGCGTGGTGGCGCATGCCTGTAGTCCCAGCTACTTGGGAGGCTGAGGCAGGAGAATCACTTGAATCTGGGAGGTGGTGGTGAGCTGAGATCGTGCTACTGCACTCCAGCCTGGGCAACAGAGTGAGACGCCATCTAAAAAAAAAAAAAGGCTGAATTTCAGATAAGCAACAAATACATTTTTACTATAAGTACATCCCAAATATTTGCTAAATCTGGTAATCTTACACCCAAGGCACTGCCTCACCCACATTGAGAAACCTTGCAGTGCGACACAGCCACACCCCAGCTCCCACATAGGCCTCAGTCACTCGTGCTCCTGGAGAATGTGCACACCAGCACCGAGGTGACAGAGGTCTGTAGGTTGTCACTCACACACGGCTCTGCACACCCTCTCTAGGGAGGGGCACTGGGCACAGTAGGTGCCTTTCACACTTGGTCTCACCTTCGTAACCCCTTCAGGCAGAAGGTCAGGCAGGGACCATTAGTGCCATCGGACAGATAAGGAAAATAAGGCCCAGTGAGAGAAGACCCTACCCCAAATGTCCCAGCGTATGGTCCCTGGGTATGGAAGCTGGTCTATACCTGAGGCCATGCTATCTCCCTGGGTAGGTCCAGGATCCCCAAGCAGGCCCACAGCACTCAGGCCACAAAGCCTCCCAGAGGAGCCCCTTCCCTCAGGAACAGTAACAGTCTAGGCTATGTTTTGGGGCTGCCCCCCCCAAACCTCTCCTATCACCCAAACGGTGTCCCTGAGCCCTCCCCAGAGTCCCCACCAGTTCCAGGAGGTGGAAACTGTACTGAGTCAGGACACTGAGGCCCCAACTTTGAGATAAAAAAGAAGAAGAAACCAAAAGAAGGAAGTTGTGTGGGTTGCCAGAAAAGAAGCTGTGGTCCCAGGGCTGGAGTTCTTGCCCACCTTGGTGGAGGAAGGCCTAGACAACCTTGTCCTTCCTGAAGACACAAGACACCGATGCCCCCACCCCCACCCAGCCTGAGCACAGAGCTGAAGGGAGGGCCTGGGGTCAGGCAGATGGATCAGGCGCCTCTGACAGGAAACTCCCGGGCTTTTGGAAGGACGCATCGACCCCGCAATCGAACTGAGTTCCTGGCAGGCGCCAGTGTCCAATAGACATCGACAGCGGGAGGACCCAGCAGGCAGAGCGGGGTGTGGCCATCTGGGCCTGGGAACCCTCCGGAAGGAGAATCCACCTGGTTCTGTTTCAGGCCCTGCCCACCTGGGACAAGCCTCTGGCCCTCTCTAGGCCTGTTCTCCTGTCAAGAGGCCTCCCCACCTGCTGGGGATTCTGTCAACTCTGAAGTCCTGTATGGTGGTGGCGGTAGGGATTGCAGCTAGACTTCTCCCTCCCCTGAGCCTAGGGGAGGCAACGGCCCCTGCGAGGCCCAGAGGGCAGCTCCCAGGGTTCAGAGGTGCAGGGATCAGAGGATGGGGTGGGGAGAAGGCTGGAAGAGGAAGCAGGACAGATGCCACAAAGTTCCCTGCTCAGTGGTCTTGTATAATGGCTTGGCCAGGCCATCTGGGTTGAAACTGCTTACTTAGTGGTGTGTGGTCTAGAACAAGTTACTTAGCCTCTCTGTGTCTCAGCTGTCCCATTTCCTTTTTTTTTTTTTTTTTTTTTGGACACAGGGTCTCTCTCTGTCACCCAGGCTAGAGTGCAGTAGTACGATCATAGCTCACTGCAGCCTCGAACTCCTGGGCTCAAGTGATCCTCTCACCTCAGGCTCCTACTTAGTAGCTGGGACTACCAGCATGTGCCACCATGCCCAGCTAAGTTTTACATTTTTTTGTAGAGATGGCGTCTCACTATGTTCCCTAAGCTGGTCTCCAACTCCTGGCCTCAAGCAGTCTTCCCACCTTAGCATCTCAAAGCACTGGAATTATAGGTGTGATTACAGGTGTGAGCCACTGCACCTGGCTGTCGTCCTGTATTTTATCTGGCAACTCCACTTTGGTGCCATGTGTGGCCTGGCATGATCAAGTGTGTGTAGCTGTGTAGGTCTGGCCCTGTGTAATACCAAGGTGGAGTGTTTCTGTATGGGACTGTGACAGGACATTAGGAGAAGTGCAGGTGGGGGTGACCCTGACCTGCACTGACTTTGAGGCTGCGCACTACAGTGTGGCTCCCTGAGGCTCCAGCAGCTCCCTAAGGGCAGGTGTGAGCTGTTTGCTCAGTGAGGCCCAGCAAGGTATGAGACCCACCCTGGGCAAACACTTAGATCCGGCTCCAGGTGGGACTGGGATGGAACACCTATCGCCACTGTGAAGGACACATCCCTCTCAAGGCCGAGCCAGCCCTGGGGGCCTCAGAGTTCTTGGTGCTGAACCTTTTTTTTCCTTTTTTTTTTTAACTGGAGACAGAGTCTTGCTCTGTCACCCAGGCTGGAGTGCTGTGGCAACATCTCAGCTCACTGCAGCCTTGATCTCCCGGGCTCAAGCCATCCTCTTGCCTCAGCCTTCTGACTAGCTGAGACCTCAGGTGTGCACCACCACGCCCAGCTAATTTTTAAATTTTTAGTAGAGACGGGGTTTCACCATGTTACCCAGCCAGGTCTTGAGCTCTTAGCCTCATGCAGTCTGCCTGCTTTGGCTTCTCTAAGTGCTGGGATTACAGGTGTGAGCCACCGCGCCCGGCCTGCTGCACCCTGAGGGTCTCTGGAACTCCTCCTCCATGTCACTGCTTCCTGGTGACATCACACAGGTCACTGCCTAATCTTCTAGAACAGTGCCAGGACACTGCCTTGTTGCCCTGCACAACCTGTGAATTTGCTCCATCAAAACTGGCAGGCAGGGTTACCCCTGAGGAGGGGGTGGGGGAGAAGGGGTAGGGGTGGGACCCTATCATCTCCCAGAGGGGAGATCAAGGCAGCCATCATCTGTCGAACTAGATGGTGAGTAGGGGTGGGCATCCTGGAGCAAGGCTAGACTTTCAGGCCCCTCACTGTCCAGGACACTGGGCAGGTTGGGGGCCACCGAGGGAGGCTGACTCTTGAGGCTGAGAGAGGGCAGTGACCGTGTTAAGGTCACCGGCAGGCAAGTGGAAGGTGTGGTATGTAATACGGGGTGGGAGGAACAGGACCCTCAGGTTAGGAGCTGAGAGGCCCAGGTTCTTATTCCCTTTTTTTTTTTTTTTTTTTTTTTTTTTGAGACAGAGCCTCGCCCTGTCACCCAGGCTGGAGTGCAGTGGCCCAATCTCTGCTCACTGCAACCTCCGCCTCCCAGGTTCAAGCGATTTTCCTGCCTCAGCCTCCCGAGTAGGCTCCCAGGTGCGTGCCACCACACCTGGCTAATTGTTGTATTTTTAGTAGAGATGGGGTTTCACCATGTTGGCCAGGCTGGTCTTGAACTCCTGACCTCAGGTGATCCACCCGTATCGGCCTCCCAAAGTGCTGGGATTACAGGTGTTAGCCACCACACCCGGCCCCTAGGTTCTTATTTCTGCTTTGTCCCTGCTAGTAGGATCTTTGTTTCTCTATCTGTACAGGGAGGGGGTGGGGCCAGATGCCCTTAGTCTGAGGGGTCTTTAGTTCTGCTGTGGGGAGTTGAGGGGAGTGTTAGGGACCAGGTCATGGGGTGGCTGGCTCCAGGCAGGTGCCCTGACCCCTCCCCCAACAGCCATCAGGGGGTAGTGAACAAAAAGTCTGGTGTGACTCTTTCCAAGTGCTCCCTTCCCCGGTTGCAGGAGTCTAGATCAATCCTGAGTTACTGGAGTCCCCTTAGGGCTTCTGACTTGCTGTGTGATGCAGGGGTGCCCCGTGCCCCCCACAACCTCAGCTGCTCTGTCTGCGAGGGGCACGTGTGAGATCCAGGCCTGCCCAGTGCCCTGTGTAATGATGCCTCACATTCCCACGCCGCTTCTCAGTTTGTCAAGCGCCTTCTCGTACACAGTCTCACCTTCTATGCCCACTCTGGCTCCTGCTCCGTGATGCCCCATTCTGGAACTGGGACCCAGAGAGCAGCCAGACCTGGACTCTGGCCTCGGGGCTCAGAGAGACATCTCAATTCACTTCCTGTGGAGGGGACCATATCTGGGGCAGGGGACTGCAGTGGGCAGAGCAGGGGTCATGCTTTGCCAAAGCTGTTTCCATTGTTTGATCTTCCATGAGAATCAAAACTTGCCAAACCATCATGTAAAGATGTTACCTTAACACTTTTTGTTGGAACCATGCATTTTTGGACAGTGTATTCCTCCCTGCCCCAGTCACCCCCACCAGTTATATTTTTAGTTACTTATCTGGGGGTGAAACTGGCACATATACAACTCTTTTCCCTGCCACAATTCTCAGAGGATAGGTATTATTATTCCAGATGAGGAAACTGGGGCTCAGAGAAGGCCTGTCACCGGCTTCTGGTGACACAGCTAGGAAATCAGAGGGCCAGGATTTGAACCCAGCTCCACAGGCCCTTTGTGCTGCTAGGTTGTGGGTCCTCCCCAGACTCCTCTCCCAGAGCCCCTCCAGCCCTCCTGGGCTCATTCTTCTGCTCTGGAGCAGATGGGGCCCTTCTCGGCTGCTTAGGGGTGTTTTGAGAAGGATATGAATGGGCTTTGTCACGTTTGAGAGGTTTTCATGAGACCCAGAGCCAGAGATACTGAAATTCCTGGGAGGGGTGGCATTTGCAAGGGCAAATTAATGATGAGTAGAATGAGGTGATACCCTTCTACCCACCTGCTGGCGAGGTAGCCTGGCCTAAACCTAGGACCCAGGGGATGAGCCCAGGGCCTGGCTGCCTGCCAGGTCGCCCACCTTTACTGACCCAAGATCCAAAAGATTCTTGGTTCTTCTGTGTTTGGCTCTGAGTGATGGTTTCATTCTTGCCATCTGCACCTCTCTGAGTTTTTATCTCTCTGGCAGCTCTCTAGGGTGGGGAAGTCCTTCTATCAGTCTGCCCTCACTGCTACCTCCTGGCCTTGTCTTTTTTACCCTGGACTGGATGGTGGGTATGAGAGGTTTGCTGCCCTGGTACCTGCTATCTGCTGAGGTGTGTTTTATTGGGGCCCTAAAAAGGCAGGAGCCACCAGGCCAGTGCTGCCACCTCTTTTCCTCGTGGCAGATCCAAGAGGATACAGTTCACAAAGCAAAGCAGGCTTTGGCTCTAATGGGGTCCCCTTTGGGTTTTATCTGATACCCACACTGCCTGAGTGTCCCACCCAGGCAGTGTGGGTATCAAGTAAAACTGCTGAGGCCTGGGGAGGGGCAGTGACCTGCCTAGAGTTAGAGGCAGAGGAGGTAGATAGCAGAGAATCAGAGCCTGGGCATCCTGAGCCCAGAGCCAGCCCCCTGCCACCTACTCATTCCCAGACACTTTTCAGGAGTGTGGTTTAGAAGGGATGGGGTGATTATCTGACTGTGCCTCCCACACTGCAGATGGAAGGCCTGGAGATCTAAGGTCATTCACACAGGCCTCATGAGGACCTGCAGCACATTGTCCAGGATTCACTTTGCAGGATGCCCTTTAGGGTCACTTGCCATCATAGCTCCCCGCTCACCCCCACTCATTTTTAAAATGTGGCCTAATTTACAAACATCTCAGTGCTTTAAGCACTTCAGGAAGAAACACCTCTATTTGTGAAGCACCGTGACAAATCCTCGACTCCTCGTTTTTTTCTTAGCACATTTAAGAAAATCTGTTCCACCCTAGAGCTCTAGGCTGGTGAGGCTAGGAGGCACCTTAGGGTTATCCATTCTGATTCCCTTTTCTGGAAATGGAAAACTAAGGACCAGAGAGGAGGAGGCAGCGGGGCACAGACAGGAACGGAGGTGGGAGGAGGCTGAGATCTGCGTGCTGGTCAGGATGACCGTGGCAGGTTCTTGTTGGGCCCTGTTAGTTGCTCATCCAGAGGAGCTCACCACAGTCACTGCGACAGACTGCCACACTCACCCTGGCCTGGCCTCAGAGAAGTTGAGCTACTGGCCTCAGTTCACACAGAGCAGATGGAGGAAGAGCTGGCACTAGGACCCAGGGGGCAGGGGGGAGCCTCCCTGGCTGGAAGGGATGGCAGGAGCGCTGGTGCAGGTAGCTATGGAGCTCTGGCCAACTCTGCCTGGGGAGGTAAGAGAGCCCAGAGCCCTGGGCCAGATGCTCTTGAGAGCCTAGTCTAGTCCATAGCAGGTGTGCGTGTGTGCGTGCATGTGTGTGTGTGTGTACACGCGCGTTGTGTGCATGCTGAGAAGGGGTGCTGGTGGACAAGGGCCAGAGTGTGGGGCTGGAGGGAGTCCCGGTTCAAGCTCCCAGGTAGGAGTGAGACTGGGGTGGAGATTTTGCCCACATCTGGCCAGCTTGTGAACCTTGAGCCTTGTGGGTTGGATCGGCTTCCTGCTGGGTTTGCACAGCCCAGTGGGAATGGGGTTGGGTGTGTGTAGGCTTGGTGTGCCTCTAGCTTGGTGGGGGATGCAAGCTGTGGGCATCTCTGAGCTGCTGTGGGGCTGTCATCCCTGCGAGTTAGTCTCTTGATTGTCATGGGGGTGTGTGCCCATCTTTGGATCTCTGGGGTATTGCATGGGGGCGTCTCTGGGTTGTTCTGGGGACAGCGTGCCTGTGTGTAAATACTGTAGGTTGTTGCAGAGGTGTGTACCTGTGAGTATGGGAGGTGGTGGAGAGAAGGGGTTCACCGTTAACTTCCAGAATTCCTCTTCTTGCACCTCGTGGCCCTTCCTCGCAGAGCCCACTCTGTCTTGGCATCTCCTCACCCCTTTCCCTGTCCCCGCTGGGGACTTGCCCCTCGCGCGCAGGGTCCCCTCCCAGGGCCGGCGGGGGCGGGCGCTAGGACCCTGCGGGGTGGGGCGGGGCGGGGCTCGGAGATCCGTCAGCTTCACCTCCGCAGCCTGGAAAATCCCGAGCCGCGGCCGCCGAGCCCCCGAGCCCCCGAGCCCCCAGCCTAGCCGGGAGGGGCGCGCGGGGCTGGGGCCCGGGGCGGGGCCGGGCGGCGGGACCCACTGCTCCTCCCACCAGAGCCCCCGCGCGGCCCCGGGTCTCCCGGGCAGCTGCGGCGGCGGCGCTGGCACCCCGGCCCCGGCGGGCCCCGGCGGAGCGGCGGGCAAAGGTGAGCAGCCCGGCCTGGAGGGCGCCCCTCCTGCCCCGCCACCCGCCCCGCGCCCGCCCGGCGTCGCTGCGAGTTAGTTGAGCAGGTCGCTCCGCGGGCCCCGCCGCACCGTCCCTCCCCTCGGGTCCCGGCCAGTCCCTGGGTCCCGACGGGCGCCCGCCGGCCACCGCGTCCCATACGCAGTCCCCACGCCGGCCCCAGGGGGTCTGGGGCGCTCCTCGGGAGGGGGACCCCGAGGCTGTCCAGCGCCCGTCCGCCCTTCCCTGGGGCCAGCCCCTACCTCTCTCCAGCTCCCCACCCGCCAGGACCCCGAACAGCCCCACCCGCGCCCCCAGCGCACTGATTCCCGTCCCCAAACCGGTCTTGCAGGTCCCAGGAAGGTGGCGTCAGCATCTGCAGCCGCGTCGACGTTGTCGGAGCCTCCGCGGAGGACCCAGGAGAGCCGGACTAGGACCAGGGCCCTGGGCCTCCCCACACTCCCCATGGAGAAGCTGGCGGCCTCTACAGAGCCCCAAGGGCCTCGGCCGGTCCTGGGCCGTGAGAGTGTCCAGGTGCCCGATGACCAAGACTTTCGCAGCTTCCGGTCAGAGTGTGAGGCTGAGGTGGGCTGGAACCTGACCTATAGCAGGGCTGGGGTGTCTGTCTGGGTGCAGGCTGTGGAGATGGATCGGACGCTGCACAAGATCAAGGTAGGGTTGCCCGCTATACCTGCAGCCTCCACTGCACCCTTACTGCCTCTCTCCCGGAGTCTCCTGGTCCTCTCTCCGGGCTAGACACCTGGCTGTATATCTGGGCCCAGAGAGAGTCTCCTTCCAGGGACCGGGAGGAGACACAGTCTGCTGGGCCAAGCCCCATCACACAGATGGGCCAACCGAGGCCTGGAGAGCAGGAGTGACTCACCCTGCCTCTCTCAGCTGGAACCCAGGCTTCTGCATGCCCCTGCCTGTTCCAGGGATCTGGGCTGCTGCCAGGCCCTTCTAGGAGAGTGGTCTCCCTCAGGGACCCCTCTGCTGGGGAAGCCTGCACCTGGTTCCTGACTTGAGTTACTCCAGGTGGGAGACTGGGCCCTTCTCTCCCTGATTCCTGGTTCTCAGCCTGAGCTGGGTCTCCTTCCCCGCTTTCTGCACCCTGGGTTGCCCAGGACCCGATTCCTTACTGCCCGATGCCCTGCTCTTGCTCTTTCCCTTCCCTCCCTCCCTGGCTGCTCCCTTAGCCTCCTGCAGGGACTCAGGATTGTGGCTGGCAGATCCTGAAGGCAGGGCTCCAATACCCCTGCCTTGCACAGAGCCAGGCTACAGGTGGGCTGGGGAAGGAAGGGGCCTGGGGTCAAGGGAAGCCAACATAGGGAGCAGTTGCAGACACATCAGTCGCTCACAGCCATCTCCCCTGCTCTTCCCAACCCCACAATTCTCCTCTCTTTGCCGTGCAGGGCAGGCTTGGGGTTTGGGACCCTGGGAACGCATATCCCCCAGGGGACCAGATGGGGCAGGGGCTCGTGAAGACTCTGGTTTAAGGGCCTCAATAGCTGCCCCCAACACATCTGATGTTGCTGTGGGTGCTGCATTTCCAGGGCTGGTAGGTCCCCTTGCAATGGGCTCTGGCAATAGGCTGTGCCCTTCGCCTTCCTCTTCCTTGCCTTCTCCCTTCTGCTATCCTCCTGGAAATGTGGAGGAGTCCACCCTCCCCTTCTGCCTGGGACCTAGTCTCAGACTTAGTTCAGGCATGTATCTTGGCCCCTTACCAAGACCTGAGATGTCTGACCTTTCCCCTCTGACCCTGAGCCCTTCTGCCTCACTTTGTCTTAATCATTTACATATAGTTCTGTCCATCCCCACACGATTATCTGCTTTTCACTTTCTGCCTCCCCTTCTCCCCTCTGACTCTGTCTGCACCTTGGCCATCTGACTGTTTTTCCCTCTGGGTTTCCATGTGTGTCTCCCACTTTGGGATTCGCTGCCCAGGGCCTCAGAACCTGTGTCTGAGCCTGAGGAGCAGGGATGGGGAAGGCAGCTGGCATGTCCCAGCTGGTTGTTCCCTGAGAGCAGGGACAGGTCTCCTATCCTTTTTTCTTTTTTTTTTGAGAAGCCTCACTCTGTCTCTCAGGCTGAAGTGTAGTAGCGAGATCTTAGCTCACTGCAATCTCCACCTCCCAGGTTCAAGTGATTCTCCTGCCTCCCAGCAGTAGCTGGGACTGCTGGTGCACACCACCACACTCAGCTAATTTTTGTATTTGTAGTAGAGATAGGGTTTCACCACATTGGCCAGGCTGGTCTTGAACTCCTGACCTCAAGTGATCCACCCGCTTCAGCCTCTCAGGTCCTGTCCTCTTTGCGTCCCCAGCATCCAACACAGTTAGAGCAGGGATATTGGTGGAAGAGAGGGGGGAGGAAAGAACCAAGGAACAAATTGAATGAAAGGTGAGAAGGGAATTCACGAGAGCCTGACTGTGACCTGGGAAAGGCTTCAGGCGGGCAGTGCACACTGGGGGAGAAGTGTAGTTTCCCCACCAAGCTGGCACTCCAGAAAGTCAGAGGAGGAGGGGTCTGAACTGAGGCCAGTACTCCCACCCTCTGTGTCAATAGGGCGGAGCTACCTCCTCCATCTGGCTTGGTTAATGAATAAACCCTACCCAGCCCAGGCCTGGAATTGGTGGGTCTGGGGCCAGGCTGACTGCAACAGACCACTCGTGGCCAGATCAGACTTGTCAGGTGGCCTTCCTTGTGGGTGGCGGGGACTTGGAAAAACTGGGGTGTTGTAGGCTTCTGGACAGGCATACACCCTGGGCAGCCAGGACCCTACCCTCCTTTTCTTTCAGACTGAACAGATGTTGGAGGTGCCAAAGAGCCCTTGGTAATCCCTATGTCATACCCCTCCTGCCCCTGGGATGCAGGCAAGGATACTGGGGCTCAGAGAGGGGCAGGGACCTGCCTAGAGTCACACAGCTGTCTCAGCAGAGCTGGGTCTGGAACCCAGATCTACAGCATCTTGGCAGTCCTCCTGCCTTGCTTCTCCCTGCAGGGTGCCTCCCCAGCTTTGCTCCCTACAATGGAGAGAGGGTGGGGAGAGGAGGTGAGCAGAGCCCAGACCCAGGAAGGAGGCTGGGACCCTGGTTATGGGCACCCCAAGGTGCCAGCTCCCACTCCTGATCCTCTCAGCACAGCTAGTTGGAGCTCTGGGAGAGATGGACAGAGGCCTGTGAGCTTCCCATCCCCAAGATTGCAGGACTCCCAGGTTCCATGCAGATAATCCCATTTCTGATAATGAGAGCCCTGCTCTGAGCCAAGCATTTCTCCCCATCATCTAATTTACCCCGAGGCTAGTCTGGGGCAGTGTAGTCTTGTCTCTGTGTTACAAACAAAGAAACTGAGGCTGAGTGAGGTAATGTTATTTGCCTAAGGTCATGCCACAGCTGAGGCAAGAGTGGAACCCATGCCAGCCTGGCTCCAGAGCCCCTGCCCCTCTCCACATGGGCTCGCATCTTAGTCAACACTGTGGCCTTTAACCCCATCAATAACTCTTTGAAGGCCTGGAGGACGCGTTGTTCTCATCATCCTATTCTTGTTTGATGGATGAGAAAGCCGAGGCCCACAAAGGGGAGTGGCTTGCCAAGGTCACCCAGCAGGTCTGGAGCCAGAATCCCTGGGGATGACTGGGTCACTCCAGGAGGCTGGGACTCAACTGCAGGTGTTTGCTGAGCTTCTGCCCCCCTTTCCCCCTCCCCTCTCCTGCCTCAGCCTGCTCTGGGCCTGTCCCCAGAGCTGGGAAAGCCAGCTGACCCCTGGACATGCCCCGTGCTCCTGATCCCAGGGTGGGGGTGGGACTCCACCTAGCTATCTACCTGATTCAATTCCTCTTCCTCATCTCTCTTCCCCTTACCTGGGTCCAGAGGTCCCTGGAAGCCACTGTGGCTCAAGGCCCAGTAGTTGGAGCCAGGACAAAGAGAAAGGGGCTGTTGGAGGCCACCTCCACCCCTTCCCTCCCTCCTGGCCTCCAGCCTGACCTGGCCCCAGGGCTGCACTGTGCTCTGAATACTGGAAAAGAGACAGACACTACCTCCTGACAGTTCAGTCCCTGTCCCAGGGACAGATGCTGAATGTGGATCCTGGGTACAAGGCAGGGGGCAGCTTGGAGCCTGAACTCAGGTCTCTCAAAGCCCAGGTCAGCTTCCTCATGGCACCTGTATTGGTGTGAGAAACGGGAGACCAAGAGCTTCTGTCAGTCATTCAACCAGGGCCAGCTGGGGTCCAGTCCTGGCTGTTGCATGTGACCTTGGGCACATTCCTGCCCCTCTCTGGGCTGCTTGCCCGTCTGTGCCATTGGGCCCTCTTGGCTCCAAGAGCCTCTGAACTCAGCACCCAGCTGGGGAGAGATGAGGAGCAGGCAGACAGCAGAGGACGTGGCCTGTGAGGCCCTGGCCTGGATGCTCACGTGCTCTGTTCTCCTGAGGCTGGCCGCATGAGAGGCAGGGGAGACCTGCGTATCTCCTCAGAGGTCTTCAGACCCTGGTGGAGAGAGGACAGACAGTTCCAGGTGACCTCCTACCCACTGCACAGGCAGCCTTGGGGCAGGAATGAGGCCTGATAAGAGCCTGAGCCCATGACAGGAGAGACCTGGCCCTGGAGCAGGTGTGGGAGGGGGTGTGGCTGAGAGCCTGAGGCTCTGCTGGCCACAGGAAGCTGGGCAGTGGGGACCTGTCTCCTCTGACTTCCTGTCCTGCTGCTCCTCCCCTTCCCCTTTGGGAAAAGCTCAGGCGGCCCCTCCCAGCCCTGTCTCACTGTCCACCTACCCCACACCACAGGCCACCTGGGTTCCAGACACCAAAGCCAGTGCTCAGCTCATGACCCCTCAGCACCTCACCCTCTCACCCTATGAAATGCCAGATGGCTCAGGGGTCTCCAAGGCCCTTCCCACTCTTACTAGTCTCTGGGACTTAAAAGGGTCATGGGGAAGGTCAGGGCCACGTGTGGGACAGGTCTCCTTAATCCCATCAAGCAGATGTGGAAACTGAGGCTCAGAGCAGGAATTCACTTGTGCACAGCCAAACAGCCGGACATGGCTGAAGCTAGATCAGGACCTAGGTCCTTGACTCGCCAAGGCTGAGATCTCGCCACTCCCTTGGGCTGGGTTATTAACATGATTGGGCCCGTGGGTCTCCCTGTGCTGTGTCATTGTGGGAGGGCACCTTAGAGGAGACCCAGCTGGGCAAGAGTCCAGTCCTCACTATGTGACTTTGGGGGTCATTTCACCTTTCTGGGTCAGTCTTCTTATCGGCGGTGGCAGGCGCATGACTTCATCTAGTTTTAGGGCCTTGGACTGGGTCAGTTCAGGCTCTAGCTTGGCTCTGCCTGCTGTGGGGCACAGTTTCCCCATACAGGAAGTTGCTGGGCAGGTGGTCTGTAGAGGCTGTCCTAACCTTAGGCCAGCGTAGGGGAGGCTGCCCTGCTGGACACAGAGTGAGGATGGTGGCTAAGGTCTTGCCAGTCTATGCCATCAGAGAGGTCCCTAGAAGGGGATCCAGAATCCAGGGTTAGGCCCTGAGCTGCCTGGTTCCAGCTCTGACTTGGCATGGGGGGACCTGGAAGAAGTAGTTCCAGAGCTGTCCTTGGGGAACAGGCTCCCAGAGAGCATGACCCCAGGTAGTCAGTGTCTAGACTTTGGGTTGGAGGAGCTCAGACAAGGGAAAGATCAGAGGTGGCTGGAGGTGTTAGGGAAGTCTTCCTGGAGGAGGTGCCTGGTTTGGGTTGAGGATGTTGGGGAAAGAACACCAGGATCCAGAGTCCTCGCTGTGTGGCCCTGGGCAAGTTCTCTGCCTGGGACTCAGCTTCCTTATCTGCCCTGCCTGTCTTCAGAGACTTCATTCATTCACACATTCAGCAAGCATCCATCATTACCCTCTTTCTGCTTGGCCCTGTGCTGGAGGTGGGGGATGGAGAGGGCAATCAGATCCAAGCCCTGCCCTCAAGGAGCCTCCAGCTGGGTGCTGAGACACACACTTGTCACAGGAGCTCTGGAAATCCAGAGAGGGCATCTGAATCAGCCTTGGGGGTCAGGGAAGGAACTCCACGGAGGAGGAATGTTCAGGTGATCCTTTTGGGTGGGGAATGAAGATTACAAGTTTGATCGTGTCGGGAGCATTCCATACAGAGCAGCAGCTGTGCAAAGGCCCAGAGGTGGATCACAGGGTAGTACATTTGGAGAATGGGAGGTGGTTCAGTGCAGGCTCAGAACTCAGGGGGCTGGAGGTGATTAGAGAGCTAGACCGAGGCCCCACGCCTTGAGTCTTAGAGGCTCTGGGGTGCCAGGGGAAGGTTTTAGACAGGGAGACTGGTAAGAGGGCGCTGCTGCTGTATTTGTCTGGGCAGAGGTGCCAAGGCCCACCTTAAAGCCAGGTTGTGGGGAATGGAGCAAGGGATGGAATCCAGAGAGCCTTAGGCATGATCATGGACGGGATATGATGGTTATAGCATAACTCTTTGCGATGTGCGCACTGTGAAGTGTTGTGCAGGCTGGGATGCAGGACGGCATGGATGTACAGCCATCCTGTACATGGATGGGGCCTGCATCCTAAGCAGGCCAAGGAACCCTTATGAGCCAGAGTGGAGTGGAGGGTGCCTCCAGGCTGTGTCCCTGCTGGGACTAGAGAAGCCCTCAGCCCCCAGGCTGGCTCTGTGCCCTCCACACCCAGCTGCCCAGGCTCCCGCTTTTAAACTTTAACGAGCCCCAGCTCAGTTTCCAGCCGAGAGTCTTTAAAGTTTCAGGAGATGAGAGAAAGGGAGTCCTGGAGACAGATGGGTTTTCTTTCTTCCCCTGCATCTCCATGCCTGGCTGGGCCACTTGGAGCCAGGGCTGTGGATGCCGTGACCCCAGAGGCCTGTGCTCTGTGGGGCTCCGGGGCCTCTGCGGGGCTGTTCCAGTTTGTTCCCGAGGAGCAGGAGACCTGGCCTGGGTGCCTGGTTGCCACTGAGGATAGATGGGGATAGAAACCTTATTTCAGCCCCGATCCCTCACCTTTGCCCCTGACTGGGCAGATGGTGGTGCTCTGGCAACAGGTTGGGGAAAGCAGCTCAGACTACGTGTTGGGCTTGAGACAGCCCCACCCCTCCTGGTGCCTCCCTTCATCCCCTCTGGCATGCTTGGACTGGCCTTGATGCCCTGGGGCCCCTGGAGACTCAAAAGTATGGGCAGCAGAGGGTACCATGCCAATCACAGTAGATTCCTTTCACCTGTCTTTAAAGAGAGCCTGGGGCAGGTGGCACGGGGCAGGTGGCACAGGGCAGCTGGAGCTGTTCTCTGGGGCTTTAGCATAACCATTGCCTTCCTGCCCCTCAGCCTGGGCTCCCTGAAGGCAGGTACTTGCCACCTCTGATGCTTCTCTGGAATCCTATGTCCTGGGGTCAGTGAGCAATGTCTGCACATATATACTGCCTCCTGCTGCCTAATGGGAAGTAGGGGGTGACTGCCACCTCTGCTCTCCCCTTTGGTGCCTGAGCCATTTACTCATCCTTGGGTTTTGTTACCACCTCCATCTCCCCCGGCTTCCTGAGATCCCCTCCACCATCTCCTGCCCCTGCCTGCCGTCTTTGGACCCTGCCAGAGTGGCTGGGGCCTGGTACTTTGCCAGAGAGGTGATGAGTCTTGAGGTAGAGGCCTGATAGCCAGAAGGATGGAGTTCCCTTGTGTGTCTCCACTTGCATACATGCATGCATTCATTCATTGCTTCAGTATGTTTATTGAGGACATACTATGTTCCAAGGATTGTGTCATATCTAGGAATTTAGGGGCAAACCACACAGATCAGACCCTGCTGTCATGGGTTTTACATCCTGAACGGGTGACGAGCAAAATAGAAGCAAACAACTAAATAAGACACCAGATGATGGTTGTGCATAAGGACGAGATAACGTGATAGGGATTGAGGATTCTGTTGGGGCCTTCGTGTGTGGAGCTGAATTGTGGGTGACTGTGTGTGTGATGTGGCCCTTAGTCTGGCAGACACTGAGCTCCTCAGGGGCAGGTGCTGGGTTTCCCATCTCCCCCCTTCCTACCCACGTGACAGCCCCGGGACAGGGGCCTGACAGGGTCAGTCAATCTGTGTTGAAGGTATGTGCGCCTGTGCCTGTGAGTGAGACTCTGTGTGTGTTTCTGTGTCTGGCGTTACTCTGTGTGTGTGAGTCACACCCCCTCACTGCAGAAGCAGAGTTGTCTGTGATCCAATTATGTCTCCTCAGCTGTCTCCTGGCAGCTCCCGCCCCTGGCTCAGCTCTGACTGTGCTGTGGTTTCCCCTTCTGAAGCCCCCTGTCCTGCCTCCAGGGGCCCCAGGGCATCAAGGCCAGTCCAAGCATGCCAGAGGGGATAGAGGGAGGTACCAAGAGGGGTGCAGCCACCTCAAGCCTGTCTCTGGGTCTCAAGGTCTTCCCTTTGGGGTGTGTTTTCTATCCATCTCTGTTCCCCTGTCCCTTAATGGTTACTGGCTGTGTCCTTAATGTCTCTACTGGTGACTTTGTTCCTGTGTCTTAAGGTTACTCTGTCCTTAATATTTATACTGGTCATGTTGTTCCTGTCCCGGTTGTTTATTCATTCAACAAACCTCTTCTCATGCCTCCCACCCATCCTGCCAGCCACCTGGAGATATCAGACCTGGGTCCTGCTCTTAAGAGACTCAAGGCCTCATGGGGAGACACATGGAGACAGTGACAGCCTTTTGTGAGCAGTGTGGGGACAGAGACATATACTCAGGCTGAGTGAGTATATGACTGGCAGCATGGTTGGGGGACGGTACAGGGGCTTCTCCAGGAGCTGGTGTTTGGATGGGGCCTCAGGGGACCAGCAGGATAAAGCAACAAGCTGAGAAAGTCTTGGTGAGTTGGTCAGGGAGGTAGGCTCCCCTGTGGCAGGGGTTCAGGGATAACAGTGAGGAAAAGAAGAGGCAGAACCAGGGTGGGGAGGACATTTTGGAGTTTAGATTTTATCCTGATGGCAGAGAAAGAGAGAGAGAGAGATAGACAGACAGACAGACAGCAGAAGCTTTCAGGCTGGGAAGAGCCATTACCAGCTCTGGGTTTTAAAAAGCTCCCTGGCCACAGAGGACAGAGAAGAGGATGTGGCTACAGGGGTCCAAGTAAGGATGGTGAGGCCTGTCTGGGCAGTGAAGAGGGGCTGCTGGGAAGGTTGTGGCCGAGTGGAATCCAACGGGCAGAGTTGGCTAGAGGTTGAGAGTAAGAGCATAAGGGACAAGTCCAGAGCCATGCCCACTATGACAACGCTGGGCACAGGGAGAACCATGCCCCCTATGGCAGCGCCAGGCACAGGGAGAACCGTGCCCACTGTGGCTATGGCAGCACTGGGCACAGGGAGAGCCATGCCCACTATGGCAGCACCGGGCACAGGGAGAACCGTGCCCACTATGGCAGCACCGGGCACAGGGGAGCCATGCCCACTATGGCTATGGCAGCGCTGTGCACAGGGAGAACCATGCCCCCTATGGCAGCACCGGGCACAGGGAGAACCATGCCCACTATGGCAGTGCCAGGCACAGGGAGAACCGTGACTGCTATGGCAGCGCTAAGCATGGGGAGCGGGAGACATCCGTGGGCTGCCCAGGGTGTGGTGCTCTGGGGGCTGTTGGGGATGAAGCCTGGAACTTTACTGGAGAGCTCTGGGGGCGTCAGTCCACTGGTGATCCCGGAAGCCCTGGGAGGCTTTTTGCCTCTTTGTGTTTGCCTGTCTTGATGTCTGAAGTCAGCCCTGGCCTCTGTGTTGTCCCACTGGCATCCCCTACCCCTTCCCTTTTCTTCTAGGTCCTCCACTCTCTGCCTCCCTTTCTCAGCTCTCCCTTCTCTGTCTGGCTCCCCCTCGCCCCCCCAGGATAGAAGTGGAGAGGTACAGGGCAGGAGGCCAGCCTCTGCAACGTTCATCACTGCTGCAGAGCTGGGCCTGCTGCTCTGGAGCCTGGAGGTGGAGGTGGGGGTGGAGGTCCAGGGAGGCTGCTGGGGACCAGGGAGGGAAGGGGGAAAGAGGCAGAGCAGGGATGAGTCACTCAGCCCTGCATGGAGAGCGGCGGAGAAGGCCTAGCTCAGTCTGCTCAGGGAGCTCTGTCTGGGTGAGACATGGTAACATCTCTACTCTCCACTACAGTCTCAGGGGTTCCACTTTTGGGAAGAAGATGAGTTGGAGGTAGCTGCTGCCAGATCCCCTTCACTTCACAGGAGAGGGCCATAGGGATTGCCTGGTCATTTTGCAGGTGGGAATACTGAGTCCAAAGATGGGGCAAGGAGACCCTGCATTGGGCCCACACCACTGTGCTCTGTGTCCTTCCAACCCCCATGCCAGCTCTAGGCAAGCCAGCCCCAACATCCCCTGAACTCCACACACACCCTCAAAAGCCCTAGCTCCCAGCATGGACTTGTCAGGGATTGTCCTCCTCTGGCCAGGTGCTGGCCCACCTGATTCCTTGGGTCCTACACAGAACAGAGCCTAGTTCTGAGGGAATAGTCTCAGGGATGGACTTTGGATCACGCTGGGGGTTCCAACCTGGTTCCTCCACTTCACTTTTCTGAGCCACCATTTACCAATGAGTATAATTGTCCCTCCTCCCAGATAGTTGAGAGGATAGAATTCAGTGAATTTATTATACCAACCTCTTAGCACAGAGCCTGGCACAGAGCCACACACCATCCACATTTGCTGAGAATGGATGAATGAATGAACAGGTCCCTAAAGGACAGCTCCATTTCCCACTTTTGTGCTTGTTCACCTGGGTTACCTTGTGGCACTGCATTGATCCTTCTCCTTCCCCCAACCAGTCCATGCCGTTTCTAGTTCTCAGGCCATCACCTCTGCCGGGAGCCCCTTCCCCCTCCCTTTCATCTGGGTGCCGTCTCCTCTCCTGGTCATCTTTTAGGATCCAGCTTAGATGTCCCTCCCTCTACCTGCATTTCTGGCTTCCCTTTGTGCCTTCCTTGAACCTAAAGAGTTGTCATTGTCTGTGCCTGCAAGCCCTGCCAGACAACGCAGAGTGTTCCCAGGTTAACTCAGCATCAGATGGGTAGTCTCAGGCCCCAACTCAGCTGAGTCCCAGCTTTCAGGTCCAGGGAGTAAGGAGTTGGGGTTCTGGGCAATGCATTTAATTAGGAAGAAAAAAAGTAAGGCTGGGTGTGGTGGCTCACGCCTGTAATCCTAACACTTTGAGAGGCTGAGATGGGTGGATCACTTGAGGCCAGGAGTTTGAGACCATTCTGGCCAACATGGCGAAACCCCATCTCTACTAAAAATACAAAAATTAGCCGGGCGCGATGGCACACACCTGTAATCCCAGCTACTCAGGTGGCTGAGGTACGAGAATCCTTGAGCCTGGGAGGCAGAGGTTGCAGTGAGCCAAGATAGTGCCACTGCACTCCAGCCTGGGCGACAGAGCCAAACTCTGTCTCAAAAAAAATAATTCTTTTAAAAAAGTGATTTTTATCTCTTGTATAAATGATACTGTAGCACCAGTAATGAGAATCCAAAAAAGAAAAATAAAGATAAATCATCCGGAGCCTCAGTTCCCTGAGTAGAACTTTTTCTTGGTTCCTTCCAGCTCTCATTCAAAGGTGTAGAGTTTGTTCATAGTTTAAACCATGTCACGGGTACTAGTTTGTATCCTGTTTTGTTTATTTAATCTTGCTCTGTAGAAGTTTCTCATATTGCTACAGAATTATTAATGCAGGAACATTTCTGGCAGCTGTTCCCTATAGGCCTGTCTGGGTTCTGAAGGTGCAGAGCTAGCTCAGTGGCCACCCCTGCTCGGGGGAACCCTCCACCCTCTGTGATGTGCGTCATCATTAGGGTGATGTCACTCTTACCCGAACTGGGGCTGCTGCTGGTAGTGTTCAGGTGGTTCTCCAGTATAATTTGCTAATTGCAAATTCAATAATATACTCATGAATATTGTAACATAACTTTTTTTCTTATTTTATATTTTTTTCTGAGTACAAATTTGTAGTCCTGGGATTCTGGGAACTGAATTGAAAAATACATTTTTGGTGGGGTGCAGTGGCTCACACCTGCAATCCCAGCACTTTGAGAGGCTGAGGTGGGAGGATCGCTTAAGCCCAGGAATTTGAGACCAGCCTGGGCAACATGACAAAACCCCATCTCTACAAAAAATACAAAAATTAGCCAGGCGTGGTGGCACACACCTGTAGTCCCAGCTACTGGGACAGTGAACTGTGATCACCACAGTGGACCAAGAAAGAAAGAGAAATTTCTTTTTAAATCATTCTTATGATTTAAAAAGTATTTGCCAAATTATTTTCTAGAATAATGGAACCAATTTTTGCTGCCACTAACTGTGTAACAGTTTTACCATACCTTCATAAGCAGTGAGTACCTCATAAGCAGTGAGTACCTCATAAGCAGTGAGTATTTTATATATTTTTGGTAATTTACTGAGCATAAATCGGTACCTCAGTACAATTTTACTTTACTTTTCTTTGACTGTCAGGACTATTAAAGATCTTAAAGCAAGTCCCAGAATCTCCCCTGAACCTGTCTCTTGGTATTTCTGACGCCTCATGCCTCCACCCCCCAGCCCTTTACCCCTTTTTAAGAGGATGATGGCGGAAGTAGTAATAGTAGTTGTCCTTGTGTTATAGAGATCTACAAGAGTTCAGGGATTTTCACGGCTGCACCTCCTTCTGAATTATACAGATGCACTGAGGGCCACGGACCAGGGCTCCAGCATTCTAAAAGTCAGAGAAACCCACACAGGCTCAGCCTCTTTGTTGGCTTACCTGCCCATCCCTCCATTCAGGAACAGCTCCTTATTGAGCGCCTGCTGTAGGCCAGGCCCCCTGCAAGGCATGGAGGATGCCAAGATGAGCAAGGGGCCACAGCATTGCAGGCAAATGAATGCATGACAACGCATGCTGAGGGGGGAGCTGCTGGGGGTCTAGGAGACAAGGAAAGGTGGCCTCCAGCCCATACTGGAGAGTTTAGGGATAGGGCAGGCTGCCTGGACAGGGGGCAGCCAGTCTGAAGTTTGAAGACATATTGAAGACATAATAGGAAGGGAGCTAGTGAGAGGAAGTCCTGGGAAAGCATTCTGGGCAGTGCTGGAGGAGGAGGTGCCTCAGCACCCCTCATGACAGCACTGAGCAGACCTCTCTCCTTCCCCTCTTCCCCTGAACCCTCAGGTCTGTGCCCTGGCGCAGCTCTTGGGATTTTTTTGGGGGGCGGGGGGAGTGTAAAGTGAAGGGTCTTGGTGGTCTCCATTTTGGGGGCCCCAGAAACCCAGAGGCAAGAGGCAGGTGCTCCATCAGCTTGGCCTGATGCTTGCCTTGTGGGGGCCTCAGGGAAGGGCAGAGTGGAGGGCCCTGAAGCCAGCAGCTGGTGTGTGGGTCATGGGAGGAGAAGCAGGAGCAGAAAGAGCAGAGGGGCACTGGCGCTGGGGCTCGGACCTGCTGTGTACTGTGGGCCAGGCTTTGCATCTCTCAGAGCCTCCTCTCCTGGTCCAGCATGGTGAGGGCAGGGCCTGGCTGTGGGCTGTGAGGGTAGAGGGGCCATCTGTGTGGGGTGTGAGAGAGCTGCCCACCCCCTCGCTGTGCACTCACGCTGTGGAGGGATCTTGGCATTTTTGTTATTTTAAACTTTGTTCCTTGTTGTCCTTGTGTGTCCTGTCCTTTGGGGGTTAGTGGGAGGTGTTCCCCCAGGGCAGGGCCTGAGAAATCAGGGAAAGTTGCTGGGGCCTGGGGCTGGAGGAGGGGCAGCTACTGCCAAGGGTTTTAGGGACCAATCTCATCTAATCCTTACAGGACCACTCTGAGGAGAGGATTATCTCTGCTTGACAGATGAGATGTTGGGGCTCAGAGTTCTTTGCCCAAGCCAAGGCCACACAGCTGGGACATGGCAGGGCAGAGGTCTGTCTGACACAGATGGACCAGCACTGCTGTATGAACTCTGGGCCTGCAGGCGACAGGTGCTTCAGGTTTGGAGCCCCAGCACTGGGTTCTGGAAAATCTGGAACTTGGGTCAGGAGCTTTGTTTGGAGGAGGAATCTGTGAGCTTTGCCTCCCTGGTCAGCAAAGTGCTGCATTATAACCATCAACTAAGGCAGCCTCCAGTTGCCAGGGTGTTTGTTTTAGCTGGGCCAGTCCTGCCCCTTGGTGAAGGTAGCAGAAAGTCCTGACACTGTAGGGTCAGTCACACCTGGACTCTGGTTCTCTGCTTCACTACTGTTAGCTGTGTGGATTGTACCTCCCTGGGCCTCAGTTTCAGCATCTGTAAAATGGGGGCGATGCTTCCTTCTGGGGTGTTGGAAGGGTCAGAGGCAATATCTGCAAAGGATGCAGCTCTGTGCCCTTGACAGCTGGCAGAGGTGGTTTGAGCTAAATTTCAGCCCCTGTGGGGTCCATGGTCCAGGTGCCCCTGTCTCCTTTGCGGGGTGCTGAATGGTCAGTGATTTCGAGCAATGGTAATGGTTATGGAGGTTGGGGCTGTTGTTCAGGGCTGTGATTGATTTGATACTTTGTGCCCCACCCCATCAGGAATTCTTCCTCTCATTTGAATATGGTTCTGTTGGGAAAGGGTGATTTGCTTAACAGTTACTCTCATCACAAAACTATCTGCTGAAATGCAATGTATGGAGAAGTTAGAACAGCCTGTGGGATATTTCAGAGCCCAACTGAAGCCAGGTTTCCCCAGTGGTCACCTGAAGGGTTCTGAGTGAAGAGATCATTTCCTGGGTCCCTAGGACTTTGGGATAATCTGTGTGCCCCACATATCCCATGGGCAAGGATACTGGCGTCCTGCTGTGTAAGGTCTTGGAGGGAGGATTAGCCTTAGGTCCACCTGTCTGTGTGTGTGTCTGCTTGTAACTGCCTGGGCCTTTGGCTCTCAAGGCCAGGACGTGGCCCCATGGAGGGGACCTGACTTCCTTTCCCATCTCAGGTCGACCATCTCCCTGGGTCTTGGGAGAGACTGCTGCCCCTCCCTGGAGTGGAGAGTCCACCTTCTCTAATGCTCAGCACTGGCAAGACATCCCAGAGAACACAGTCAGGGGGCGGGAGAGAGGTGGGGGGTAGAGTGAGATACAGCTTGGGCACTGGACCCTGCACTGTACTTGTTTGTTTAAGCCTCCAGGCCTTTGCACCACTCGTCCCCCTGCTGAAATGCCCTTTCCTGCCCCTCAGTGGCTCAGGGCCTTATCCTTTTGGGCTCAGGTGCACTCTACCATGCAGTTCATGTGCATTCGCCTCTCCTAGCCCTGCTCGTGCTATCTTGAGGTTTTGTGTCCCTGTCCCTTACCACTCTACTTGGCGGAACCTCTTTGGGGCAGGGCTCAGGTCTGGTTCACCGCCGGTCTCCCACCACACAGTTGCACACAGGTCTGGCACACAGCAGGCTTCAGAGAATGGTGAAAGGATGAATGGAAGGGCAGGGCAGGGTGAGATGTGGGAGGCACCCAGGGTACATAGTATCTGCAAATGCAGCCTAGTCCTGGCCACGTGGAAGGGTGCATGGCTACTCACGGAAACCCACTGGAGTAATAATAGCTACTATTTTTTTTTTTAAAGACTAGTCAAATGCAGTAGTGAGAAGGGGGAAAACAGTAGAACAAGGAGTTCGATCTGTAACTTACTGTGAATAATCAATTGAGATCACTCACTACATTTGGACCAGCCAATAGCTACTCTTTTTTTCTGTTTTGAGTTAGTCTCACTCTGTCACCCAGGCTGGAGTGCAGTGGTATGATCTCAGCTCACTGCAACCTCCTCCTTCTGGGTTTAAGTGATTCTTGTGTCTCAGCCTTCCGAGTAGCTGGGATTACAGGTGTGCGCCACGACACCCAGCTAATTTTTTTTTTTTTTTGTATTTTTAGTAGAGACAGGTTTTCACCATGTTGGTCAGGCTGGTCTCGAACTCCTGACCTCAAATGATCCACCCGCCTCGGCCTCCCGAAGTGCTGGGATTACAGGTGAGAGCCACTGTGCCCGGCCTATTTTTGAGTATTTACTACGCGCTAGGCATATTACATGCGTTATCTCATTTAATCACAACATCCCCATGAGATAGCTGCTATTATTATTTCCATTTTTCACATGAGGAAATGAAGACTCCTAAGCATTAACTCTTGTGCCCAGGAGACAGAGCTGGGATTGAGCCTGGGATTGCCAGCCTCAAAGCCTGTGTGGGTCTTTCCTGCGCCTTGCTTGTTCAGTCCCTTCTGATTGTGGCTTCATGGGAATTGGGGAGCTGTGGAGTGCAGTGCTGGTCCCAGGGGTTCTCGGGAATCCCGGTTTTTCACCTTGAGAACTTGAGGGGGTTTGGAGAGTGGAGTGCCTGGGACACAGCCTGTAGTTTCTCTGGTGTCACTTGCTCCCCCTGGCCTCAGTTTTCTTTTTCTTTTCTTTTTGTTTTTGAGACAGAGTTTTGCTGTTGTTGCCTGGGCTGGAGTGCAATGGCACAATCTTGGTTCACTGCAACCTCCGCCTCTCGGGTTCAAGCGATTCTCCTGCCTCAGCCTCCTGAGTAGCTGGGATTACAGGCATGTGCCACCACCCCGGCTAATTTTGTATTTTTAGTAGAGATGGGGTTTCTTCATGTTAGTCAGGCTGGTCTTGAACTCCCAACCTCAGGTGATCTGCCCGCCTCGGCCTCCCGAAGTGCTAGGATTACAGGAGTGAGCCACCGCACCTGGCTGGCCTGTTTTCTCAAATGTAATACCACTGCATGTCGGGGTCCCTGCTGTCACCAGGCTTTAAACGTACTCAAGCCCAGCATGGCTCCTTGGTGGAGCAACACCCCTTGGGTTCCTGTTTCCAGGGGGAGTTTCTCCGGGGGCAGCCAAGATGGCCTACCAGGCAACACCTGACGGCAACATCTGGTGTGGACACTCACTCAGCCAGGGCCTAATAGCTGGGGGTTCCTGGTACCGGCCCGCCCACCTGGTGCTCTCCAGAGACTCAGCCCTACCCCGCCACCTGTCCCTCCCCAAGCCTCTTAGAATTACACCTTTGGGGCGTGGCCACCGCCGCCCGCAGGAACAAAGATGGGTGTAATTTCTTCTGCTTAGCGCAGCAGTGCTGCCTGCTGGGGGCTATGGAAAGGGCACGAGCCAGGCCAGGCTAGGGAGGCCTGTGGACACTTACCTGACCCCCACGACCCGGCCTGCCTCAGTTTCTTCACCTGCGCTGCCACAGCAAAGGTTCTTACTCTCTGGGCAGAGGCCTTCCTCCACAAGAGTCTGCCACTAGCCTGGGAAACCTTTGAAGTTTCTCTTTATGAGATAAAGTGCTACTCAGAGTTTACGCTGAGCAACTGGTCTGTCTCGTGGCTCTGCATGCTCCGGCCACTGTCCTCTGTCCCAGAGGTGGGTCTTTGGCCTCTGGAGCCTCAACAGCCCTGCTCTGGGAGCCTCTGGAAGGAGGATGGGGCAGCATGGGCCCCTTCCCAGTGTGCATTCAGCTGCTTTGCAGCTGGGCCCTGGGAGCACTGAGCCTGGCTAGGGAAGAGGCAGTCCCAGGTTGGATTCTAACCTGGGAAGCAGGGTTTTGTTGTCACTGCCCCTCCATCCACTCATGGTCCAGGATAACATGTTTGAAGATTTGCAGAGCCAACTAGCATCCAAATTTGGATTTAGAGAAATTCTGGTTTCCTCAGAAGCCACGCTTGAGTGCTCTTTGATGGTTAAGAACACAGGGAGATCCGATTTTGAGTCCCTGCTCTGCTGCTTTCAGGCCCTATGATCTGGGCAAGTTGCTGAATCCCCCAAGCTTCAGTTTTCTATTTTTCAGTGCAGGAATAATAACAGCGACCACCAGCTAGGTTTAGGGTGAAGAATGAGTGCGTGTTGAACATTTGGGGCAGTGCCTGGACCTCCCTGTGGCCGCTTAGGAGGCTGTTTGGATGCTAACGATGATGCCAGATCCGGCCTCTGTCTTCTTCAACCCCCTTTCTCACCATCGCGTTCCTCCCTTCACTTTGTTCCTTCATTCATTCACTCAGTCACTCACATCTCATTAGTCTCCTCAGTCTAATGTAGTTCTCTCTGTGACTGTCATGATCCTGACACTTATAGGCCAATTATTTTATAAAATGAGACAAGCCCTCATTCTGGGTTTGTCTGAGGTTCCCTTGTGATTCTATTTATGTTATGTCTCTGTGGCAGAGGTAGCACAGAAGTGATACCTGTATTCCTCTCACTGTGTCCTACCAGGCAACACCTGACAGCAACTTGTCCTGTGATTAATGAGATTCCCTTTGATCACTTGATTAAGGTGCTATTTGCCAGGCTTCTCTACTATGAAGTGACTAATTTTCCCTTTGTAATTAATAAGTATTTTGATGGGAAGTTACTTTAAAACTATGTAAATCCCCCATTCCTCATCAAACATTCCATTTACTTGTTTATTCATACCTGTATAGACTTTGGTTTCCTATTTTATTCGATGGAATATCTACAGTTATGGTCATTATTGAGTTTAATATGCAGCTTATCTCAGATTGAGCCCATGGTAGAGTGATCAACTGTCCTAGCTTGCCTGGGACTGGGGGATTTCCCAGGATGTGAGACTTGCAGTGGTAAAACTGGGGAAGTCCTCGGTAAACCTTGAAGAGTTGGCCACTGTGCCAGGGGAAGAGCCCTTCAAGCTGGTTCCGGTGTCCAAAATCTCTATCATTCTTTGAGTATTTGCTTACTTCCTGGCACAAGAAGATGTTCCATGCTCATCTTATACTTTCTCTGACCCAGCCCTGGAATCACCCATTTTTCCAAGAAGACCTAGAACCAGGGACCTTTTGAGTAGCAGGCTATACCACACCACGGAGACTGAGCCAGATGGAACTCATTCACTGCCCACAGGCCACACTCTTGCCTGCCTCTGCACCTTGGCTGGCTGTTCTTTCTGCCAGGGGCACTTGGCAAACCCCTACCTCCTGCACTGAGATTCTCCATGAAGCCTGATCCCCCGACCCAGCCCATGGAGCTGATTTCCTTCTTATGCCCCCAATGAGCACTTTAGGACATCTCCCCATTTCCAAGGTGGGCTCCTCCTTTCACTGCAGACCTCTCAAAGACAGGCCTCGAATTCATCTCTGACTCTTCTGGGCTCAGTACAGGGCTGGAGCTGGGGGCTGCTGATTAAATGGTTGGATCTAGTTATGCCCCATTATAGAGCAGAAAGGTAAATGGGGTAGAAAGGGAGGGTGAATTGTTTAGGGTGACACAAACAATATTGCAGTCTCGAGTCTGTCCTTGAACCTTGTTTTTCTTAATCCTATAATGGGGCCAATATCCCAGAGCGCTGCTGTAAGAATAAAATAATGTGTATAAAGCACTTAGTGTAATACCTGGCACATGGTGGGTGCACCTGTCAGTATTGCTGGGGGACCTTTCCAAATTGTTTTCATTATTTCAGAATTAGTACTATACATGTTAGATAATAAGAAATATAGACAAGTGGCCGGGCACAGTGGCTCACACCTGTAATCCAAGCACTTTGGGAGGCCGAGGCGGGAGGATCACCTGAGGTCAGGAGTTTGAGACCAGCCTGGCCAACATGGTGAAACCCCGTCTCTATTAAAAATACAAAAATTAGCCAGGCATGATGGTGGGTGCCTATAATCCCAGCTACTCAGGAGGCTGAGGCAGAAGAATCACTTGAACCCGGGAGGCGTAGGTTGCGGTGAGCCAAGATCGTGTCATTGCACTCCAGCCTAGGCAACAAAAGCGAAACTCCATCTCAAAAAAAAAAAAAAAAAAAAAAAAAGAAAAGAAAAGAAAAAGAAATACAGACAAGCAAAATGAAACCATCACATTCCTATCTATCATTTAGAGATCTCCACTGTTAACACCTTAGCAATTGTGCTTCCTGAGCTTCCTCTATGCGTATATTTTTTTTCCCCCAATTGAGGTTATGCTGCTTTTTTTTTGTTTGTTTTTTAAGATGGAGTCTTGCTCTGTCACCCAGGCTGGAGCACACAGCATGATCTCGGCTCACGGAAACCTCCACCTCCCAGATTCAGGCGATTCTCCTGCCTCAGCTTCCTGAGTAGCTGGGATTACAGTTATGTGCCACTACGCCCAGATAATTTTTGTATTTTTGGTAGAGATGGTTGGCCAGGCTGGTCTCGAACTCCTGACCCCAAGTGATCTGCCCGTCTCAGCCTCCAAAAGTGCTGGGATGACAGGTATGAGCCACCGCGCCCAACCTATTTTGTAACCTTTTTTTAGGCAGCAGTTTCCACCATTTTGTTTCTGTAAATTTTCAGTGCATTTGATACTCTGATCATGTTCACTTTTCTCCAGTTGTCCCAAAAATCCCCTTTATAGATGGTGTGTCCAAATCAGTTTGCAATGCAGAGACACACTTTACATGTGGTTGTTATGTCCTGCCAGTCAGTCCCACCCAGCCCCTTTGTTTACGTTGACCAGTAGAAGAGCCTGGGCCAGGAGTCCCGTGGAATGATTCACTGTCTGGCTCTGTCTGGTTGCATTCTCATGTGGTGTCACTTAGCTCATTCCTCTGTCCTCTGTATTTTCTGTAAACTGAAGTTATATCCAAGGCGTGATGGGTTTCTTGGTGCCTAGAATAGCTAGCAGGTGTCGGTGTGTCCTTCCTGCGGCATCCCACCACCATTAGTGGGGCCAAGGCCTATTCTGGGATGAGGGGGAAGACAGTGTGACCTCTCCCTCATATGGTTGCTTATCTCCTCTTGTGAGTGGAAAAGTATTATGTGAGGGTTCCCTTGGCACTGTCTAAATGCCAGTTCTGGGAGATCTTTTTAAACTACACAAGAAAACTTGTCCATTTGCTGAGAGGAACTTGATCTTGGGGATAGGGCACTTGGGTAAAAAAAAAAAAAAATCACAGAACAAGGATATTGAGTTTCATCTCACTGAGTGCAAACCTAGGGAAACCTCGTTCTGATTTTACTTGCTTTCCAGACATGTGATCTGGGTTAAATCCTGGCTCTGCTACTTACCAGCTGAGTGACATTGGGCGAGTTACTTAACCTCTTTGAGCCTCAAGTTCCTCCTTGGATTTCTTATCTGACAGAGTTGTTGGTGAGGGGGTTAAATAAAACAAGGTGTCCTTGGCCGTCTTCTACCCAGATGGAAAGCTCTTTGAGGGCAAGGCTAATACACAGTAAGAAATCCAGGCTGGGCGCGGCGGCTTATGCCTGTAATCCCAGCACTTTTGGAGGCAGAGGCAGGTGGATCACAAGGTCAGGAGTTAGAGACCAGCCTGGCCAACATGGTGAAACCCCGTCTCTACTAAAAATACAAAAAATTAGCCGGGAGTGGTGGCAGGTGCCTGTAATCCCATCTACTCAGGAGGCTGAGGCAGGAGAATCCTTTGAAACCGGAAGGCAGAGCTTGCAGTGAGCCGAGATCACGCCACTGTACTCCAGCCTGGGCAACAAGAGCAAAACTCCGTCTCAATAAATGAATGAATGAATGAATGAAAAAAAGAAAGAAATCCAGGCCGGGTGTGGTGGCTGACACCTGTAATCCCAGCACTTTGGGAGGCCGAGGTGGGTGGATCACAAGGTCAAGAGATTGAGACCATTCTGGTCAACATGGTGAAACCCCATCTCTACTAAAAATACAAAAATTAGCTGGGCACGTGCCTGTAATCCCAGCTATTCTGGAGGCTGAGGTAGGAGAATCACTTGAACCCGGGAGGCAGAGGTTGCAGTGAGCCAAGATCGCGCCACTGCACTCCAGCCTGGGTGACAAGAGCGAAACTCCATCTCAAAAAAAGAAAAAAAAAATCCAAAGATGTTTGTTGAAGGAAAAACAAACAAACAAACCACAAATAAGAGGACAGGTGGTATGGCCGCGTGATAAGTACCAGGGAGGAAATAAATCATCCACTTTGGCATTCGACTTTCATTTATGCTTTCATTTCATTTAACATGTAGCTATTCCAGGCTCCAGGCTGAAGCAACCATGAGCCTCTGCCCACGAGGAGCTCACAGGGGTCTGGGAGGGCACAGACATAGAGATGCATTGTGTGGGAGCCCAGAAGGTCTGGCTGGGAAGGCTTCCTGGAGGAGGAGACTGGGCTGAGTCGGGGGAGATGGTCTCTGGATACAGAGGCTGTCTGTCTCCTGGCACAGGTGGCTTTTTGGGGAGCTGGACAGGGCTTGTGGCAAGAAGGAAGTCCATGCTGGTTTCAGAGGCCCCTGTTCTTTGCTGTCCTCTTTCTCTTCCTCCCCCTCTGCCTGTCTGCCTTCTGGTCCCCTGGCCAAGGCTCTGAGCCCCATATGATCCTGACAACCCATATATCTTGTCTGCAGTGCCGGATGGAGTGCTGTGATGTGCCAGCCGAGACACTCTACGACGTCCTACACGACATTGAGTACCGCAAGAAATGGGACAGCAACGTCATTGAGACTTTTGACATCGCCCGCTTGACAGTCAACGCTGACGTGGGCTATTACTCCTGTGAGCAGGCGTAGCACGCTGATCCCAGTCCCCTTGGCCTCCATCCAGGCCTCCCACCAAGCCTCCTCTTCCCCCCTCCCTCCTGTGGTTACTCACATGACCAAGCTGCTCGGAGACTTGAGTGCTGAGAGATAGAGCTGCCCTCCCTGTCCACTCCTAGACCCTTAGGCACACACCCATACACTTACAAATACATATGCACTCACATGTTCACGTATATACATACACACATAGGCATACACTCAATCAGGCACACAGCCCCCACCCACATGCCACATAGTCCCAGGCACACATTTTCATGCACACTCATACTGTTTTTCTCTTGTACACTCACGTTCACGTAGACAAACCAGCCAGGCCAACAATGTAAGGGCTATGTGAGGCTGTAAGGAGCAGGGCTGGCTGGAGACAGTAGGGACAGGTCTTGCCCTGTCTCTTTTCTGGCTCCAGCTGTGGGACTGTGGTCTGGGAGGGAGGTGTATCTTTGCACTGGAGAGCTGGCAGTTAATTAGGCATCCCTGCATCTCTGGCCTCTGCCACACCCTCCCTTGTAGGCAGGTGGACCAGTGGTCTGGCTGAACTGTCCCTTGCCCCCCACAGGGAGGTGTCCCAAGCCCCTGAAGAACCGTGATGTCATCACCCTCCGCTCCTGGCTCCCCATGGGCGCTGATTACATCATTATGAACTACTCAGTCAAACATCCCGTGAGTCAACCTGCCTTCCCTGCGGTGGAGCAGGGGAGAGGGTCAGGCAGCGCAAGGCTGAGGCTGCCACCATGACTTCAATATGACTTCGGGCAGGCATGGGCCCACTGGCCCTCAGTTTCCTTCCTGTACAGTGAGGATAATGGCTCCTCTCTCCCTGCTGGGTCTCTTGAGCAGATCAGGAGAGGGCAGTGTGGCCACCTCTGTGGCAAGTGGGTGGGATGGGCTGACTTCGATTGGTTGGGCTCTGGGACAGGGAAATGAGGAACAAGAGGTGAGAGGCAGGGTCCTCTGGTCCTCCCTGAGGCTAAGCCACCTTGATCTCCCTGGGCAAGGACAGGCAGGTATAGCTGGCCTGGGCAAGGGTGAGTGTGTGTGTCTGTGAGTGCCCATATGTGCTCATGAGCCCTGACCCCAGACTGGGGGCTTTTCTGAGGGGAACAGGAAAAGCTTCAAGAGGGGCTAGGATGACCTACTCTGGTTCTTCCCTTTCTCTGCACCCAGAATCAGGACTGATCTGTAACAGATGTCACGGCATGTGAATTAACTGTATGTGTGTGTGCGCGTGCGCGTTTGTGTATACTCACAAAAACATCTTCTTTGCCCCCACCCCGAGTCTCACCTCCCTGTGCCTTCCATCCCCAGAAATACCCACCTCGGAAAGACTTGGTCCGAGCTGTGTCCATCCAGACGGGCTACCTCATCCAGAGCACAGGGCCCAAGAGCTGCGTCATCACCTACCTGGCCCAGGTGGACCCCAAAGGTGAGGGCTTGGCCCTGGCAGCCTATCATGGGATCCTTCCCTATACCACAGGGGTGGGGCCTGATCTACTAGGGATCCAGAAGGGCATCTGTTAGGAGCTGTTTTGCATTTTGGGGCATTTCCATCCAAAGCCTTCCTTGAACCAAGGCTTGGGACTTTACAGTGGTTTGAAAAGAGTGGGCCAGGGAGGTGCCACTGCCCCACTGATGAAGCTGGGAGCACTTTTCCTGGGCTCTGCCGTCCCCATGCTCTGCCTTGTTCCCTGCTCACTGGCTGTTCCCTCTGCCTGTCCTGGATGCCTGGGTTTTCTAGGCCTTAGTCTTCTCTCCCTGGGGATGGCTCAGCCACCCCTGTGGCTTCTGTCACAAGTGGCCATGTCTCTCTCAGCTGAGATTCAGATTCCTGTGGCCATCGGCCACCTGGACATCTCCCTTCGGATGTCTTCCAGGCACCTAAGCCTCGTTGTGTCCAGTGGGGAACTCGCCATCTTTCCTCCTAACTTGCCCCTTGCCCTAAGTCTCCACTTTTCAGTCACCCATGCCCAGAACCTGCCATCATTTGGGGTCACTCCCTCTTCCTCAGCCAAATCCAGCCATTGATTTTTTTTTTTTTTTTTTTTTTGAGACAGAGTTTCACTCTTGTTTCCCAGGCTGGAGTGCAATGGTGCAATCTCGGCTCACTGCAACCTCTGCCTCCCGGGTTCAAATGATTCTCCTGCCCCAGCCTCCCGAGTAACTGGGATTACAGGCATCTGTCACCACCCCCAGCTAACTTTTTGTATTTTTAGTAGAGATGGGGTTTCACCATGTTGGCCAGCCTGGTCTCGAACTCCTGACCTTGTGATCCACCCACCTTGGCCTCCCAAAGTGCTGGGATTACAGGCGTGAGCCACCGCGCTTAGCCCCCGTCACTGATTCTTATTGATTCTGCCTCCTCCTCGGCAGTTCCTGAGTCTGGCATTTCTCTCCATACCAACTACCTTGTCTGTGTATAACAGCGGCCAGAGGAATTTCTCTAAAACACTTATCTCCTCATGACTCTCATCTGCTTGAAGTTACTCTGTGGCTCTCCATTGCCCTCCAAGAAAAGCCTAAGCCCTGTCCCAGGTCTCCTGGTGTCTCTCACACCTCACCCATCCCCACTTCTGTGCCCAGGCAGCCCTTCCCCGAAGCCTCCCCTCCTCGCCCCTCCAGGGGTGCTGTGGGTGTCACCTCCTGATCCCTGACACTCAGGGGAGTCACTGGCTCCCTGTTCTGTAGTCCATTCCCCTCTAGTAGAACAGTCGGCTCCTGTTGGGCCCCCAGTGAGTTCCTCTCTGGGTCCCCAGGGCTGGCCCAGGGTGGGTGTCACAGTGAACATGGAGTGAGTGAGTGAGTGAGTGAGTGAATGACTAGAGGATGGGGAAGCCTTGAGCATCCTTGCCTGGAAATGCTTCAAGCCCCAGAGCGCACAGTGGTCCAGGCCTAGCACTCCCCCGGCACCTCATTGTGTTGGGTGTCAGAGGTGGAGTGGACACTTGGGAATGAGATAGGGTGGAGAGCTGGGCAGTGGATTCCAGGTCAGGCCAGGCTGGGGTGCTCAGCCAGAGGCCTGTGTGGTCAGGGGAGGACTTGGAAGGACAGGCAGGGGAGGGGCTGAGCGTCAGGGGCATTCCTGGGAGGGAGGTTAGGTTGAGAAGGGATGTCAGTGTGATTGAGTGAGGCAGCAGGTGCAGCAGGGTGGGTCAGAGTTTCCACCCATGTATAGCCTGTGCTTACCTAGGACCCTGTGGTTTTCTTCCACGTAATCTTTGAGGCTGGGCAGAGGGAAAGTGGGGGACAGAGCTAAGCCTGAGGACTTCGGTCTGAGGTGGAAGGGAGTGAGGGTAAAGGCTTGTAGGACTTGCCTCACACACCTCCTCCTCATGGGGAAGACAGTGGCCTCCCTGGAAGCTCTGGGCAGAGGGTGGGGCTTTTGTCAGGGGCGGAGGGGCTGGGTCCCTGAGGCTGCTTCCTCCCTTCCCTGCCCTCACAGGCTCCTTACCCAAGTGGGTGGTGAATAAATCTTCTCAGTTCCTGGCTCCCAAGGTGAGTGGCCTTGGGATTTTGGGGAGGGGTGTTGAAGACTGGAAAGAGGACTATGGAATGAGGTGGGTGGAGTCAAGCCTGGAGCCTGAGGGCCAGGCGTGGTGGCTCATGCCTGTAATCCCAGCACTTTGGGAGGCCTTGGCAGGTGGATTACCTGAGGTCGGGAGTTCAAGACCAGCCTGGCCAACATGGTGAAACCCTGTCTCTACTAAAAATACAAAAATTAGCTGAGTGTGATGGTGGGTGCCTGTAATCCCAGCTACTCGGGAGGCTAAGGCAGGAGAATCACTTGAACCTGGAAGGCAGAGGTTGCAGTGAGCCGATATCATGCCACTGCACTCCAGCCTGGGCCACACAGTGAGATTCCGTCTCAAAAAAAAAAAAAAAAAAAAAAGAATGGAGAATGGAGCCTAGGGCCCAGGGAGGGCAAGTAGGGCTGAGGAGTGAAGTTTTGAAAGGGAGCCAGTCAGGATGCTGGGGGCTGAGCCGCTGGAGGGGGGTGTGGAGAAGACCTGCCCCCTAGCCACCCCCTGACCCGGCGGGGCGGCGGGCCCACAGGCCATGAAGAAGATGTACAAGGCGTGCCTCAAGTACCCCGAGTGGAAACAGAAGCACCTGCCTCACTTCAAGCCGTGGCTGCACCCGGAGCAGAGCCCGTTGCCGAGCCTGGCGCTGTCGGAGCTGTCGGTGCAGCATGCGGACTCACTGGAGAACATCGACGAGAGCGCGGTGGCCGAGAGCAGAGAGGAGCGGATGGGCGGCGCGGGCGGCGAGGGCAGCGACGACGACACCTCGCTCACCTGAGCGCCGCACCGCTTCAGGGACGGAGACAGGACCGGGCGAGCCCTGGGGCGGCGGCCGCTCCTGCACTTTCTCCCCTCCCCCACCCGGCACCTGGTGGCACCGGGCCAGGCCCAGGCGGGTGCTGCAGCCTGGCTGGACAGAGCCCCAATAAACGATCCCACAGCCTCAGCCGGCTCATCACTGTGCCTGCTTCCCACCTGCCTCATGGCCGCTGCCGCGGTCCCCTGCGTCTGCCCTTAATTTTGTTAAGGTTGTTGATCATCCGGCCGTTGATCCTTCCAGCATCTCCTCATTTCCCATTGTGTAGCGGGGAGGAGACGGGGTTTATCACTGCCCCCCTTCTGTCCATACTCTGTTCCATTCTCTGCCCGTATCTATCCAGCTGTCCTTGTTGAGCGGTCATTTTGGCATTCACGCCAGGCTATTTGCTTTCTTTTTCACTGCTTTAAGGCAGCGGTCCCCAACCTTTTTGGCACCAGGGACTGGTTTTGTGCAAGACAAATTTTCCATGGATCAGGATTGGGGAAGGATTGGTTTTGGGATGATTCAAGTGCATCACATTTATCATTAGATTTTGATAAGGAGCGCACAACCTAGATCCCTCGCATGCGCAGTTCACAATAGGGTTCTCCCTCCTATGAGAATCCAATGCTGCTGCAGATCTGACAGGAGGCGGTAATGCTAGCTCAGCCTCTGCTCACTTCCTGCTGTGCAGCCTGGTTCCTAACAGGTTCCTGACAGGACCAGTACCAGTCTGTGGCCCAGGGGTTGGGGACCTCTGCTCTAAGGGAAGGAGCAGGCCTTGACAGAGACCCTGGGTCAGGAGTCAGAGGGTGAGGTTCTACTCTGTGTCCTTCGGCCCAAGGCCCTTTGGGTCCAACCTATGGACTGGGGTCTGACACTCCTGTCATCCCAGAAGGGAGGTGGAGGGGTCCGTGGGTCTCAAGCCACAGGGCTGTGGGTCTCAGAGCTGAGGCTGGGGCAGCATACCCTGGAGGGAGGTCAAGGGTGCAGGTGAGGGGCCTCAGATTCCAGTGCAGTTGGTGGGGACCAGGCTTGGTGATTCACGCCCTCCCTAGGTCATTTTGAAGACCTCAGGACTGTGTTAACAGAAATGGTAGGGTCCCCAGACCCCCTATCCCCTTGCCAGTGGTCAGATGCCAGCCTTCTCACCCTGTGCTGCACCTCGCTGGTCTGAAGTCTAGAGGGACGCCTGGGCCTCCCCTGTGATCTGTGGCCCCCAGGTGCCCTCTGCTGCCCAAGGGACACCCCTGCTGCCAGGACCAGAGGAGGGGCCTATGCTCTGCTCCTCTGCAGTGTTTTTGACCCCATATGAACTTGGGGCCCGGAAGTTCTCCGCAAGGTCTGGCCCTGTTCTCCCCTCCCGGAAAGCTCCTTTGCCTTAGCCCTACCACCAGAAGACACGGTCTACTCAGTCAACTCTTTCCCAGAGGGACAGGGTGAATGGCCAGTGGGGGGCAGGCAGGAGATTCTAGAACTCATAAAAATGGGTTGCTTCCCAGCTTTGCCCAACACTGGCTTTGTAACTTTGGGCAAGCCCTCAGACTTCTTGGAGCCTTATTTCCTAACCCATAACCTGGGATGATAATTTTTGCCATCAAGCAGAATGTAAGGATTGAGATAAAAGGAATAAATTGCCCAGCACTGGGACTAGCATGCAGTAGGTGCTCCAATTAATGACACTTTCCTCTTCTCAGGGGGTAAACCCTCATCCCCCGCAATGTGAGATCTGTTCTTCCAAATATACCCTTTGTGCATATAAAGAAATTGAAGCCCAGGGAAGGTCTCTGGCGTGGCTGGCCCCGGAGGTGTTCTGGACACAGGACCCAGAAATGTCTGCCAAGCTTGGTACCCTCATCTGTGTATGTGCTGGGAGGATGGGTGGGAATCTCCTGTTCTCTAGGTGTGGGTGCTGGAACCTCAGGCTGCAGCCTTCCGCTGAGGGATCCTTGGGAGGTGTGGCTGGGTGGGTAGCTTCCCCACAACCCTGCCTGTGGGCACCCAGGGAGGGAAGTGAGATACCCTTGAAGAATGTGGTGGAGGAAGGATTTCCTAGAGGAGGTGGTCAGGCACCACTGACGGCCTTCAACTGCCTCCTATCCCCCTGGGGGTGTGGCCCTCTTGTGGGTGGGGTGTATGTCAGGGCAGACTCACCAGAAGAGGGGTGGCGAGAGCAGGGAGACTCAGGGAGAGGTGGACTCAGCGGGCGAGGTGGCGGGGGTTAGACCTGAGCCTCAGGAGACAGTCGGAAGACCCGCAAGCAGCTAGAGGGGCAGGAGAGAGACACAGACCGACGGGTCCGGCGGGCGGGCCAGGCCAACCAACTCCAGGACCGTGACTAGGCGGGGGGAGGGGCCGATGAGGGGGCGGGGCCCTGCCCTGCCCTGCCCCAGCCCCACCTTCCCCTCCCCGGGAGTCACGTGGGGCGGGCGGAAGCGCCCGGGGGGGTGGGCGCGCCCGGCCCCTTGCTGCAATTTGGCGGTGGCGGTGTAAGTCGGTGGCGGCGCCGGTACGCCTGGTCCCCGCGTGGAGTCTTTACTCAAAACAGGTCAGTGCGGCTGCCGGAGCCTCCCCGTCTGCAGGCCCCTCGCCACATTGGCCTGCAGTTTCCCCATTCTGCAGAAAGGAACGCCGAGGCCGCGCGCTGCTTCTGCTTCCCCGGGTCATCTTGTCTGTTTACCTTTTTGGGCGTGATGGGGGGGTCGCCTCTTGAGGATAAGCCAGCGGGCCAGAGACGGTAGGGAAGGGGGGTGAACCAGCGGGACCCGGGGCTTCCAGCCCGTAGCCCTTTGGCGTGAAGGGTCTCTGGAGTCAGCCGCCCTCGGGCGCCTTGGGGTTCCCATCTGTGAAGTGAAGGCTCCCACCTCGTTGGCCGCTGAGACCTTTACATTTCTGGAGATCTGTACGACCCTATGCCCTGGGCCTGGGGCTCCAGTGACCTTGGGCAGGCTACTTCCGGTCTCTGCATCTCAATTCCCCACCAGTAAATGGGGCATGGCTTCCCCAGAGCCCCTACCTGGCCCAGTTGCTGGTGAAAGAAAGTATGTGCTCAGGGAATGGGGTCACGCTGGGAGTGGGGTGGTTGGGCCTGGAGAGAGCAGGCTTAGGGTGCAGCCTGGGGGCAGGGGATGGGTGTTTGGTGCAGGGCCGGCGGGGAGGGGGGGAATCTGGCCAGAAGCCATCACGCTGTGGTTTCTGCTATATACCGTCCCTTCCCCCACATCCCATATCCTGGGGAGCCTTCCCTGATCCCAGATAGGTGGGAGGGGGGTGCTTCAGGGCCAGATACCTGGGGGTACTCGGAAGGATTTGACTCTTTGGTGGGTCCCAGGGTCCCAGACTGAGGCACTCATGATACCTGTTCGCGGAGAGTCCCCAGAGGCCAGGCTGGGAGAGACTGCCCAGCAAGATCATCACAGGGTAGAAGGAGCCCAGCAGAGCCTTGAAGACAGGTGTGGACAGGTGCAGGCCCCAGGGGAGGGGATGACTGGAATGGGCTTGGCAGTTAAGTGGCAATTTACAAGGATAAGGACCCTCCAAAGGCGAGGGCGTAGCTTGTGCAAAGTCAGGAATTTGGATGGTGTGTCTGAGGAATGGCAGAAAGGTGGGTGTGGCTGGCAGAGGTGTAGAGAGAACTCATCCTGTGTCCCATTCCTGGCTGGGGATTGTCAGGACTGGGCCTGGGGACCTTGCCTCCCCATTGGCTACTTGCATATTGGAGTAGTTTAGGAAGGGGGTGTCCCAGGCAGAGTACCGGTGACTGATGAGGTGGAGGGGGCAGAGGCCACCAGAGCCCTGATGGCCCCCAGGTTTTGTTTTGCATTCAAGCCTCCTACTCAACCCCAGCTTTATACCCCCACCACCTGGGCTCCAGCCATGCTTCACACATCCAGCCTCAGCTTTTTGTACAGATTGTTAATCCTCCTCCCAACCCTCTAGAAGCTTCCTCCCCATTCAAATCCCCAGGTCCTTTGGGACTTCAGGTTTCAGAGATGGGCTGCTGTTGCCCCTCCTTCCTGCCCAGCCTTCAGTCTTGTGTAATGGCACAGCTTAGGAAGGGTCTCCTTGGAGCTCTGTGGGGATGGGGCCTGCAGAGCCATGGGGATCATGGGACCTGGGGCCCCGAGTCCTTGTGCAGCCACCAATCACTATGTGACTCTACAAGTCCCCAAATTCCTCAGAGCCTCCATTTCCCCATCTGCAGGATGGAGTGATCAGCCCTGGCCTCATGCCCCAAAGAGAGACGGTGCTGGGGCAATAGTCAGGCCTATCTGCTAAGATGCTGGGGCAATAGGCCTATCTGCTAAGTCCTGTCTCCAGCATTGAGAGTTTGAATGAAAGAAAGAGAGAACCCAGGGGAAGGGGTCAGTTTAGAGGGGTTGGGGGGGTGTCTGAGAGTATCGGGGGCTAGTGGTGGACCAGGCCTAGGGCATCGGCTGGAGGTGGGGAGTCCCTTCCATTTTCCGGAGCCCTCTCTCCTTCCCACCCAACTCTCCCTTGGCTGAGCTCAAAGCCACCCGCCACTGCCCAAACAAGTGGCCTCTGTTCCCAGGGTAGGGGGAGGGGAGGCAGGCCCTGGGCTCCAGGCCCGCCTGTCCAGCGCTGACCCTGGCCCCCCGCCCCTCACTCTAGGTCTTAACCCTTGGGGGCCTGGACCGGGCCCTGGGCTCCTTGAGGGCTGGTGATTCTTGTTCACCAGCTGTCCCCTCTACCCCGCTTCAGGCTCCCAAGGGTTCTGTCACATCAGGAGGGGATGCAGTAGGAAATGGGGAAGGAAGGAGGGAACAAGGGTGGGGGACAGGCTGGAGCAGATATGGCCATGGACACTTAGAGACCATTTGGCCTAAAAGCTTCTTTCACAGATGGGGAAACTGAGGCCAAGAGCTAGAGATGAGGGTAGGATCACACAGAGACCCCTGGTGGGGGTCAGGACAGGTTCTGTCTCCTAGTCTGGCCTCTCTGGGGGAAAGGGGAGAGAGGGAGAGGGAACTTTTTTTTTTTTTTTGAGACGGAGTCTTGCTCTGTTGCCCAGGCTGGAGTGCAGTGGCACAATCTTGGCTCCACCTTCTGGGTTCATGCCATTCTCCTGCCTCAGCCTCCTGAGTAGCTGGGACTACAGGCGCCCGCCACCACACCTGGCTAATTTTTGTATTTTTAGTAGAGACGGGGTTTCACCTTGTTAGCCAGGATGGTCTCAATCTCCTGACCTCGTGATCTGCCCGCCTCAGCCTCCCAAACTGCTGGGGTTACAGGTGTGAGCCACCACTCCCGGCTGGGAGAGGGAACATTCTTTGTTGAGTACCTGCTGTGTGCTGGACACTGCACATTTGTCATCTAATGATTTACATAATTGCATAAGAGCATAAGACGACCATCACCCTCCAATATCATAGTGGAAGTAACAGCCTTAGAGAAAGCTGAGTAATAACATCAGTGAGAATGAGGTCAGCAAACATGCCTATAGCACTGTTGTAAAGTTTTATCCATATTAACCAATTCCACCCTGCCAATAACCCAAGAAATTAGGTGACATTCTACAGATAAGGAAACTGAGGCACAGAGAGGCTAAGTAACTTGTGTAAGAATACATTGGGAGGGTGGTAGAGAGACAGGGTCAGGACCCAGGTGTTCATTGCCTCCTTTGTCTGACTTCACTTTGATCTTACTCTTTGAGCACCTCCCAGGGCTGAGTGAGGTGCTTTCCCCGGGTGGTGACCGAGGCAGCCTTGAACAGTGTGTGACCCCAGCTAAGCTGACCCAGTCCCCGCTCTGGAGCAGAGTCCAGTCCCTCGGGCAGCTCTTCTCATTTCTTTCTCTGGTCTTGGGCAGGTTAGAGTCAGCACCCTCCACAGCCCTGTGCAGAGAGGTGTTATGTTTTAGAAAGGAGTTCTGTGCTAAGGGTGGCCACTCCAGGGTTCTGAACAGCATGAGGATTTGGTGGGTGGGGAGACATCCCCATCCAATGTGCATGCCCCACAAAACTCAGAGGCTGCCGCTGAATCAACCCCAGTGTCCCCAGCTCTGATCAGAGATAACATTTTTTCCACCTTCCCCTACCCCTGGCCAGGCCCCCAGACTGTATGTGCATTCCAACCAGGGATCTGAGGAGGACAGTCCCACCTGGAGGCAGATGACCCCAGATGTGAAAGATGGTGGGGGGCAATGCATGGATTGTGTTCCACATGGTCTTCCTGTGGAATGTCTCTTTTTCTCATCCTTGGGCCGTAGTACAGAGGGGAAGAGCCTGTCCCATAGTTAGGTTATCTGTCCTAGGCCACTGGGACAGTCAAAGAGTGGCTGGGAGGGGACGTGGAGTTAAGTGACCAGTTCAATAACAAATCATTTTTTTTTTTTTTGAGATGGAGTCTTGCTCTGTAGCCCAGGCTCAAGTGTGGTGGCATGATCTCGGCTCACTGCAACCTCCGCCTCCCGGGTTCAAGCGATTCTCCTGCCTCAGCCTCCCGAGTAGCTGGGATTACAGGCACGCGCCACCATACCCAGCTAATTTTTGTATTTTTAGTAGAGACGGGGTTTCACCATGTTGGCCAGGATGATCTTGAACTCCTGACCTCGTGATCCGCCCGCCTTGGCCTCCCAAAGTGCTGGGATTACAGGTGTGAGCCACTGGGCCCAGTCAACAAATCATTATTTAATAGTAGTAATAATAGTAGCAGTAGCTATTGTTTCTTGGAAGCTGACTATGTGCCAGGCAGTGTGCTAAGCACTTTATATACTGAATTCATTTAATCCTCAAAATAGTCTTCTGAGGTAGGCACCATTCCCATTTTCCACATGAGGAAACTGAGGTCCCAAGAAGTTAAGTGATTTGTCCAAGATCATCCATTACATAGAATAGCTGGGAATCTACATTTCCATTGCTTCACAGTGAAAACCACAAGCACTGGGAGGCATTGCAGACAGAGGAGATCTAAACCCAGTCCTACCCTGGGAATGCCTAGTCAGTGATAGGCAGAGACTAGAGGGCCACCTGGTCAGGTGACATTGCTGGTGACCAACTGTGGATCTGGGGTGCCCTCAAGGGTACAGGGGTATCCTGCTTGCAGACGGGACTAATTGCCGTCAAATCCTGAGCCCCCGTGGCCCTGGCCCTGGGATAAGCGTCTTGTGGAGGTTTGGTTTCTGCTATTGTCCTATCCACCTTGGCTCTTGTTCATACAGTGGTTCTCCCAGACCCCATTTTGCTGATGAGACTAAGGCCAGTAGAAGGTGGTGACTTGCCTGCAGTCTCTCAGCCAAGGAAAGCAAGAGCAGGCCCTGGAACCCCGGCAGGGCGCTCTGAGGCCTGCATTCTACCTCTCTGCTTGAGGCCTGGTTGGGGCTTCCTGAAGTGTTGAGCTTCCTTCAGACCCTGCCCACACTGCCTTGTTACAAGGTCCAAGTCTTTTCTCCCTGACCAAACCAGGAACCTGATCCTGTTGGGATGCTGGGGCTTTGCTACAGCAGGGTGTCAGTAACTGAACAACCCTGGAAACATGGTTCTAGAGCCCAGAGACAGGGACCACCTATGGTCCAGTGTGTGGGGCTCAGGGTCAGAGGGGCCTAGAGGAAGATTAAGGCATCAGAGAGTCCTCCCTGAGGGGATGTGTTAAAATCTCCCTCCTGTCCTTATCCTCACTGTTGTGAGGGCAACGGTAAAGGCAAGAGGGTGGGAGAAGATCAGGAGGGCCACTTCTCTATCCCCATTCTCAGGGCAGAACCAGGGGTCACACCTGGAATCTTGGCTGTCAGTGGCCCTGGGGGAGCTTGGGCTGGCCCTGCCTCCTTCTGGCCAGGCCAGTGCTGGGGTGGCTTAACCCCCGGGACAGAAGACCAGGAGCAAGGCTGAGCTGCCACTGCATTTCGGCTTTCCAGGTGCCAGGGTCTCCCCTGCCAGCTTTCCTACTGGCCCAGCGAGCACTGCCCCACCCTGGGCATCCCCCTCTCTCCTCCCCAACCCATAATGCATAGGGCAGGGGTCTGCCTGTAGTCAGGTGCAGAGTCAGGAACCCAGGGTCTGCCTCAGGCCTCTAGCTCAGTGAGAGACCTTTGGCTGGGCATTTATCTTTACTGTACTCAACTTCCCTGGAGCTTCAGGGAGGGGCAGTAAGGAGCGACTCTGGGGATCCCCCAGGCTTACCAGCCCCCAGTTGTGAACAGGTCAGGACAGAAACCAACCAAATTGGGCAGGTGAGAGGGGGAGGGGGTTGGGGGGAGGGGGCTGTTCCACTCCTCTCCACTCCCTTCTCTTCACACTGAGCAGCTAGAATTTTAAGATTCTGAGTCTGAGATTCTAGGCTGGTGAGATTCGAGGATTTTAGGGTTTTATGTGCCTGTGAGTCCCAGCTTCTGAATTTCCGAAATTCTAGGTTCCGAGAGCCTAAAAAGCCTCGAGTTGGGCTGGGTCACCCCCAAGTTGAGGCTGGGGCATGTGCCGTGCTTCAGCCTGGTTGGTGCAGACGGCTGAGGCCTGGAGAGTTTCTCAGTGCTGGCTGGTGGGTCAGAGGCACAGCTGGTCTCCAGGTGCCGGGTGCTCCCTGCATCTACCACCCCCAGCACACACCCGGCTGTCTCCCCTTCAAGAAATCTGGGAACCCTGCAGACTAGGTGGTAGCAGAGGGGCACTCAGTTATCTTGGCAGTGGGGAGAGATGGGCCAGGCCCCCTCTGCATTCACGGGTTGTAGTGGGGCTGTTCCCGTGGACACTAGGGCGGGGTTGGGGAGGGCTGGTGGCTGGCTAATTCAAAGAGCAAGGTCAGGGTCACACTGCTGGCCATCAGGGCCAGTATGGGATGTGGCTCAGCAGACCAAGGTTAAGCCTTGAAGGGTCAGAGCCAGGCTCAGGAGCCTCTGCAGAAGGTGGTGGACAGAGATCAAGAGCCTGAGGGGACGTATTGCTCTGCCTTAGGGTATAGAAGGCTGGGCTTGACTGAGGGACTTAGGAGCTACCATCCCTAGCTGTTTCCCGTGCTGTCTGGGCCTGTGGGCACAGCAGCTGCACTCAAGAGGCTGCGGGTCAGGAGCAGCTCTGCCCCTCAGAGAAGCACAACCCAGCCAGGAGCCCAGCCAGGCAGTCGTCCAGGAGAAGGGCACTGACAGCCAAGATTCCAGGTGTGGCCCCTGGTCCTCTCCACCTTTGAGACATGACACAGGTGCCCTTTGGGACACAGGAGTGTCTCCTGGAAGATTGCCTGGCCAGGCTCCTGGCGGGGTCGTGCTTCCCAGCCCCAGCCTGCAGCACATCCCTCCAGTGGGTACTCCATGCGGGTATGGTCAGCATTCCTCATGGGTTGGGGTAGGAGGGGCCCAGTTCTGCACCCCTTGATGTGTGAGCTGGGCAAGGCTTTCACCCACTTGAAACTTGGTCTCTCGGGTGGCCAGGCATGGTGGCTCATGCCTGTAATCCCAGCACTTTGGGAGGCCGACGCGGGCGGATCACAAGGTCAGGAGATCAAGACCATCCTGGCTAACACGGTGAAACCCCGTCTCTACTAAAAATACAAAAAAAAAAAAAAAAAAAAAATTAGCCGGACGTGGTGGCAGGCGCCTGTAGTCCCAGCTACTCAGGAGGCTGAGGCAGGAGAATGGCGTGAACCCGTGAGGCGGAGCTTGCAGTGAGCCGAGATCGAGCCACTGCACTCCAGCCTGGGCGACAGAGCGAGACTCCGTCTCAAAAAAAAAAAAAAAAAAAAAAAAGAAAGAAACTTGGGCTGCTGTGTGGGTTTGCAGCTTAAATGCAAGTTTGTTCCCAGTGGCCACAGTGTGCCTGGTAGGGAGAATGGGCCACCCCTTTCCACTCCAGGAGCAGAGTTGGAGACTGACACTTTTCCAGATGATAACAGGAAAGCTCTGGGGTAGCGGCTCCCGTGCTTGGTGAAGGGGCACCAGAGCCTTGGCTAAAGGCTTCCCTCCCCTGCTCTGCCTGGGGCTGCTCTCTTCCTTCTGTCTCTTTCTCGGCTCTAAAGATGGACATGCTAAGCCTAGGGAGTCTGAAGATCCAGGGGGTGTCTAGTGGTTCTGTTCCAGTTTCTGTTCCACGGACATGAACCAGGACACTCATTTGCCTCTACTGCCTGTGGCCTGAAAACCCACATTTCTCAGTGCAGAACTGGCTTAGCCCACTTGGAGATATGTGGGGGACGGGGGAGGGAGGTTGCTCCAGTATCTCTAATGTTGCCTGAGGCCCCCTCCCCAGTTCTTCCAAGGAACAGGCTGCTGGAGATATCTGAGCTCAGGCTCGGGGGCCAAGGTCTGAGTCATGGTCCTGACTTGCCCGTGCGGCCCTGGCTAGGTTCTTGCCCCTTCTGGGACTGGGACTTACTTTCATTTCTAGAAATGTGGAAGGTTGATTTGGTGGTTCCTAAGTGCCTAAGGAGCAGGTGGTTGGGTTGTGTGGTACTGGTCGAGAAGGCAGGGCTGGGTAGTAGAACTATAGTAGAACTATAACTGGGTGGGACTGGGTGGAATGGGAGGCACCTCGTATTGGGAGGCTGGAGGCTGGGTTCTGGCCACACTTTGGCCACTGATTTGCAGTGGCAAGTTGTCATTTGCCTGGCTCTCCATGTGTAAAATTGGGAAATGTTCGTTCAGTCAACAGATATTCACTGTGTGCCACCTTTGGGACACAGGTATCCCTGGTCTTGCCTGAGAAAGCACCCAGCCAGGGTTGGGGGTAAGAGAGTATGTATGTGACAGACACAGTCACAGATGGTGACACACACAGTCACAGATGGTGACATCTGGTGTGATCAGGGCTGTGACTGTGGGAGTCGGAGACTGCTTCCTCAAGCAGGTGGCACTTGAGCTTGCAGGGTGAGGTAGAGAAAGATGTTCTAGGCAAAGGGAACCGGGTAAGCAAAGGCTTGGTGGTGAAGCCCTGGTGTTGGAGCGTGAGAGTGGAGGAAATGAGACCAGAGGGGAGGGGCAGGTGGCAGGAGCCAGTGGGTGGAAGCCCCTTGAGCCCCACTGGGTAATGGGGGGTCAGGCAAGGGGTAGGCAGGCAGGAGAGGTAGCCCCTGCCTGAGGGCTGGGGGTTGGTCTCAGAGACTCCTAGAAGTCTGGGGTGGTTCTGCCCTGGTCTGGGGAATGGTTGAGGGGGACTGAGAGTCACACTTCCCCTGTGTGGGTGAGGGCATCCCCAGCAGTGTTTAAGGGGCCGGTCCAGCAGGAAGTGCTGGGGCAGCCTCAGAGGTCAAAAGAAGGGACAGGCCTTGCCATGGAGGGTGCCGGGGAGCCTCAGAGTCAATCTCCAACTCCTAGACCTCCAGGCTGAACCTTGACACCTGCCTCCTCCAACTCTCCCTCACTCTGCCCATCTCTCCAGGCAGCCCCTGTCCCAAGCCTCCTGAGCAGGGTGAGCTGGGGTCAGGCCCTGACCAAAGGCCTCCCAGTCCAACCCTCTGCAGACCCTGCCCCTGGCCACCCTCTTCTTGCCTCCGTGTGTGTGTCCAGCCACAGCTGCTGTGGCTCAGGAGGCTCCCTGGGGAGGGATTTGAGGTGGGGGTTGGGGGTGGGGGCACTTCAGAAGGGTGGGCAGCAAAGGCTGAAAACACTGGAAGGTGCCACATATTGAGTGCCTGCTCAATATGCCTGCAAGCCAGGCCTTTGTAGATTTCCATTCATACATTTCACAAATATTATCGATTGAGCATTTTCTTGACGTTGTCCTAGCCATGGAAGATACAACTGTGAATAAGACAAAGTCTGTGCCTCTCAGTTAAAGAGTCTGACTTTAACAAATATCCATATAAGGCAGTGTCCGGTAGTGATAAGTGGGATGCTGAAAAAGGAAACAGAGTAAGGAGATAGAGGCTAATGGGGTGCTTTTTAGGATAGAGTGGTCAGGGAAGAAAGGCCTTGCATTTGAGGAGGTGCCCGAATGGGTATGAGGAGTCATGGAGATGCCTGGGCAAGAACATTCCAGCCAGAAGGAGCTCGGGACCCAGCAGTTGAGTGGGGGCACACAGGGACAGGTTGCACAGGCCTGGCAGGCCGGCTGCTAGCTTTGGCTTTTACTCTGAGGGAGGTGGCAAGTCACTGGGGAGTGAGAACTGATCAGATTTGAGATCTGCTTCATCCCTCCCTCACAAGCCTGCAAGGTGGAGCTATCCTAATTCCATTACACAGATGAGGAAACTGAGGCTCAGAGAAGTTAGTTGAATTCCCAAATCCCACAGCAGGAGGAATCCCTGCCTGCTGCCTGTCTGTCACAGTGTGCTCCATCACCAGAGCACCCTGCTGTCCTCCATGACTTCCTGTTGTCTGGACAGTAAGGATCGGGGTCTTAGCATGGCCTTCAAGGCCCTTCTCAGTCTGCACTCAGCCTCCCTCTCCCTCTATCACTTAACCTCCCCTTCTCCTCCCTGGGCCTTACCTGTCTTCACGCTGTCCCCTTGAGAGGACCCTTGATACAGATTCTGGCTCCTGAGTGACTGAGCCAGTTACTTAACCTCTCTGAGGCTGTTTCCTAATCTGTAACATGGCCTGAAGCCACCTGCTTGCTAGGTTGTTGGAAGGATTTTATGAGGCAATCCATGTGATATGTTTAGTGTGGTGCTGGGTAGACGGTAAGCACTGCATAAACACGACCTTTTGTTGCTGCAAGCAGGGGTGGCCGGATCAGGTGAGCAAGTTCCAGGGCTCCCTGTGGGCCTGCTGGAGAATCGAGAGGGAGACTGAGTCAGGGAGTCTTCCCTAGCTGTTGTCTGATTATAGTCAGGAGACTGAGGTCACACATCAAATTGGAGGCCAAAGCCTGTGGGGCTGGTCCCCCTGTCTCCCTCTTTCCCTTCTGACCCTAGTCCCGGCCCCACCCATGTGGTCACCCTCTCCAGCCAACACAGGCAGCTTCCCCTTTCACGTGCCAGCAGTAAGGGACCCCCTTATTTTCTGTCTTCTGCATTCCAGGGGCCATCTAGAGAGTAGGCAGGTCTGGGTCCCTGTTCCCCTGCACCCCTAGTTCTGGGGTACAGAGGAGCCCACCAAGTCCCTCCTCCTTGGTGGGCAGGAGCTTTAGGTTTCCAGTGAGCTCACAGAGGAGTCAGTTGGCGGCCTCCCCTTCCCTCTTGGGGCAGGGTGGGTGCTGGCCCTCGGCCCCCAGGGCACGTGGTGAGGGTCTGTATCTTGAGTGCTGGTGTCACTGGGTCTGTCCACTCCCGCTGCCTGTGATTCTGTGGTCAGCCCTGTGCACTCCCACCCTGCTGCGGTCAGCCCTGTCTCTTCCTGTTTCTGCCTCATTTATGGTGTTCGGAGTCCCCCTCCTGCTCCCGCTGGGGGCAGTGGTCACAGGAGGATCTTCCTGGAGTCATCCTGTGGCTCCTCAGGCTGCCCCTTGCCCTCTGTGGGAGGAGTTGCCACAGGAAGTCCCCAGCCCCTGTAGAGTGTGTCTGTGCCTGAGGGCCAGGGAGCCAGGCCAGAGCCCTGTCTTGCTGGTGGTGGGAGCGCCCCAGGTCTCTGTAGGTGTGGGGCTGGTTGAGTCACCTTTCTAAGTGGGAAGGGCCTGAGCTAGGCCGAGGGTGAGGACTGGGAGAGTGGGGAGGGTCCTGGGGTGAGGCTGTGGAGGGTTGGGGTCAGGAGCTATGCCATGTATTAGATGAGCCCGGTGGGCTAGAGTATGTCCTGGTTGCAGGGGGCAGAGGCAGGAGGCAGCGGTGAGGGCCCAGAAGTCCAGGCAAGCTGAGGGGCCTGGGTTGAATGGGGGCAGTGTGGATGCAGGGCAGGGGTGTGCCCAAAACATGGTAAACAGGAAGGAGTTGGGGGAAGCGGCAGGGGTCCCCAGACCCATTAGGGGTCGGGGGTATGTGGTGGGGCCAGAGGGGCATAGTATGTGATAGGCTTTTTGACAAAGCCTAAAACCAAACCATTTAACTTTCAGCTTCATTTATTTGCAAGTGAGGTATGTTAGACATTCCTGAGTCATCCCACACCTCCTTCCCTACCTGACCCTCTTTTGGGTTGGGGCTTGGACATGAGGGGCCCCTGGGTGAGGCTTAAGGTGTGGTAGGTGAGAGTCAGGGCCAGGGTGGGGTCTGATGGTGTCTTGAGGACAAACCTCGGGGACCCTGGCGTCTCGAGTTTATTAATGAGCCTCAGTCCATTTCCCATGTGAAAGTCTGAGGGCTGCGCTCTGTGCTGCTGGCCACCAGTGCCTGGGAGGGAGACCTTATTTGATTAGCTTTGTCTTAGACCCTTGGGAGGGTAAGTCGGGGGCAGGGAGGGGGCTTTGAGTGTCAGTCTCTTATTTTCCATCCAGATGGCCTAGGAAATTAGCAGTTTCTCTTATAATAGTTCTGTTAGTAATCTATGCATGTTATACTTAAATGATAAAGCTACCTTATAATGATGGTTTTGGGGAGCAAACTGGAACAAACTCAATTGTAATGACTTAAAACATGTTTATCATTTTTTTCTAATTATAAAAGTGATAATTGTGAAAACTTGAAACAGTGCAGACATGAAGGTTGTAGAAAGTGAAAGTCTTTCAAGATTGGGGTTGGAGTTAGCGTGAGGCCTGAAAGTGGGGTCAGCAATGCCTACTGTCCCTTGGTCTTTCATGTCCCTTAGTCATTAATAAAACTGTGGTTTAGCATTTTATTAGGGTGATGCTGGTAGGGTTGCTGCAGGAAGGTTGTTAAAAGGTCCTGCCTCCCACCAGGTCCACTGTGTGTGGGTGTGCGTGTTGTGCACTGCTCAAAGGTGCCTGGCAGGTGTAGGGAAGTGAGGGCCAGAAGAAGGAGGACTGAAACCCAGCCTGTCCTCTTCTTGCTCAGCTGCTTCCCTTGGTGTGGGGCTCCTGGAAGAAGAGGAATCTTTTTCTTATTTGCCTAAAGGCCCCACCTGGGTTGGAGACAGCTCTTCTCCCCCTGCTCCCCACAGTCCCCAAGGGGAGCTGGTGAGTTCATTGTATGATGGGAGTGTGCCATGCCAGGGCATTCCAGGGGAGGTCCAGAATGCCGTGAAGTCAGGTCTGGTCTGGAGCTCTGCAGGGGGACATGGCTGGAGGTAGGCTGTGGTAGTCATTGGTGTCTGGGGTAACCGAGAACCTCAGGATGTGGAGGGAGTCTAGCCCAGAGCCTGGCTACAAGCCTAGCACCCAGGGTCAGGACTAGCCAAGACCTTAGGGCTAGGGACAGGAAGTGACTGCCTGACGGCAGAGGAGTGAGCAGAAGAGCACGCTGGCCTCCAGTACACATGCGGTGGCGTGTCATGGTCATCTGGGTGCCAGGCTCTAGGAGGCAGGGAGTGACAGCTCTACTTTGTGGAGGGGAAACTGAGGCTCAGAATGTGATGTGACTTGCCCCAGGCTTCAGACAAGAAATGGTGGAGCCAGGACTGGAACCAGACTTGCCTTGCATACTGGGTGGGGAGGGGGCCCAGGCCTGGAGCCGAGGGACATTGCTGATAGACCCCCAACTCCCCACCAGCAAGCTGAGGCAGCTCTTCATTCCCCCGGCTCTGGGGTCCCACTCAGTCCTCACTGCCCTGAGGGGCTGCTCCCCATCAGCCACCAGCACTCCGGAGACCCCAGAAGACAGGCCACACCACACATGGGCCAGGACAGGAATCTCCTGGTGCCAGGGAGAGTTATAGGGCAGAGATGCGGCCTGGGGTAGGACAGGAGACCCCAGTGTGCCTTCCTGAGACTGTTATGTGGTGGCCACCAGTCCCCGAGAGATGGAAAATAGGCTGCTTGGCCCAGAGATCGGTCAGCTGCCCACTCGAAGGCTGTACCTGCTGCCTTTCCTGGCAGGGCTGGAGGGAGGTGGCTTCTGCAGAGGCGTGGGGGCCACTTCTGCACCCTCTGGGCTGGGAACCCAGCCCCCACTAGTTCCTCATATCTGCGGAAGTGCCTCTAACACTCTTGCCTGAGTGAGCGGAGCCTGGAGAAGGCCCAGGAGGGCAGCAGACCGAAGAGGCCCTATGCAGAGGTATCACCTGGTGACTGGGCCGGGGAGGGGGCCAAGGGTGGGGTATTGGGCTGTGGGGTTGTTGCACACAGTTGAATTGCTGGTAGGAGCTGTGTGTGGTGGGAAAGGGCAGATCTGAGGTGTGGCCATTGGGTGGGGTGGTAGGTGTGTGTGGCCCTGGGAGATGTGTGGCCCTTGAGGTAGTGTGAGGTGTGCATTTGTGGTACCAGTGGGGTGTGGTTTGTAGACCCAGGCCTGGCCAGAGCTGGCTGTGTATGTTCTTGGTTCCTGTTGGGGAGCTCCGAGGAGTTTCCTGAGGTCTGGATGCTGGGGTCGCTGCCCTGCCTGCCTGTGCTGGGACAGCTGGGCCCAGGGTAGGGGATGAGGCTGTATAAGGGAGGTGGTGGTGGACAAGCTGAGGCCTCAGTTAGGACCCCTAGCCTGCCTTCCTCCCCTCCTTGCTCCCCATAGGGCTAGGTCTTTCCTTGAACCCAGGGCAGAGGCCTGTGCGGAGGGGAGCTGAGGATGCAATCAGGGGAGGCGGCCTGGCCAAGAGGACTCCAGAGCTGGGTGTGGAAAGGGTTAGGACCTTTAAGGCTGCCCTGATCCAGGGCTGACTCATGCAAATCAGAATGCAAAACAGGCTCAGGGAGGCCTCAAGAGAGAGCCACACCCACACGGTCAGCAGACTATGCAGGTGACGGAGGGCCAGCCATTGAGCCTTTCTCTCTAAACATCTTCTGTTCCCACCCCACTGACATCTCCTGTCACCAAATTCACCAGGTCCTTTTCTGTCCCTGGGCTTTGCACACCCAGTCCCCTTTGCCTGGAATGGCCTCCACCTGGCCACCTCCTACTTATCCTTCAAGGCCCAAGTCAGGGGTTCCTTCTAGAAGCCTCCCTTACTTCACCAGACAGAAGCAGTCACGTCCTCTGAAGGCCCCGTGAGCTCCAGCAGGTGACCTGGTGAGTTTCTACCTCACACAGCTTCCATGACATTGACATAGAGAAGAATCACAGGCCTTAGGGTTGTTATAAGAACAAATGAGGGACTGGGTGCGGTGGCTCACGCCTGTACTCCCAGCACTTTGGGAGGCCAAGAGGGGAAGCTCGCATGAACTCAGGAGTTCGAGACCAGCCTGGGCAACGTGGCAAAACCCCATCTCTACAAAAAGTACAAATATTAGCCAGGCATGGTGCATGCCCCTGTAGTCCCAGCTACTCTGGAGAGGCTGAGGTAGGAGGATCACTTGAGCCCAGGAGGCTGAGGTTGCAGTGAGCTGAGATCACACCACTGCACTCCAGCCTGGGTGACAGAGTGACCCTGTTTCAAAAAAAAAAAAAAGAACAAATGAGATGAAGGAGAAAATCTAGCAGGGGCTGGGCACATGGTTGCCAAATGGTGTGCATTTAGGGAAAGAAGGAAGCTGGAGGGTGCCTGTCTTTGGCTAAGGCTCTGGGTCATCTTCTTGCTGGGCCGGTGAAACAGGTCACTAGTCAGTAGTGGGTAGAGATATTACCATGGAGTTGCTGGGCTGGGACAGAGAAGGGGTGATGAGATTTGAACTCTGACCTTGGGGTTGAAATGGTAGGTAGAGGACAGAAGGGCAAAAGTTTTGGTTCCAGCAAGAAGTACTCAAGCCAGACGTGAAGAAGGACTGGCTGACAAGGATTAGAGATTCCAGGCGACCCTTACCTCTGGACTGGGACTGAGTGCACCTGTGAGCCCAGCCAGGTCCTGGGCACCACTGTGGACAGCAGAGGAGATAAGAAGGGGTATGGACTCTCAGGATACTCCAGGATACATGGGGGATTGGGTGGAGGTGGACCCCCACAAAACAAGCAACCAAAGAGAGAGCAGAAGCAGTGCCGAGATATGGGGCTCAGCCTCAGAGGACTAGGAGCTTGAGGGGGCAGTCAGGGCAGACTTTTTGGAGGAGCTGGCCTGGAGCCACCTGAAGATGGGAGGATGTGGTTTACTCACTCATTGTCAGCAGACAACTTTGGGGGCTCCCTGTTTGCCAGGCCAGTGCCTACTGTGAGAAGTGACATGGAGGAAGTCATGGACAGGGCCAGCCCAGCCTGGCTGGGGGTTGGGGTATGTCACTGACAACTTGAGCAAGTCACTTCCTCCCTGTGGGTGTTTGTTTCTTCGTCTGTAAACGTCAGAGCTGGATGAAGTTGAATGACAGACCAAGGAGTGCTCGAAGGCACTGGGAACCATGGAAAGGCTTTGAGTGGGGGTGGGACTGTAGTTGGCACAGTGGAGAGACGCTGGAGGGACATGAGAGAGAAGGAGAGGCAGGATGGGGGTGTGGGGGTGCTGAAGTCTGATTGGGCCATTAGGGTGGAGAGGAGGGAAACCCCTCAGCTCTTGGCTGTGCTGTCGCAACAGGATGACACTCCCTTCTGCCAGGTCCCTGCCTTCCTGAGGATGAGGACTCAGTGATGTGTCATAGCAGCTGAGGGGCTTAAACCTCCAAACTAGGGCTTGGATTAGGGTAGAGCAAGTGAGGCACTTGCCTCTGTTGCAGAATTTGAGGGGGTACCAAAAAGCTCAGTAATTAGCTGGGTTTGGTCATGAGATCCTGTGGTCCCCGCTACTGGGGAGGGGGAGGTGGGAGGATCACTTGAGCCCAGGAGGTTGAGGCTGCAGTGAGCCATGATCATGCCACTGCACTCCAGCCTGGGCAACAAAGCGAGACCTTCCCTGTCTCAAAAAAAAAAAAAAAAAGGTAACTAAAATGTAAAAGCAATAACTATTTATTTTAAAAAGGTCAGTATTCAAGGTATATAATATTTAATGCCATTTAAAAAATAAAAATTAATGCCAAAAATCCATGATGAGCAAAATATAAAACATTAACATTTTAAATTAAGAGAGGAACAGTACTGATGATTCTGTCTTTGCCTCAGGCTGCAGTGTGGCTTAGCAGGGCACTGCTCTGAACTTCTTTTTTCAATTTGCTGCTTTCTCCGGGAAGCCTTCCCTTACCTCAGCCTGGTTGAGGGCCCCCTGGGCTGTTTTCACTGGTTGATGGTATCTGATCCCTTCCAGCCTGAGGTTCCTGGAGGGCCAGTCCAGGTCTGAGGTCTGGTTCATGCTTCCAGTGCCTTGAACATGGCTGTTCCAAAGAGGTGTCAGTGCCGAGTCACCGTGTCTTTGATGTTAGCCAGATGCCCTTAGTGCAGGAATAGGAACTTGAGAGAGGCCCAGTAGGGAGCCAGGCTTTTCTCAGGGAGATAAGTAGTTTCCTGTTTCCCAGACCTGGTCATTCCAGTGGGGTTGCTGGGACCGTCATCTATCAATCTGTGTTAAACGCTTAGTACAGTGCCTGGCCTGTATATAGCAGGTGCTCAGTTTTTGCTTTTGTTTTTGAGCTGGAGTCTCACTCTGTCGCCCAGGCTGGAGTGCAATGGCACGATCTCAGCTCACTGCAACCTCTGCGTTTCAGGTTCAAGCAATTCTCCTGCCTCAGCCTCCCGAGTAGCTGGGATTACAGGCACCCACCACCATGCCCAGCTAATTTTTTGTATTTTTAGTAGAGACAGTCGGGCTGGTCTCGAACTCCTGACCTCAAGTGATCTACCCGCCTTGGCCTCCCAAAGTGCTGGGGTTACAGTCATGAGCCACTGCGCCCGGCCCTCAGTTTGTGTTTTGAGAGGCCGTGAAGAGTGGTTAAAAGTGGATGGCCAAAGGCTGGTGGCTCACGCCTGTAATCCCAGCACTTTGGGAGGCAGAGGCAGGTAGATCACTTGAGCCCAGGAGCTCAAGACCAGCCTGGGCAACATGGCAAAACCCCATCTCTACAAAAAAATGGAAAAATTAGCCGGGCGTGGTGGTGCAAGCCTGTAGTCCCAGGTACTTGGGAGGCTGACGTGGGATAATTGCTTGGGCCCAAGAGGCAGAGGTTGCGGTGAGCAGAGATTGTGCCACTGCACTCCAGCCTGGGTGACAGAGCGAGACCCTGTCTAAAAAAAAAAGTTGAGAGCTACAGTCTCCAGTATGAATAGAGTGTAAGCCACAATGCAATTTAAACAGTCCAAGTGAAATTAATGTTAATAATATATTTCATCATGTAAACAATAGGGAAAATTATTGAGATATTTTGCATTCTTTTTTTTTTTTTTTGTGCTCAGTCTTCAAAATCCACTGTGTTCAAAATCTAGCACATCATATTCCAGGGACCACATTTCAAATGTCCAACAGCCACGTGTGGCTACTGCTGGCTGCTATTGGACAGCACAGGGCTAGACTATATTCATACTGCCTCCTTCTTAGGTGTGTGGCTTTGGAAAGTTGTTTAACCTCCCTTTATCTCAGTTTCTTCACCTTAAAACAGGGATAGCAATCATATGTATCTCCTGGGGCTGCTGTGAGGCTTTAATGAGTTAATATAAAGTACTTGGATACCTGGCATGCAGTAAGCACTGTTTATGTGGTCTCTTTTTCTTGTTTCAAATTGTCGTTTGAGTAGCACTGCCATTTTTGCCAATGCTTTCATCTGAAGTGCTAGCTACTTAAAGGTTGTTTTTTAAGTATTGACTTTTGGGCTGGGTGCAGTGGCTTATGCCTATAATCTTAAGCACTTTGGGAGGTCAAAGTGGGAGGATTGCTTGAGGCCAAGAGTTTGAGACCAGCCTGGGCAACATAACGAGACCCTGTCTTTACAAAAAATAACAAAATTAGCTGGGCACAGTGGCATGCACTTGTAGTTCCAGCTACTCAGGAGGCTGAGGCAGGAAGATTGCTTGAGCCTGGGAGTTGGAAGTTGCAGTAAGCTATGATTGCACTACTACACTCCAGCCTGGGCAACAGAGCAAGACCCTGTCTCAAAAATAAAATAAGGCAAGGTGTGGTGGCTCACACCTGTACTTCTAGCAACTGGGGGGGCTGAGGTGGGTGGATCACTTGAGGTCAGGAGTTCGAGACCAGCCTGGCCAACATGGCAAAACCACGTCTCTACTAAAAATACAAAAATTAGCTGGGCATGGTGATACGCACCTGTAGTCCCAGCTACTCGGGAGGCTGAGACAAGAGAATCGTGCTTGAACTTGGGAGGTGGAGGCTGCAGTGAGCCAAGATTGCGCTACTGCACTCCAGCTGGGGCAACGGAGTTAGACTCTGTCTCAAAATAAATAAACTAAAATAAAATATTTAAAAAATGTATACCTGTTTTAGCCCTATCCTAGGCAGTGATAATCATGGAGTTTGCTTAAGATAAATACCTGTTTATGTGTTTGTAAGATGTAAAATGTTCATGAATACCTACTGAAGCCATTATGCAGAGCACAGCAGTTTTGAAGTTAACCCTAGTGTTGGCAGACCTGACTGTTCCAGGTCCTGGGGAGGGAGACCTGTCCATGCCACTCCACTGGTCCCTAGCCCCACAGAGCTCCGGCTGTCTGCATAGCAAGGGTGGTGGCCTGTCAGGAATATCCTATTCTTTCTCCTCCTGCCTGGAAGCATCCCCTTTTGGTCTGTTTTCCTCAACCTCCCCTACATATTTAGGGGCAGGGCCCTGGGGTCTCATGCCCCTGACTCAGTTACCCTACTTGTGCCCTCAGGCCACTTCATGGTCCCCAGGCTTAGTGGAGAGGGTCCTGTGTCCCTGGGTCCTCTAAGGTCCCCCACCTCTCCTGACAGGCTCTGTGTCAGGGAGACCTCTTTAGTCGCAGGGCTGCATTGTCCCTTCCTCACCCTTCCTGGGGCTGTCCCTTCCACAGTCTGCCCCTACACACATCCCAGCACTGGTCTTGCAGGGCCAGAGAGTGGGGAAGTCCTGACTCCTCTTTACCACCTGTGCAGCCCCCACATCTGGACAGGCCTGTCTGTCTGCCTTCTCCCTCCAGGAAGGCCTTCCTCTGGTCTGACTTCTGTTGCCAGTTTCCATGAGCATGAGGTTCCCCGAATCCTTTCCTCTTCCCTCTTCCTTCTCTTCCTCTTCTTCCACCTCTTCCCCATCTCTTCTTTTTTCTTTTCTTTTTTTTGAGACAGGGTCTGGCTCTGTTTCCCAGGCTGGAGTGTAGTGGCTCAATCACAGCTCACTGCAGCCTCCACCTCCTGGGCTCAAGTGATTCTCCCACCTCAGCCTCCTGAGTTCCTGGGACTACAGGCACACACTACCACACCTGGATAATTTTTGTATTTTTGTTGTACAGATGGGGTCTTCTTATGTTGCCCAGGCTGGTTTTGAACTCCTGGACTCGAATCCACCTGCCTCCCAAAGTGCTGGGATTACAGGCGTGAGCTACTGTGCCTGGCCCCCATTTCTTCTTTCCTTTTCCCTGTCCCTCTCCCTCTTCCCCTCTCCTTCTCTGGCATCTCATAGTGGCCTTGCCTCACGGGCTTTCTCCTCCATCCCTGTCCTTGCAGCTCCCGCCTCAGGCCGAGATGAGGAGCCCTTCAGAATAGCTGCTGTCTCTGGGAGGACCCGGGCGTCCTTGGCAGCCCAGCTGGTGAGTCAGGAGGTGGAGCGGTGGGAACAGGGCTGGCTGTGGCACGCTAGGCCTTAACATTGAGGTCGGGGAAGGCTTGATGGAGGCTGACACCTGATAGCCCATTTTCCATTTTGAGAACTGAGCTTGAGAGGCAGAGGGTGAGGCCCAGAGAGCTTGCTACGAGCCTCCCAGCAGGCCTTGGAACCTTGGAACAGGGTGGGGGTACGAGACAGAGGGACAAGGCAGGGGCCAGCAGGCTGAATTGCAGGTCTGTGTTTATGTATCTCCTCACTGGATTCCCCTCCCTGCCTGGCAAGTTTTGTTCCCTTTCTCATTCTCAGGCTCTATTCATGGTTATCACATTCCCTTTTAATTTTTATTTACTTTTTGGAAAATGATACAAAATTTAAAAGATACAGAAGGGTATAGTGTCTCCTGTCTTCCCAGCTGTCAATTCCCCTCCCCAAACTCAGTTTTATATATATCCGTCCAGTTTTCTGTGTTTATATTTGCATATATATATAACATATGTATATTTTTTTCTTTTTCTTTAACCGAGATGTTTACATAACACTGTTCTGCATCTTGCTTTTCCACTTAACACATCTCTAATATCATTTTATATGAACTTTAGAATCTGCTGGTCTCAACAAATTCCAGCTGGTAATTTTAGTTGGGATGGTGTTAAAGTTTTAGCTTAACCCTGGAGGAACTGACATCTTTATATGTTGAAGTGAAAAGTCTCCCTCTCCTCAGAGGTGGATTTCCAGGGAAGCTGGAGTTTGAGGTGCAGGGCTCCTTCCAGGATCTAAAGAGGGTCCTGAACAGTGTGTGCATGTGGTCATGTGTTTTTGTGAATTTTGCAAAAGTGAGATACTCTTAAGGAGAATGTGTTAGTCTGTTTTGTATTGCAATCAAGGAATACCCTGAGTAATTTATAAAGAAAAGAGGTGTATTTGGCTCAGGGCTCTGCAGGCTGTATAAGCATGGCACCAGCATCTGCTCAGCTTCTGGTGAGGCCTCAGGAAGCTTTTAGTCAGGGCAGAAGGCAAAGCGGGAGCAGGCATGTCACATGGTGAGGGAGGAAGCAAGAGAGAAGCCGGGCTCTTTTAACCAGCTAGCTCTTACATGAACAAATAGAGTGATAACTCACTTGTTACCATGGGGAGGGCACCAAGCTATTCATGAGGGATCTGTCCCCGTGACCCCAGACACCTCCCACTAGGTCCACCTCCAACATTGGGGGTCACATTTCAACATGAAATTTGGAGGGGACAAACATCCAAACCATATCAGAGGGCACTTAAATTGTGTAAGCTTCAGGTCCCATGAACTTCAGGCCCTGTGAACTCTGCATCTTCCACTGTTCCCTCCTGTCCCTTCAGGCCTTAGTTTTCGTCCTAGGAGGAAGCTGATAACTGTTGTCACCTTGCCCTCATGTGTCTTTTCAGAGATACTTTGTTCATTTACCAGTAGCTGCACACTACTCCATGCTCCCCCTTGTTTTTTTCACAGAGAGAGAATGTTACACAAACTGTTCTGCACTTTTCTTTACTCCTTTAACAGTGTATCTTATAGATCATCCCATGTCAATATGTGAGGAGTTTCCTCATTCTTATGGCCGCTCAGTATTCTATTGCACAACTACAACATAATTTAGTTAACTATTCTCCCATTGATGGCCATTTTGGTTATTTCCATTCTTTTGCTATTAAACACAGGCACTGTAGCTAGTAACCTTCTATATATGTCAATTCTGGCAGGTGCCAGTAAAAATGCAGGCTAAGTGCCTATGGGTGGCTGGGTCAGCCATCTGCATCTCTGTTTTTGGGGGAGGCGGGAGGACAAAGTGTCCCCCAGGCTGGAATGCAATGGTGTGATCTCGGCTCACTGCAACCTCCACATCCTGGGTTCAAGCGATTCTCCTGCACCTCAGACTCCTGAGTAGCTGGGATTACAGGTGTCTGCCACTGTGCCTGGCTAACTTTTTGTATTTTTAGTAGAGACGGGATTTTACCATGTTGACCAGACTGGTCTCGAATTCCTGACCTCAAGTGTTGGGATTACAGGTGTGAGCCACCGCGCCCAGCCCAGACATCTGCATCTCTTAGGGCTTTCATGCCTAGAGGCATTCCACAGCCAGGGAAGGGATGCCCTACCACATCACCAATGCCTGTATTTTCCAACTTTATTGCTCTTTGACAATCTGATAGGTAGAAAGCAGTATTTCAAAATATTTTACATTCATATTTCCTAGTGTGGGGGAGGTTAAGTTCCTTTTCAGATATTTAAGAGCCATTTATATTTTCCTTTTTGTAAATTTTTTCATTCATACTCTTTGCCCATTTTTCTGTTAGATTATTGATCCGTTTCTTATTTCTGCATGCTTTTCAACTTTTAGGAAAATGAGCCCTTTGTGTGGAATATGAGTGGCAGATATCCCCTAGTTTGTTGTTTAGCTCTTGGCTTTGCTTATGGTGCTTTTTACCATGCAAGAGTGCTTGATTTTTGTAGAGTTGAATATTTCAGTCTTTTCTGTGTGCCTTCTGGACTTGTTTCATTTCCAGAAGGCTTTTGCCTCTCTGAAATGATTTTTTTTTTTTTTTTTTAGAGACAGTCTCACTCTGTTGCCCAGGGTGGAGTGCAGTGGTGTGCAGTGGTGTGATCATAGCTCACTGCAGCCTTGAACTCCTAGGCTCAAGCAATTCTCCCACCTCATCCTCACAAGTAGCTGAGACTACAAGTGTGCAGCTGCCTAATTTTTAGGTTTTTTTTTTAGTAGAGACAGAGTCTTGCTGTGTTGCCCAGGCTGGTCTTAAACTCCTGGCCTCAAGCAGTCCTCTTGCTTTAGCCTCCCAAAGTGTTGGGATTACAGGCGTGAGCCACCATACCCAGCCCTAGGATGATTTCGTAAATCCTTTCATTTTTTATTTTTTATTTTTTTTTCTGAAGTGGAGTCTCTCTCTGTTGCCCAGGCTGGAGTGCAGTGATCTCGGCTCACTGTAATCTCCACCTCCTGGGTTCAAGCAATTCTGCCTTAGCCTCCTGAGTAGCTGAGATTACAGGTGCTTGCCACCATGCCCGGCTAATTTTTTGTATTTTTAGTAGAGACAAGGGTTTGCCGTGTTGGCCAAGCTGGTCTCAAACTCCTGACCTCAGGGGATCTGCCTGCCTCAGCATCCCTAAGTGCTGGGATTATAGGTGTGAGCCACCTTGCCCAGCCATGGTTTTTTAAAATACTGAAGTCTTTGATACAGCTGTAATGTTTCTTGTTGTAAAGTGTGAGATAGGGATCCACATTAGTTTTTTTTGAGAGCACTCCACAGCTGTCCCAACAACTTAAGAATCCCTTGTTTCCCCACAAGTTTGAGAGGCTACTTTTAGTGTATCCTAAATTTGTATATGTATTTGGGTCTACTTTTGAACTTTCTGTTCTGTTTAATTGATCTGTCTGTTCATGCACTGTTACCATATACTGTTTTAATCATTGTGGCTTTATAATATGTTTTAACATGTGGTGAGGTTGACTCCTACTCTTTACCCTCCCCGCCCTCCACCCCTGCTTCCAGAATTTTCCTCACTCTTCCTGCTTATTTTTCCACATGAAATTTCAAATCAGCTTCAAAAAAAATTCTGTACATATTTAATTGGATTGTGTACATTTATAAAGTAACTTAGACATCATTAATCTCTTTATGTTGTCTTCTATCCAGAACTTACTGTGCTCTGCCATTTGTCCAGGTCTTCTTTTTGTCCCTCAGTAACACTCCCAATTTTTCTTCCTATCGCTGTTGTTTATCTCTTAGGAAGTTTATTGGTGTTTTCTATTTTGTGATGCTTTTGTAAATGGGGTCTTTCATCCTGGTTTCTACCTGTTTGTTGCTTATAAATGTTGATTTCTGTTATATTAATTTTCGTTTGTTTCTTTTGTTTTTGTTTTTGTTTTTGTTTTGAGACGGAGCCTCACTCTGTTGCCCAGGCTGGGGTGCAGTGGCATGATCTCGGCTCATGGCAACCTCTGCCTCCTGGGTTCAAGCAATTCTCCTGCCTCAGCCTCCTGAGTAGCTGGGACTACAGGCGCATGCCACCATGCCTGGCTAATTTTTTGTATTCTAGTAAAGATGGGGTTTCACTGTATTGCCCAGGCTGGTCTGAAACTCTTGAGCTCAGGCAATCCACCCGCCTCGGCCTCCTAAAGTGCTAGGATTATAGTTGTGCCCGGCCAGTCTGTTATATTAATTTTGAACCCAACTGTCTTACTAAAGTCTTTACTGGTTGTTATAGTTTCTCAGTTGACCTTCTTGGGCTTTCAAACTCAACACTCATATTATTGGCAACAAATGGATAGTTTATCTCTTCCTTTCTGATTTTAAGACCTCTTGTTTATTTTTGTTGTCCAGAGCTTTCAGAGCAATGTGAGGAATAATAATAACAACAGTAAAATGGATATTCTTTTCTCATTTAAGAAAGTATCAATTTATTTCTGTTTTAGTAAGATTTTTGTTTGTGTAAGTAAGCTGGATATTGGGTTTTATCATATGCCTCTTTAGTGTCTGTGGAGATAATCAGATGACTTTTCCCTTTGATCTGCTAATCACCTCTTTTGGTCACCTCTTCATATCACCTCTTGACTCCCACCAGGCCAGGAGCTCTTGATTACAGGGTGCAGGGGTAGAGCCTGAGTCCCCATTGCCTAGTGCCAGGCTATTTTGAAAGAACAAATGGATGAATGGCCTTAGTGATGGGAGGGTTTACCCAATTCCAGGGCCAGGCCCCCAGAGGCCATGTGATGCTGGGTTTACTCACGTCCCACAGCATTTCACTTCCTCCAGGGGCATGGAGGTAGGGGGAGGCTAGTCTCGGCTCCCAGACTGGGCTTGCAGGAGGGACCAGCAGTGGTATCCTTCAATGCTCGCTAAGCCCTTGGCCTGGCCCTCACTGGGAACTGGTGCCTCAGAGGGAATTAGCCCTGCCGTGGGTCTTGCAGAGGGCAGTGGGGAGGAGGTATAAGACACAGCACCAATCATGCCACTGGCCATTCTCACGGCAGTGGCCAAGGCTGTGTGTTGGGGTGTGGGGTGGTACCAACCCCAGAGATCATGGAGGGTTTCCTAGAGAAGAAAACATGAGCTGGATGCTGGGATAGCACAAGGGAAGGGGTGAGGGGGTTCAGGCGGAGAGAAGAGCCTGTGTGTTCAGAGACCTGGCAGTACCTGGCCTTGCTTAGCACATGGAGCACAGGGGAGGAAGCTCCAGGACAGAACTTGAACCTATGGCTTGAGAGAGCCATGCAGGCTGCTGGTGAGGGGACCAATCCTCGGCAGCCCTGCCTCTGACCTGTGCCTGTCTGTCTATTCTAGCTCTGGACAAAGCCCTGCCAGTCAGGCCTCCGCTGGCAGGAACCATGGCAGAGGCTGGGGATGCTGCGCTATCGGTGGCCGAGTGGCTGCGGGCATTGCACCTGGAGCAGTACACGGGGCTCTTTGAGCAGCATGGCCTGGTGTGGGCCACTGAGTGCCAAGGCCTCAGCGACACCCGCCTGATGGACATGGGCATGCTACTCCCTGGTCACCGCCGCCGCATCCTGGCTGGCCTGCTCCGTGCCCATACCTCACCGGCCCCTGCACCCCGCCCCACCCCACGGCCTGTGCCCATGAAGCGCCACATCTTCCGCTCACCACCTGTGCCTGCCACTCCACCCGAGCCGCTGCCCACCACTACAGAGGATGAGGGGCTCCCCGCTGCCCCACCCATCCCGCCCCGGAGGAGCTGCCTTCCGCCCACCTGCTTCACCACCCCATCCACAGCTGCCCCAGACCCTGTGCTGCCCCCGCTGCCTGCTAAGCGGCATTTGGCAGAGCTGAGCGTTCCACCCGTGCCGCCCCGCACCGGACCCCCCCGCCTGCTGGTGAGGTGAGTGGATGCCACCCAGGGTGGGAGGCGCACAGGCAGAGGATCCCAGAGGGTAGATGGGGAGTTTGTGGCCTTTGGTGCTGGGGTAAGAAAGGCACTTCGGAAGTGCAGGGGGAACAGCGTGTGCAAAGCTCGGAGGACAGGATTGCTGTCTGGTGACTCAGGAGGAGGGGAGAGCTGTGCAGGTACTCAGCGCAGTGCCTGGGCTGCTGGGCGTGTGCCAGTGAGGCCTCCAGGTTTCTGTCTTGGGTGGCTGGGTGGACAGTCGTGCCATCACTGATCCAGAGACCCAAGGACAGAAGTGACTTTGGGAGGAAGTCGAGTTCAGCTTGGGACCTGGCAACTGTGAGATACTGCAGGGTATCGGGGTCCATGCCGGCATCAAGAGGCAACATGTGTAGGAAACGGAAAGCTGCGGGGTAGGGTTGGGGGTGAGGGGACTGCCCAGGTCCTGGTGGTGTGCTCTTTCACACCCTGTCCCCTTCTCCCACTGCCAAATGTCAGCAAATCCTGGGACACTTCTCAGGCCTCATCTGGCATGCCCTCCCTCCTCAGAACTGTTTCCCCTCTGGGGCTTCTGGTACCCTGTGTTTTCTTGAGTTTCCTCTGGCTCCTGTGGATATTCCATGTTAATCTCCTTCACAGACGCCCTCCCTTCCTGCCATCTGCTGGGATGCCCGGCTGTCAGGGAGCATCCCCAGACAGGGTAGATATGTGTTTGGGGTGAGGGAGATTTGGTGGAGCACTTGGGCGAAGTGAGGCTAATCTTGGAAGGCTTCTTGGAGGAGGAAGGGGTGTGCGGAGAGAGGTCTCCTGGTCCCTGTTTGTTTATTGCTGGGCACTCTGCTGGGCTCTGTGTTTCTATGGTCTCCATGATCCCTGCAGCAGACCTTCTGGGAGATTTGTGTACTGGCTTTACGAGCAGGACATGAACAAATCAGAGGGAGAGCAGGGAGGGGGCCCTGGCTGGATCCATGCCAAGGACATACTCAGGGGGCCTTGTGGGGAGGGTCTGGGAGATTCTTTCCACCCAGGGAGGAGCATTAAGTCAGGGGGCCTTGAAGACCAAGCTAGTGCTGTGGTGTTTTGAGGGTTGATTGGTAGAAGCACAAAAAGGGTACATGCTCTTCCTGGGTTCACACAACTCGTAACAGGTATAGGGTCTCTCCAGGAACCTGGAGGGAAGCTCAGATTGAAGGTTCCTGGTGCCCTTGCGCCCTCTAGTGACCATTCTTCTGCATGCAGGAGCGTTTTCTATTTCAACCCCATCAGCTTGTGGGGGGGAGAGAGAGAGAGAAAAAGAGAGAGAGAGAGAGAGAGAGAGGTTAGAAGAGAGAAGAGGATAGAGAAGAGAAAGTCTGTCTGTCTGTCTCTGGGGTTGGAAGTGGGTGAACAAAGGGAAGAAGCAGGGCCCTGGCCAGGTCCCCTCTCAGGCCCTTCCTGTGACTCCCGGACGGGCAGTGGAGGCCTGGGTTCCTGCTTGGGAGGCAGGATGCCTGGGTCGGGCCCAGCTAGCTTTGTGACTCTGATGAGGACCTGCTTCTCTGGGCCTGTTTCCCCATCAGGTGCCCTCTGTGGTCCTCCATAGACTTCTGGGCCCTCCTGGCACTGACATCTGAGTTCAGGAGGCTTGCTGGGTAGGAGGAAGTCCTGTCCACACCCCAGGGCTCCAGGGTACCAATGCCTACTCTCAGAGCCTGTCTGAACATAGCCATTTAGGCAACATGAGGAGGAGGCCAGGCGCCATGGTCGGGAAAAGGTCTAGCCCCTTGTAGTTTGAGTACCCAAAATCTGTTCTGTGCTAAGAGAATTGGAAGAAAAGTATTTCCTGCAATTTGGGACTATTCCTTACGGCAGAGTATGGTAGTGGGTAAGCTACCAAGCCTGGCTTCCTGTGTCCTGGGGTCTTTGGCAGTTGGAGTCATGGGCATATGCAGTCTTCAGCTTTGTACACACTCAACTCAGAGAGTGTATGGTCTTCAAAGCCCTGTGGTAGGAAAAACTCACAGCAGATGGAGCCTCATGTGTGTATACCAGGCCAAGACTGAGTGCTGTAGTGATCAGGGTGGGGGCCAACATGGACCCTGACTGGCCACCTTGTCCGCTCTCAGTCCCTTCCTGTGATCCCCAGGCTCCATGGCATGTAGAGAGGAACACTGCTCCTGCCCACCCCCGCCTTGTGGGAGTCCCATCACAGTGTCTCATGACATGGCCTTCCTACCCCTGCTTGCAACCCCTCATGATGGGGAACTCACTCTCTCAACCTTAGGGCCTTTCACACAAGGTCATGTGGTGGCTGAGGCCGGTCATCTCCAGGCTCCCCAGTGGAGCTTGGGGGTGGATGCGTGTGCATGTGTGTACTCTCAGTGTCTCGAGTCAGTGTGAGGCATGTCTGGGCCAGTCTGTGTGTGCACCCATACAGATGGGTGTGGGTGGTAGTACAAGCTGTCAGGGTAGTAGAATGTCTGTGCATTTACACATTCAGACAGGTTCTGAGAGTGTGTGCTACTAAGATGTAGAAGCATGTAGGGATTTGTGCAGTTTCAGTGGTGACATGGAGTGGTGTGTATGTGAGTTTATCAGGACCTTTGTGCTCAATTACTGCTGTGGTGGAGACCCCAACAGTGTGTGAGTACATCCGCGAGTGTGCACGTGCTGTTTGAGCAGAACATGACATTTGTGTTATTTGTGCACTGTCAGGCTTGAGCCAGTGTGTGCACGTGTGTGTACATGTGCTGCCAAGAGGGAGAGCCCATTAGGATGGCAGCTCCACTGGGGCCAGGATCCTAGTCGATTTTGTTTGCTGCAGAATCCCCAACATCTAGAACAGTGCTGGATGCCTAATAGGCCCTTGGGAAGTATATCGTGTGGGTGAGTAAATGATTGCCAACGTGAGCTTGTGTACTGGCACGTGCTGAGCTTGGGGTGCATGTGGGTAAACACGCATGTGACTCAGCACCCAGTGAGTGCCCTCAGCACAGCTGGGCCATAGGGCCCTGAGCTCACCGCCCCAGCTCCCTGTCCCCCATCCTACTACCCAACCTACGTCATCCCAGATATTTTAGGAAGGGAGAGGTCTTCAGAGGAGACAGGTGGGAAGAACGAGGCTGTGATAGGATTGTAGGCCACAGACCAAGGTTTAGGCAAATCAGAAAACAAGCAAGGATGGAGTTCCCTCCTCCTGGCCTTGGCATGGCCCAGGACTCTCAGAACCAGGCTCATGATTCTGCCTGGCCTAGGGGGACTCTACATCACCCCCAGAGTCTGCACCCCCTGCTATTATTATTATTATTATCATCATTATTATTAATAGAGACTAAGTCTCTCTCTGTTGCCCAGGCTGGAGTGCAGTGGTGCCATGATAGCTCACTGTAGCCTCGAACTCCTGGGCTCAAGCAATCCTCCCACCTCAGCCTCCCAAGTAGCTGGGACTACAAGTGTGTGCTACCACACCTGGCTAATTTTTAAATCTTTTGTAAAGACGAGGTATTCCTTTGTTGCCCATGCTGGTCTTGAACTCCTGGGCTCAAGCAATGCTCCTGCCTCGACCTCCCAAAGCACTGGGATTACAGGTGTGAGCCACTGCACTCGGCACCCTACCATTAATTTAAACTCGTGGTGGGGTGCTTGCTGAGGAGCCCAGAGATGCTGAGAAACTTGCCCAGAGTCACCCAGCCCTGCAGAAGGGAAGCCGGTGCCCAGACCCTGCCTCCTGGCTTCAGGTCAGGTCTACTCAGCTCTTAAATGCCGCAGACATGAGCCCTGTGAACTGGCTTCCCTGAGGGTGGCAGAGGGGTCGTTTCTGATGTGAGGTTCCAGGGTCATGCCGCAGATCCCCTCCCAGCTTGCTCTGGCCTTTGGTGTCCCCCTCTGATACCTGGATGCCTGGAGGCACCTCAGGAAGAAGGAGTGTGTGCCCAGAAGGCAGCTGCCCAGCTGGAGCCACACTGCCAAGGCTTCCCTCCTGTGCCCTTGACTGCCCTGCAGTCCAGCCAATCCCTGGTCTTCCTGGAGGCTGATCACTTGTTGCCAGGGCAGAACTTGCGCCCTTCAGAGAGCCTCTTTCCTAGCCTCTCTGTCTCCTTATGCGGGTGGAGTGGTGGAGAGGCCACCGCCAGGGCTTGTCAGTCAGGACTTCCTGGGCATCCACCCTGTGAGGGCCTGCAAGATCAGTGGACACTGTTGGTTGTCTCTTCCCAGCTTGGGTGGGGGTGCAGCCTGGGGGCGGGGAGGAAGTGTCTGCCCCGGGGGATTCTGGGTGACTTTTCGCTTTCTCAGTGTTTTCAGGAAGTGTGTGTGTTGGCCACGGCTGCAGGAGGTGGGGGAGACACAAAGCAGGAAGCCTCCGGGAGACCAGAGCTGGGTGCAGACATACACACACACATACACACAGACACACAGAGTCACACACACTCACACACACTCTCTCTCTCTCTCCCTCTGTCTTTCTCTCTCTCTCTCTCTCTCTGTCCTTTCCTCCTGGACAGATCCACAGTTATACACAGAAACAAACACACACGCACGTAGAGAAGTGATTCACAAACACTTAAAGACATAAATCACAGGTGCAAAGCCATACCTGGGCTCAAAAACCTCCAAGAGAACGCAGCCTCAGACCCACCCAGGGGCCAGGGGCCAGGCTGTTTGCGAGACCAGCCCAGGCGGGACCCAGGCTTGCACGGGCAGGTACACGACATTCTTGGGCATACGCAGCCCGCCTGGCCGGAGCTGTGGGAGTCCTCAGCCCCAAGACCCAGCAGGCGTCTGAGGGTAAGCGAGGTGCCGCCGTTGCTGTTGTTGCTGTTGGGCACGTAGGAGGGAGGCCCTGGGAGGGCTGAAGTCCCTGTCTGTCACCTCTGGCCTGGTTTTCTGTGCTGCTCTCCTCCCCCTTCTCTTTTTTTCTCTTAGAGTTTTGTCTTATTTCACTTTCCCCACTTCTTCTCTTTTTCCCCTGCCTTTTCCTTTTCTCCCCTTGTCTCATCCCTCCCTCTTCCCTGGGCTTTCTAGGTCTCCACCTCCCCATACGCCTCTCCTGGGTCCACCAGGAGCCCACGGTGCCTGTTTTCTGGGCCTTTCTCAGACTCTGCCCCACAGAATACTCCTCTTTGGGGTTCTTGCCCCTTGGGGGCCTGGTGCTGATCACCTTACTTCTCTGCTCCCACCTCCCTACACCCCTCTGGGGATTCGTTGGGGAGGCTTAGTTTGGCTTATTTCACTGTCAAGTTCAAGGGTGCTGTGATTCTGAACCTCTCACCCCCAGACCAGGGTGATGGGGAGATGGTGTGCTGCTTACCCCTCCTCCCCAGGACTGGTGCTGTGGTGGGTGCTTATGGAGTGTGGGGGCTGGTCTCCCCTTTCCTGAGTTACCGTGGATCCCTAATGAATTCAACAATCCTGTGCTTGGCTTATTGGGGACATAGACCTCTAACCAAGTCCTGTCCACCCACCCGGCACTCTTCAGCCCTGCCCTGTGCCCTTGGCTCATCTTTTCCATAGGGCCCAGCGGATAACTGCACCTGCTCTTTCTGCCAGGCCAGGCCAGGCCTGGGCTGGACCCAGGAAGAGCTCAGTACTTCTGTGAGCTCCCTGAGGATGAACTTCCTCCTGCTGCTGCCCTCAGGAGCCAGCACAGGGCCAGGCCTGGGAAGCGCTTAGAGCTGCCATGGGAAAGGGGCCTCTGCCACCTCCTGCCCAGACAGCAGGGCTGGCCTGTGGGAAAGCTGAGTGTAGGTCTGGTGGTGGAAGGTCAAACAGGTTGTGTGGGCTTAGAGGAGGGAGGGAGCGGTTTGATGGACTTCCTGGAGGAGGAGGCATGCCCTGAGCACAATGGAGTTAATAATCCCAGGTCATTATATGAAAAAAAGCCCCTAGCAGAATGTTTGGCACATAGTGAGCGCTTAGCAAGTGGTAGCTGTTGTCCCAGGGAGAAGTGCTGAGAGCTGGGTGAAGGCGCGGTTGTGAGGATGGGCTCCAGGTTAACTGGGCACTGCTGTATGGAGAGTTTGGGGAGCTGCAGACCTTCTCCAGTGATGAGGATGCGAGTAGGGTGGTGGTCATTCAGTACCCACTTACTAAAGCCCCTTCTGTGCTGGGAACTGCTGGCGGCATGGAGAGGACTGGCCCTAGGGGCTCCCGGCTTGTGCAGAAGTTGAGAGAAGCAGACCGTGGACATCCCATTCTAGCAAGTGAGACCCTAGGAAGGGCTGTCTATGCTGGGGGCTAGGCAGAAGTGAACAGAGCAGAACCAGGAGAGTGCTGGAGGGGATGACCTTTGGGTCTCATGATGGAGGAGGAAGGAAGAAGCCACAGAGGAAGCAGGAGGCATAGGACTGAGGCCCGGGCCCCTGAGAGTCCAGAGCATGATTGAGGAAGCGGGCAGCTGGGACAGTTTACCCCTGTGGAATGGAGACATCAGGGTGGGACACAGATGTCCACAGATCACTGGGCCGGCAGCCCTGATGGTGAGAGTCCAGGGGCTGGGATTGGGCCAGGTCCCTCCAAGACCTGTGTGACATCTTGTGGGGAGGTGGTGACTCTAGGATGGGGTTAGGTCTGGGTCCTCAGTCCTCTGAGGCAGTTCAGTGAAGCACACATTGATATGACCATATTGAGTGATCAGAATTGTGGGGAGCCCCAGGGAGGCCCCAGATCAGCCTGAGATGTGAGGGGAGGCCTGCGATAGTGGGGAGGATGGATGTATGATTTGGGCTTTTTATAGGAGGACTAGGAGTTGGCCAGGCAGGGGAGGGTGTTCCAGGTGGAAGGAACAGAGTATTAAAGGCCTGTAAGTATGCACTGATAGACTGCAGCTCAGTCAGGGAGGGCTGGAGTGTGAGTAGTGGGGTGAGTCCAGGGTCAGCCTGAGATATGCAGACTGCTCCACTCTGTGGCCTTCCTTCTCTCACAGTGACACCTGGTTCTTTCGGCCAGAGATTGGTATAGACAGAAAGATAGGAACGGGTAGGGGTGAAGGAGAAGGAGGTGGCATTAGAGGCCGCTAAGGCTATGAAGCTGGTTCCTGGCTCAGCCTGTAGGGCCTGGGTCTCCTTCAAGGTGAAGAGGTTCTGTTGATGCCATGTGCAAGTGGCCCTCCTTTACTGAATTATCAGTAAGCCTGGAGACTGAGGCTCGGAGAGGAAGGGACCTGCTCAAGGTCCCAAACCAATGAGTTGAGCTGAGTTCAAGCCCAGGTCTGCCTGGCTCCAAGCCCTGTCTCTAGTTAATTGAGTAACCACACATCTCATTTGACGTGGGACAGGCCCTGTTTATGCCTGCTGCCCTGACATAGTTATTAATAGTGCCTCTTTTAACTCTTAGAAGTGTTTGTGGTTTATACAATGAATTATGTGGTCATGGGTAAGAGGAGGGTGACCTTGGGCAGGGCAGTGATGTGTTCCCTCTCAGATGAGTCCTGAGACCTGGTGGCCCATGGGAGGAGACTGGCCTCAGAGAAGCCCTGGGACCCTGGCATGGCCTTGTTTGCTCGGCTGTGGTGCTGGGCTGCCAGGGTTCAAATACCAGCTGTGGCATCAAGAACAAATAATCCAACATCCCTGTGCCTCGGTTTCCTCCTCTGTAAAGTGGAATCATCACGAGCCTTACCTTACAGAGCACTGTGAGTAGATGAATGAAGAATCCATGTCAAGTGCTCAGAAAATGCCTGGGAACACATACACGTAGACACGCACACACAGAGTTAATGAATCCAGGTGTTTGTAAGTCCCTGCTGAGTGCTGGAGATACCCCAATGAGGATGGGATGTCCATGGTCTGCCTCTCAACTTCTGCACAAGCTGCACCCTCCTCTTACCCATTCTGCATTTTGCCTACCCACCATGTCACCTAACCCCCAGGCATGAGGTCTGCTGCATGTATTTTCTCTGATTCTATAAAATAGATTTAGGCTGAGGGCCCAGGCTGGGGTGAACCAACCCCTTAGCTGCCCGGGGTGCCTAGTCTCTCGGGAATAGTGGGTAAGCAGGTGGGTTCACATGCCCCTTGGGTAGAGGGGAGAGGGAGCTGCAGTGCGGGGTGAGTGGGGAGCAGCTCTGTGGGAGAATCTTGGAGGTTGCCTAGAGGAGGAGGCCGGCTGAGCTGCATTTTGAGGTGGAGGTGGGCTTCTGTGGGCTACGGGAGGGAGAGGGCAGAGGAGGATGAAACTGTGTGAAGGCTTGGAGGTGGCGCCATTGAGGACGTGGTCCAGTGGGTGACAAGTCAGTGGGTGACATCCAAGCCGGGCCTCAGCTGGACCTCGGGATTGGAGCGGGGCCTACTCTTAGGGGTGCAAGCAGTGAGAGGCTGGGACTTGGGCTATGGCGGGGGCATTCTGTGGGCCCTGTTCTCGGTAGGGGGTCACTGCCTTTTCCCTGGGGTTTTCCCACATGTTGTGCCTTCCTGAAAGCACTTCTCCTTTCCTGGGCTCCGTCCTGACTCAGCAGTGCCCTGATACCCTGTGGTAAGCAGGCAGGCAGGGAGCAGCCAGGAGACTTCCTGGAGAAGGTGGCTAGAATTTCCCAGATGCTTCCGAGAGGCCCCTGTGTTCCACCTTCGTGAGACACGGTCCCTTCCCTGTGGAAGCTCTGCTGGGAGAGGAGCCCTTTGCATCTGTTTCCCTCTCCCTTCTTGCCGTGGGCAGGGCAGTGATGTGTTCCCTCTCAGATGGGTCCTGAGACCTGGCTGCCCATGGGAGGAGGCTGGCCTCAGAGGAGCCCTGGGACCCTGGCATGGCCTCATTTGCTCAGCTGTGGTACTGGGCTGCCAGGGTTCACATCCCAGCTGTGGCACCAAGAACAAATAACCTAGCATCCCTGTGCCTCGGTTTTCTCCTCTGTAAAGTGGAATCATGACAAGCCTTACAGAGCGCTGTGAGTAGATGAATGAAGAATCCATGTCAAGTGCTCAGAAAATGGCTGGGAACACACACATGTAGACACGCATACACACAATTAATGAATCCAGGTGTTTGTAAGTCCCTGCTGAGTGCTGGAGTTACCCCAATGAGGAAGGAGGGTGTGGAGCTTGCTTCAGGGAACGTGCCTGCTGCCCAAGATGCACAGACCCGTCGCAGTTGATCAGGACAGTGATGGGAGATGCACTGTGGTGCCAGAGGAGGGGGGCTGATGCTGCCGGACCCCAGGGATGCGGACGAGCAGGTGGGCAGTTTTTATTTATGGTTACCACCTTCCCCTCAGCTCTGGCCCTCAGACCTGGGGGAGCTTTGGGAGCCAGGCTCCCTCAATCCTGCTTGGCATTGGAGAGATGGCACCTGTCCCCACCTCCCTGGACTGAGGTCTGACTGGCCCTGGCCTGACAGCTTGGAATTCTGCTCTCTGCTGATCCCAGGCCGGGTTTCCAAGGCGCCTTCCTCTTGGGCTCTGGGAGGCAGCAGTGATGGATTGATTTGCCCATCAAGAAGTCTCTAAGGGAATCGCAGGTGACCAGCTGGGGCCAGCACCCCAGCTCATGCTCTTGGGCCTTCAGGCACTCCCTCAGTTGCTTGGTCATCGTTCACCCCTTCCGTTGCCTTCCCTTCCACCTGCCCACCTGTCCACCCACCTTGTCCACATGCTATTGCTACTGACTGGGCTGCGGGGGTACCAAGTCAGATGCTGCCCCTGCCCCAAAGGGACTCAGGTCATGTAGGGGAGACGGCCTGGTGCAGTGCCCACCAGGGGGTCTTCATAGGTCCAGCTGTGAGAGTACGTTCCGACTCAAGACTCCCACAGGCCCACCCCTTGGCCCCAGATTCCCAGAGAGGCCCGTTGGGTAGGGAGCAGCTTGCCGCCAGGGCAGTGGCAGGCCTTCGTCTGCCATGGGGTCTTTGAAGCGATCCGAGCCACAGCCCATGCAGCTGTCCAGGAGCCATTCTCTGTGGCCCTCCAAGTGACAGCTCAGGAGTGAAGGACTGGGTCTCACAGTGGATAGTGACTCATAGGGAGCCATCCTGGCTTTGAAAGCTCTTACCTAAGGGGCCAGTAGTTTTCTAACATCCCCACAGGTGTGGCTTCAACTCCCTGTGTGCGATGTGCCCAGTTTGCAAGTCACCACACTGAGCGAAGCTCAAAGCTCCGGTTTCTCTACCAGATATAGAATCTGCTTATAGTTTCTCTCCGTCCAGATGCTGTTCCTCCACAGGCCATGCTGCCAAAGGCAGTGGTTGCCTGGTAACAGGGCTGACACGCCACCGTTTGCAGGTTTCTAGGGGAACAGAGCTGGAAACCTAGCCGAAGGCCAGCTCTTCACACAGAAGAGGAAAGGGTTTGGTTAACTTTTATCTACACCTGGAGAAGAGACAAGTATAGTAGAAGGTGATGTGGAAGTAGCCAAGTGTCCTAAGAAGCTCATAAACTTTGGAGTCAGGGTTCAGATCTTGGCACAAAGGAGATACTTTGAAAAATGTCATTTAGAATAATTTGTATGAAGATCTTTTTTTTTTTTTTTTTTTTTTTGAGACGGAGTCTTGCTCTGTCCCCCAGGCTGGAGTGCAGTGGCGCGATCTCGGCTCACTGCAAGCTCCACCTCCCGGGTTCATGCTGTTCTCCTGCCTCAGTCTCCTGAGTAGCTGGGACTACAGGCGCCTGCCACCACGTCCGGCTAATTTTTTTGTATTTTTAGTAGAGATGGTGTTTCACTGTGTTAGCCAGGATGGTCTCGATCTCCTGACCTCGTGATCCGCGCGCCTTGGCCTCCCAAAGTGCTGGGATTACAGGTGTGAACCACTGCACCCAGCCATTTGTATGAAGGTCTTAATGGAGAGCAGCATAAAGGAGGGTCAAGGAAGACTTTCAGAGAAGGGAAATGTGGTTTTAGAGTTAAAGGATTGCTTTGGGAAGCCGAGGTGGGAGGATTGCTTGATGCCAGGAGTTCAAAACCAGCCTGGGCAACATAACAAGACCCAGTCTCTACACCTTGAGACCCACCTACTCGGGAGGCTGAAGTCAGAGGATCACTTGAACTCGGGAGTTTGAGGCTGCAGTGAGCTGTGATTGTGCCATTGCACTCCAGTCTGCCACAGAGTGAGACCCAGTCTCTTAAAAAAAAAAAAAAAAAAGAAGTTAAAAAACTAGTGGATATTCCCAGGCAGAGAACAGGGAGAAGGGTGTTACTGGTGGAGGCAACAGCAGGAGGAAAGGCCTGGCATCATGACCACACCCCAGGCAGACCCTGTCACTGCCTCCCAGCCCTTCCTTGCTTTCACGGTAGCCCCACACCATCAGCCAGGAACACCAGGGCAACAGACAAGGCCAAAAATAAGCCATCCACCCTGATTCTCCTCCTTGGCCCCTGCAGGGCACTGGCAGAGACAGCTGGTGGGGCCAGGCCTCCAGGGCTCAGGCACCTTGTTCCAGCCTGTAGTCCCCGTGCATCCTGTGCACTGGCACATGACACATCCTGTCTTGGTTAATCCTTCTAGCACCCTGCCAGGTCAGTGATATAGCCCCCGTTTCACAGAAGAGGAAACTGAGGCTCAGAGGGGCTAGGTGCTCACCCCAGGACACACAAGAACTAAGAAACTAAGGCAGGATTCAAATTCATGTCCTTGATGCCACAGCCCTTCAGAAGACAGCCTGCCAGAAGCAATGTGATCTGTACTGAGACAGATGGGAACACTGTGGGGCCGTGAGAGCCCAGGAGGCCCTGAACTTGGCCTTGGAGAATCAGGGGAGGGTTCCCTGGGGAGTGGTAGCAGAGGTGAGTGAGTGGGGTGAGGTAGCAGAGGTGTGGGAGATGGGTCTGGTGGGATCAGGTGAGTTTGAGGAGTCTGAGGGCACCAGGAGGTAGTGAATATCCAAATCTGGGCAAGAGCAAGGTGATCTTGAGACAGAGACCCACAATTCAGGGCCTTAGGAATTGGTTTCTGAGGCTCTGGTCTGTGCCTCGGGCCTTGCAGCTCATTTCAATCCTGTCCCTTCTCTTTGCCGTCAATGCCTTCTTATCCTTAAAAGCTCAGGTCAAGCATCACCTTCTCCACGAATCCTTCCCTGACTCCCCATTCTGGTCTTTATCCCTCCTTCAGTGTGGAGACCCAGTAGATATATGTGACTAAAAGCTAGAGCACTGGGGATAGGTGAACACCTCATTCAGGCCAAAGAGGGTGCCTGCTTCCTTTAGGCTTCGGGGAACCAGGAGGGGTTTTGGTCTGGGAGATGAGTTGAGGAGGACTGTGTGCAGGAGGGCTCCTGTCTGTGTGAGTTTGTGTAGTGCCTGAGTTTTGCTGCAGTTCAGGTGAGCTGGGGGCTCAGTATGTTTCAGTCTTGGCTCTGTTGCTTAGTGATGCCCAACTTTTGTTGTGTTCCCAGCCTGCCCACTAAGGAGGAGGAGTCATTGCTGCCATCATTATCATCCCCTCCCCAGCCACAGTCTGAGGAGCCCCTGTCCACCCTCCCCCAGGGGCCTCCCCAGCCTCCCTCTCCACCTCCCTGCCCCCCGGAGATACCTCCAAAGCCGGTACGCCTGTTCCCAGAGTTCGGTGAGTGCTGCAGCCAGGAGATGGGGCTCTGGGTGGATGGCCTGGGATCCCTGGAATCAGGCCTCTGGAAGGTATGCAAGGATCACACTCCTTTCTGTGCAAGCCTGCCACCAGCCCACTGTGTGGCCCCGGGCAGGTCACAGCCTCCCTGAGCGCTATTCTCTTCATCCTCACAATGGAGACAGCACCCACCTCTCTGGCCTCCTGACCGTTAAGTGTGGGGCCATGGCCGGCTTTGCCAGTTACCCATGGTCTGATTTTCCATGGTGTTGGGTGGTTTGCTTTTCTTTTTTTTTTTTTTTTTTGAGATGGAGTCTCGCTCTGTCGCCCAGGCTGGAGTGCAGTGGTGCAATCTCCGCCCACTGCAAGCTCTGCCTCCTGGGTTCACGCCCTTCTCCTGCCTCAGCCTCCCGAGTAGCTGGGACTACAGGCGCCCGCCACCATACCTGGCTAATTTTTTGTATTTTTAGTAGAGACGGGGTTTCACCGTGTTAGCCAGGATGGTCTCGATCTCCTGAGTTCGTGATCTGCCCACCTCAGCCTCCCAAAGTGCTGGGATTACAGGCATGAGCCACCGCGCCTGGCCAGAGGTGGTTTGCTTTTCCTGGGGTTGGCCACATTTGTTGATTCTTGTTGCCTTTGACAGTCCTTACCCCAACCCCCAAGCTCACCACTGGCTCGGACCTCCTTGTGGTGTCCCAGCTTCTCCTCTGCCACCCTTTAGTACTGTCCTATGAGGCCTGGGGGTATAAATCGCACTTCCTGTCCCCTGTGCCTTTTTTTGAAAGCCAGGGGGAGGTGGGGATGGGGGTCTTGGCATGGGGGAGGCTTTGTGAAGCCCAGTGTGGTGCCCCAGGAGAGGAGGCCAGGCCCCTTGCCCTGAGGCCCCCCAACCCCTCTCTCACCAGATGACTCTGACTACGATGAGGTCCCAGAGGAGGGGCCGGGGGCCCCAGCCAGAGTGATGACCAAGAAGGTGGGGCCAGGCATGGGACTGTCTGCCTGTCAGGGTGTTGTGGGGGTGCCCAGCTGCCTGTCAGACCCTGAGGACTACCAGACAGAGAGTGGGCAGCCATTTCCCGGGAGGCTTCCCCTTCCCCCACCTCACTCTCTTGCCATACGGGGGTCAGGAGTCACGTGTAGCCACAGCGCTCTGGGCCAGGGGTCGGGGCTCTGGTGTGGCTCCCCCAGGCCCTGGCTGTATGTGGGTGGGCATGTGGCCTCCCCCCACCCTGTGTGTTAGGAACTCGTGTCCTGTCCCGGAGTGTCTGTCTCTGTTTCACTTCTTGTGTTCCCGTGTCTGTCTGTCTTGCATCCCTAGCCCGCAGTCTTTTTCTCTGTCCCTTTATCTTTCTGTTTTTGTCTGTGTCCTAGGTCGGTTTCTGCCACTGGCTCTCCTGTCCCTGTGATCTGGGTCTCTGTGTGGTCTCCGCTGGCAGGGGGAGGGGAGTGTGAGGAAACAGAACTAAAAGTGCTGGGCTGTGTGGGTCGGGGCTGTGTGGACAGAGGGGGCGTGGCAGCCCCGGGTGGGTGTGATCTGTGGCTTGAAGGGAAGGATGACGCTGAGTGGGTCTCGGGGGCAGGAGGAGCCCCCACCGAGCCGAGTCCCACGGGCCGTGCGCGTGGCCAGTCTGCTGAGCGAGGGAGAGGAACTGTCTGGGGACGACCAAGGGGATGAGGAAGAGGATGACCACGCCTATGAGGGCGTCCCCAAGTGAGTGTCCGGCCACCCTCCTTCCCACTGAGCCCAACCTCAGCCCGCCCCCTCCTTGCCTCCTCAGCCCGGCCCCCCATCCCCTCATCTCTCGCTAGTGGCGGATGGCATACCAGCAGCCTGAGCTTGTCCTTGCCCAGCACAATAGCTGCGCCACACCCCATGGACGGGCCGCCTGGGGGCTCCACCCCCGTCACACCAGTCATCAAGGCTGGCTGGCTGGACAAGAACCCACCGCAGGGGTGAGTGAGGCCTCTTGGGTCCTGCTGTGCTCTGCATGGGGGGGTGGGGGGCAGTGTCCAGGACCCCAGGACACTGGTATCACTCACTGATCTGAAAACCAGAAGGGCCTGCGATGATTTGCACAGGTCTCCCTCCAGGCACACTGTGACCACTGATGATTCCCTCCAGACCCATTTTATTGCCCTGAAAATTGGGAGATCGCTGGGCATAGTGGCTCACTCCTGTAATCTCTGCACTTGAGATACTGAGATGGGAGGTTTGCTTGAGGCCAGGAGTTTGAGACCACTCTGGGCAACATGGCGAGACCTCGTCTCTACAAATAAATTTAAAAACTAGCCAGGTGCAGTGGCTCATGCCTGTAGTTTTGGCTACTTGGGAGACTGAGGTGGGAGAAGCACTTGAGCCCAGGCATCTGAGGCTGTAGTGAGCTAGGCCTGTACTACTGCCTTCCAGCCTGTGTGGCAGAGTGAGACCCTGTCTCAAAAAAAAAAAAAAAAAAAGAGATGTGCTACTTTGAGTCTGACTTCAGTCACTCTTGCTGTAAAGTCCATCTTCTTGCCAGTGGCCATTTGGGATTCTTCCTCCCTAGAACCTGGCTGATCCTCACTCTGAGTGTGGCTTCTGAGGGCTGGGGTGGTCCTGGAACCTGTCCTCCTACCCCCGGTCATTTGCTTGTTGTCCCTCTCCCTCTCCAGATCTTACATCTATCAGAAACGATGGGTGAGACTGGATACTGATCACCTGCGATACTTTGACAGTAACAAGGTGAGGCCTGCATCAGTCCTGACGCGACCCCTGCTCCAGCCTAGGCTGGCCCCAACACTGGAGCGAGGTGGCGTCCCTCCCCAGAGGAGTCCTCGCCAGAGTTCTAAGTCTGACCCCTTAACCCATGTCCTCCTGGCCCTCTGCCTGCTGAGGGCTGCAGTCAGGGTCAGCACAGGGTCTTGTCTCTAACCAGCTGCAGGAGACAGGGCTGCAGACTTCATTTTGGCTGAGGCTGGGGGAGTCAGCGAGGTGCTGGGTCCCAAAATATAGTTCCTGTCTCTCCCCCAGGACGCTTACTCTAAGCGCTTTATCTCTGTGGCCTGCATCTCCCACGTGGCTGCCATCGGGGACCAGAAGTTTGAAGTGATCACAAACAACCGAACCTTTGCCTTCCGGGCAGAGAGTGATGGTGGGGAGTGTGGGGTGTTGTGTGTGTGTGTAGAAGAGGGTAGAGAAGACTGGAAGTTTGGGCAGAGGAGGGGGAAGAGAGTCATGGTGCATCTGCCCTCTCACATCACATCCGGGGAGGCATGCTGCCTTTGTGAGGTGGGCAGAGGAAGGGGGCACCCTCTGTGACCGGCTCTGTGCTTGGCACGGTCACTGACTCCTCAGAACCACACAATCAGCGGGAGCAGGCTTGGAGGGGTGAGGTCACTTGCCCAGCATCAGTGGCATAGCTGGGATTGGAGCCTGAGCTCGTTCAAGTCAGAGAAGTCAAGCAAAATGATGGGGGCATCTGAGTGGGCTTTCTGGAGGAGGTGTTGCATGAGGAGCCTAGGGCCAGGAGACCCCTGAGGGGCTCCCTGCAACCTTGGGCTTACTCCTCTACCCTTCTCCTGCAGTGGAGCGGAAGGAGTGGATGCAGGCCCTGCAGCAGGCCATGGCTGAGCAGCGTGCCCGGGCCCGGCTCTCTAGCGCTTATCTGCTGGGAGTTCCAGGCTCAGAGCAGCCTGACCGCGCTGGCAGCCTGGAGCTTCGTGGCTTCAAGAATAAGCTGTACGTGGCCGTGGTCGGGGACAAAGTGCAGCTCTACAAGAATCTAGAGGTGCTAAGGGGTCATGGAACCTCTCCCCTGCCCATGTCCACCTACCCTGCCCCAGGCTGACCTAGGGCCTTAGCCCTGCCTTTTCTGTTCCCTCTTTTCCTGCACTGGGCCCAGCCCTTTGCCTGGATATGTCCTCGCTCCCCCAAGTTCTGACCACTTCCCCCAGGCTCTGAGCACTGCCCTCCAGTCCCTGCCCTGGCCCTTGCTCCCCCGCACCTCTGTTCATTGCTGTGTGGGCCCTGAACCTGCAGCCCCTTACCCTGCCCAGCCTCCCATGTCCCCTGCTGTCTCCCTCCTGGGCACCCCCCCCAGTCCCTGAGTTGCACCACCTTCCCTTCCTCTCCCTGTCCCAAGCCTCACGCCCTGCCCCCAAAGCCTTGCCCTCATCCCGTCCCATCTGCCCTCCAGGAGTACCACCTGGGCATTGGCATCACCTTCATCGACATGAGCGTGGGCAACGTGAAGGAAGTGGACCGGCGCAGCTTCGACCTCACCACGCCCTACCGCATCTTCAGGTGACCCTCCATCTTCTTGGCTCACCGGCATCCTCACTCCTTCCTAATGTTTTCCTTTTGCGCGACGTGGGAAGCTGCCCCTTCCTATGGGATGGGTTCCCTCACCCTGCCCCGCCCTGCCCCACCTGTGGAGCCCCTCTCCCGTCACTTGCTAACCCTCTCTGATCTCCTTCCCTCCTGAGAGGTCTTACTCTCCCCTGTGCTGCTTGGCAACTGCTGTCCTCCCCTGCCCGCCATGCTGCTCAGGGGTTGCCCATCTGGCCTCCTGCTCCCACTGCCCCTGCCCCACTATCCCTGCGCCTACGCCACCCCTGGAGAGTGCTCTTGTCTCTCATGAGGCTGCTCCTCAGTCCTTGTCTCTGGGCCACCAAGCCTCTGCCATCTTGGTTTCCTCTGACCTCAGCTGTTCATTGGTGTCTTTCTCTGTCCTCTGCCCTCTCCCTGGGCAGCCTTGCCCACTCCCAGGCCTTCAGCCGCTACCTCTGAGGTACTGAACTATGCCTGGGTTCGAATCCTGGGTCCACCACTGACTAGCTGTGTGACCTGGGAAATCACTTGGCCTCTGTGTGCCTCAGTTTCCTGGGGAAGTGTTTGTAATACTGGGTAGTAACTGCTCAATAAACACTAGCATCACTCCCAACCCTTCCACTTCTCTGCTCTTAGTCCAGGTGTCTGTCTCCAGCGGGATCTTTCTGCTGAGCTCTGGCCTGCATATCTGACAGCTGTGGGCATCTCCCCTTTTCAGCTCCCTGTTCTTCCCAGAGGCCTGTCTCTCCAACCAAGAAGGAAGGACTCGTGCCTTTCCTTTTTTTTTTTTTTTTTTTGCTTTTTGAGACAGAGTCTTAGGCTCTGTCTCCCAGGCTGGTGTGCAGTGGCACGATCTCGGCTCACTGCAACCTCTGCCTCCAGGTTCAAGTGATTCTCCTGCTTCAGCCTCCCCAAGTAGCTGGGATTACAGGTGCACGCTACCACGCCCGGCTAATTTTTGTATATTTAGTAGAGACAGGGTTTTGCCGTGTTGGTCAGGCTGGTCTCGAACTCCTGACCTCAGGTGATCCACCCACCTCGGCCTCCCAAAGTGCCGGGATTACAGGGGTGAGCCACCACACCTGGCCTGTGCCATTCCTTTTTACCCCATCTGGCCCCATCCCTCTGCTGTCACCCTTCTAGCCCAGGCCTGGTGGGCCTTTGGCCCCAGCGCCTGCCTCCTCACTCTTGGGCCGCCCGTGCCTGTCCAGCCTCTTTACTCCAACTGCTTTGACTTCTGCGGGAGCCTTATATTTGAGAGCTAAGTTTTTATTTGCTCATTTCTTGCATTTGAAGTTCTCTTTGATGACATCCTTGCCCTGAGATTCTTTGCCATAGTCCTTAACTACCACACAGCTGCAGCCCCGCCTGACGGGCGTTCTCTGATTGTCAGTCTGAGAGGCCTGTCCGTTCCTGGGTTTCTTGTTGTCATCAACCCTAAAGAGGTAGACTTAGTGTTCTACACAAAGGGCCTCCCCCAGCTGGCATGAGTGGCTCGTTGCATTTGGGTGCAAGCACAGGAAGGTGAGCTTGGTGCTTGGCTCCACCTTTGGCAGTTTTGCGAATTCCACGTGCTAGGTTGTGGAGGAGGAGGTCTCCAGCACCTCCATAAAGTGGCATTAATGGCCATCACACCTCCAGCAGCGATGCCTTCCTTGGTTGTGGCAATGGGTCATGGGTGGAGTAGACTCATGGTCACATGTGTGACTCGGTGGTGGCAGGGAAAGAGCCAGAGGGGTCTTTTTAAAACTAAATTTTTTCAGGGACAGTCATCATTTATTGTTCAACCAGGGCCTCCCACCCTGAAGAGCAGGGCATGCTATAGCGGCCACAGGTGTCTCGGTATGTTGGGCCAGTGGAGTTCTTTGTGGAGTGGGGTTATGGAGCATGTCACATTTGGGGCTGGGACAGGAATGAGGATAGGGATGGCGGAGGAGTCTTTTAAAGACATCTCTGTACCCTCCCCTCCTTCCTACTTAAACCCTCTGTGGGTTCTCCATTGTCCTCAGGGTACACTTTGACTTCCTCTTCCTGATGCAGGCCTGTCCCTGTCCATCTCCCACCCTTTTCTCTGCCAGTCTGCCCTTCTGTCTCCTGGAATGCCCCCTGTGCAATCCTGCCCCTTTGCACATGCTGTTCCCTCTGTCTAGACTGTCCTTTCACCTCTTCACCTGGCTCAGCCCTTCTGATCTGTCGAATCTTAGCTCAGGCATCATTTTCTTCCCAGCAGCCTTCATTCTGCGGGCTGGGCAGAGCCCCCCACTGGGCTCCCCTGCCCCCATACGCTCTTGTGTTCCTGTTGTCCTTGCCTTTGTCCACACCTACCTTCCCTACCAGAGTGGGATGCCTCACTCTTTTGCCTAAGCGCTCCCAACACCTTGTCCCCCACTTCATTCTGTGCATCCTCATGCTGCCCCCAAATCCCTCTGAGTCCATCCCCACTAATCTCCCCACCCCTATGTCCCCAGCTTCTCTGCTGACTCAGAGCTAGAGAAGGAGCAGTGGTTGGAGGCCATGCAGGGAGCCATCGCTGAGGCCCTGTCTACCTCGGAGGTGGCCGAGCGCATCTGGGCTGCAGCCCCCAACAGGTTCTGTGCTGACTGCGGGGCTCCTCAGCCTGACTGGGCCTCCATCAACCTCTGTGTTGTTATCTGCAAGCGCTGTGCAGGTGTGTGCATGGGGGTCGGGGCACCAGGCAGAGGCATGGCGGGGTTGGCCAGTTGGGATGGCAGGTATCCTATCTGGAGGAGGGCCTGGAGCGGAGACAGCACTCAGAGAGCTGCTGTTGATGAGGCTTCTCCTGCACACCTGTGATTAGCTTTGAGTCCTTACATTGCCAGGCAGGGGTTCAACTTCTCCCATCACGGGTGGGGACACGGAGGCACAGGGAGAGGAAATGGCTTGTTCAGGGTCACCTGGCAAGTAAGTGAGCCCAGATTTGAGCCCAGGCTTGTTGGGGTCTGGTGTTCCTCTCATGTCAGAAGAATAGGGAAGGCCAGGCAAGAGGAGTTGGCAGGGGCCAGGCAGGGCTTTGCATGCAGAGGGAGGAGCTGGTTTTTGTCTGGAGGGCGATGGGAGGCGGGGACATGGTCAGATTTGTGGGTCAGACTCTGGCTGGTGGGTGAAAGCTGAGTTAGAGGGGCAAGACTGGAGACCAGTGAGGAGGCTGCCATAGGATCCAGGAGAGGGAGGAGGAGGAAGCCTGGCCTGGGGAAGCCGTGAGCATTTGAGGGCTGTTCAGGATCTATGGTGGAAAACTCTCTGACTGACTGGATGAGGAAGATGAAATGCGAGAGGGTTGAGCCCAAGGTTCATTCATCTGCTCAATCGAGGCCACTCATTCTGGCCACTGTGTGCCAGATGCTGGGGATTCTGTCCTCTTGGGAGCTGACGTAGCCCAGGTGGTGGCTGTGGGCTGCTGGAGGTGGGGATCCAGGTGGAGGAGCAAGTCTAGGGAAGTGTGCTGGGGAGGCCCTCTCTGAGGAGGTGACATGCCAGCTGAGATCTGAATGGCAGGAAGGAGTGGCCATGAGGACATGGGTGATGACAGTCTGGGTAGAAAGATGAAGGAGGGGAAGCAGGTAAGGAGTTGTGATCTAATTCTGGGAGCCACTGGAGGGTGAAAGCAGGGATTAGAAGTCAGGGATTTACATTTTAAAGAGATCACCTCTGGCAGGGCTTTGTTAAGAGTGGCCTGCAAGAGGCCAAGCATGGTTCCAGGGGGCCAGTTGCAGAGGGCTGGTGCAGGAGCCCAGGCAAGGATTACGGGGCTCAGTCCTGCCCTGTGGGGAGCAAGAGTACACGGCTGGATTCCAGAGCTGCCAGCAGGCCTACCCCCTGGGGCCTGCCTGTGGCCTCTCATCCCTGCCTGTCCCAGTAGACACTGGGGGTGGGTAAGTGCTCCCGTGAAGGGGGGGCCCAGGTGATTCTGGGTCTGGCCCTGTGTCTACAGGGGAGCACCGTGGCCTGGGCGCTGGCGTCTCCAAGGTGCGGAGCCTGAAGATGGACAGGAAGGTGTGGACAGAAACACTTATCGAGGTGGGGATGCCCCTGCTTGCCACCGATACTTGGGGTCTGCCCCATTCAACAGCTGTCTGGGTCTCCCAGCCCCCTCCCTATCTCAGTGACCACAGCACCTTGGAGCTGGAAGAGACCCTTTGTGATAATCTAGTGGGTGGGGATTTCGGAAAAGCAATTTTTGGCAAAGTCAGCAAACTGGCCAGTGAGCTAAGAATGTTTTTATAGTTGTAAAGTGTTATTTTTTTTTAAAGAAAAAAAAAGGAAGAAAATGCAGCAGAGACTGTATGTGTTCTGTAAAGCCGAAAATAATTACTATTTCGCCCTTTAGAGAAAGAATTTGCTAACTTCTGATCTAATTTCACTGTCATCCATTGAATAGATGTGTAAACTGAGGTCCTGGGCAGGGCTGTAATCTGCCTGAGATTACCCTGTAAATGCATATTGACCACCATCCCTGCCTCTTTCCATCCCACTTCTGGCTGACCCAGGGCCTTCTCCCCTACCTTGCACAGCCCCTCAGAGGCCCTCAGCCTCCATTTCATGTGAACTCACATGTACCAGTGGGTATATATATGTGTGCTGTGTGTGCACACACGTGTACATTTATGCCCCTGTACTGGAAACTCCCAGGTACCCATATGTGGTAGATATAGGGGAGAACCTGCAATGGGAGGGTAGACCCAGGCTGCAGACTCCAGACACTTGGAGTGTCACATCCGTTTCTCACCTCCCCACGGTGTGTTTGGCACATAAGTGCTAAGGACTTTGCATATGTTAATTAACTGACTTTCAGAACAAGCCAGGAGTTAGGATTAGAATAACCAGTTTACAGCCTTGAAGCCCAGGGAGAGAAAATAACTTGCTGGAAGACACAGAGTGAATCAGTAGTGGCAAGGACTTTTCTGCTTTGTTCTGTGCTGTGACTCCAGCACCCCATACAGGACCTGACAAGGAGGCAAGGTGGGGGGCCTAGGAAATGGCTGTGGAATGAGGAGCCGAATGAAGGAACTGATTACCAAATGCTGGATCCCTGCACTCACCCAGAATCCACCCCCATCCCTCTTGCCCAGAGAGGAATGTCAGGGATAGGAGAGGTTTCCAAAATCCCTGCCCACCCCATTGGCTGACAGGTTAGGCACCCATCCCCAGCTGTCACAGCCTCAGGAATGCAGAGCTCCAGATGTGGAACTGGGTGGGGCAGCAGCAAGGCCCCTGGGACCAGGTGCAAGGCCTGAGGCATCCACCTGTCAGTCTGCTGACTCCCTGTCCTGTCACTGAGCCTGAGACCTAGGCTCAGAGCCCAGTGCTGGTGGCAGGAGCATCCCCAGCCACCAGCAGGCCAGGCTGTCCTCACCTTCCCCATTGGGAAAGTGGGCAGATGGCCTGGCTCTCCCAGCCCCTTTCCTAACAACCTCAGAAACCAAGTTTCTGCCCGGCACGGCCCCTGGCTGTCAGCTGGCCCGTCTGACCTCCTGCACACCCCCACAGCTCTTCTTACAGCTGGGGAATGGCGCTGGGAACCGCTTCTGGGCAGCCAACGTGCCCCCCAGTGAGGCCCTGCAGCCCAGCAGCAGCCCCAGCACCCGGCGGTGCCACCTGGAGGCCAAGTACCGTGAGGGCAAGTACCGCCGCTACCACCCGCTCTTTGGCAACCAGGAGGAGCTGGACAAGGTCAGGGCACTGCAGCTCTGGGGCCCCTTGGGACCACCCCCGTCTTTCTGCTGCCCTGTTCCTCATGCTGTCTTAACCCATCTCATCTACCAGCTCAGGGAGATGTCTTGGCATATGGGGAAACTGATGTTTGGAGGGCAGAAGGGCCCTGCCTAAGCCATGTGAAAAGTTCTGGCCATGCAGGGAGGAGCCAGGCCTGACCCTTGGGCCAAGGGCACATCCCCAGCATCTGTCTGTCTCTCTCCCAATTCCTCAGTCTCCTGCACCCCGTCCGGTTGCTTCTGAATCCTGCCAAAAAGAGTGAACTTGATGGGGATGCTATTTCCTGTCAGGCTCATGAAAAACAGCTGGGCTGCTCTGACCCATCCCCATCCACACCCCACTCAAGATGAGGCCCCGCATGGGCCCCAGGCCCTGACAGGCTGGGAGCCAAGTCTTAGGCCCTGATCTGGCTCTGCCTGAGTGGGAGGCAGCCAGCTCCGAGGCAGGGGTATGCCATTTGTGACCTCTGGTTGGCCTTCAGCCCCTCCCCCAAACCGCCCCTCCCAGGCAGACTCAGTCCAGCTAGAAGCCCGGTGGGAGTCAGGCCTCCACCTCCCAGGGACCCAGGCGTCCTGCTCCCAGCCCAACCCAGTCTAGCCTGCAAGCCAGGAGGGCGGCAACTCCCATTGGTTGGGAGGGCTGGGCAGGCGGTGAGGAATTCAAATGTGGGAGGAATTAGCTACAAAGCACACCCCCCCCCCGGCTCCTCCACAAGGCAGAAGGAGCTTGAGATCCTCTGGAGGCTCTGGCTGACTGGGCAGCTGTGTCCAGGCAGCCAGCAGGGGTGAGGCCCCGGGCAGCTGGGATCCCCTGGCCTCTGCTAGGCAGCCCCTGCTCACCCCTCCTCCCCTTGGCCTCTCTCTTCCCTCTCCTTCTCTCTTTCTTCCTTCCTATTCTCTCTTTCAGTCTGAGGATGGACTGCTCCAGGCCTGGGTGACTCCTTCCTTTTCTTTCCTCTCCTCCCCCGTAGCCCCTTTCCTTGTGGGCCCCCTACTCCTTCTTGGGCTGACCCTCCCCTGCCTCTTCCTAGGCCCTGTGTGCTGCAGTCACCACCACAGACCTGGCTGAGACCCAGGCGCTCCTGGGCTGTGGGGCTGGGATCAACTGCTTCTCGGGGGACCCTGAGGCCCCCACGCCCCTGGCTCTTGCAGAGCAGGCGGGGCAGACGCTGCAGATGGAATTCCTTCGGAACAACCGGACCACAGGTGAGCGTGGCAGAGGGTGGGGGTCCACCAGGCTGTGCAGTGCCTGGTGGGGTTTGATTTACCTGCTGCTCTCAGGCCGTGATCGCAGCTCCTCAAGGGCCTGTGATAAATCATGTGTGAGCTGGGGTGTGCTTGGGTTTGCATGTCAGTGTGTATTTGTACTACGTATGCATGTTCCTCTGTGTCTGTGTCTCTGTGACTGTTGATGACTTCCCTGACTTGCAGTGTGGGCCCCTCAGGATGGCTGGCAGCTGTGCTGGTGTTTGTGCGCCTCTGAGCCCCCCGGATTTGTGTTTCTGGGGATGCTGAGAGCTTTGGAGTACATGCGTGTGCAGAGTGTGTCTGTGTTGCTGCGTGAGGGGTGCTGAGTTACATTTCTCCATGGGTGGGTCACCCACCTAGGCAGCCCTGTCTACTGCCCTGCTTGGGTGGAGCTCAATCCTGAACTTGGTTTGGGTACCATTGGCTCCCTCTTGGGGTGGGTGAGGAGGGGTCAGTGGGCTGAGCAGCACAGCTCGTGGCCCAGGCCTGGACTCTGGGGCCACATCCCAGGACTGAGGGTGGAGCTCAATGGCTGGGGCTCTGGGCTCAGGGCCATGGGTGGGCGGGGCACACTGGGCTGGAGAGAGCCCAGGTGTCCAGGGAGACACAGGAGACCACCCAACTGGCTTGGGCTTGGGGACAGATCACCGCCCCCCCACGGCGCTGACCGTGGGGAACAGGGCTGTAGTCAGGCTGCCACCTTGAGCTTCCCGCTGTCTGGGACAATCCTCTTTCCAGGGATTATTATTGAGTTTGCCCAATGCCCCCCTCATGCCAGTGTGCCTGGCCTATGCCTCCAACCTGGAGAGTGGGGTGGGGCAGGAATCAGGGAGGCTTCCTGGAAGGGGAGGTGCTGGAACTGGGCCTTGGGAGTGGAGTGAATTTCCACAAGTGGGGAGAGGTGGAGAAACAGCCTGGACAAGACCCTGCAGGTAGGAGGGGGAGCTTGAGGCTGCCAGTTAGGGAGCTGGGGCTGATGATTCGAAAGTGAGCCTGAATGCCCAGGCCAGGTGGGAGTGAGGTGGGGACACCCTCTTGGGTGGCCAGCATGACCTGCCATCCTTTCCCCGCCTACAAAGAGGTGCCTCGGCTGGACTCGATGAAGCCCCTGGAAAAGCACTACTCAGTTGTCCTGCCGACCGTGAGCCACAGTGGCTTCCTCTACAAGACTGCCTCTGCCGGCAAGCTGCTACAGGACCGCCGGGCCCGGGAAGGTGGGTGCCACCCCAGACTCTGCTTTAGCCCATGGCATCTGGTCACGGCTGCAGGGCTAGGGAAGCCAGGGCTGGCCAGACTGGTGGACTCTGGCAGAGTCACCCTAGAGGGCTTCCTGGATATAGTCTGTGGTACACAGTAGGTACTTCCTAAATGATCCTGGTGGGAGTGGGGGTAGTGCATGACACTGCAGAGCAGGTCAGTGCCAGAGTTTCTTTGGACTAAATGAGCCTTTATTGAGCCCCTACTGGATATGGGCTCTGCTGAGCATCTGGTAGTAAGAGCCTGTGGCTGGTAGGGAGTTTGAGGACTGAACGAAAGCCCTATCCATCTGATCTCAGCCTTCCATTCACTCCCCAACTCAGAAGAAAATCCACAAGAGCCCGCACAGTTGGCCACCACCCCCATTACCTCTCTGAACCACCCCCCTAATCACTCTGCCGGTCTCCTCACTGTTTCTCAGACACGTCGTCACCTACCAGGATCTTTGCCTGTGCTGTTCCCTCTGCCTGAAATGCATTCCCCCAGGTATCTGCATGGCCAGTCCCTCACTTCCGTCAGGTCTCTGTTTCAGTATCACTCCTGCAGAGATGTCATCTCTGACTACCTTATGCAAAATAGCACCCCCCATCTCTCCCTTTACCCTTTTGAGATGGAGTTTCGCTCTTGTTGCCCAGGCTGGAGTGCAATGGCGCGATCTTGGCTCACCGCAACCTCTGCCTCCCGGGTTCAAGCAATTCTCCTGCCTCAGCCTCCCGAGTAGCTGGGATTACAGGCATGCGCCATCATGCCTGGCTAATTTAGTTAGTAGAGATGGGGTTTCACCATGTTGGTCAGGTTGGTCTCAAACTCCCGACCTCAGGTGATCTGCCCGCCTTGGCCTCCCAAAGTACTGGGATTACAGGCGTGAGTCACCACGCCTGGCTACCCTGCATTTTCTTCACACCACTTACCTGGTACTCATTTGTCCATTAATGTACTTATCTATAGATTCTCTGTACCCCACTGGGACATAAACTCCTTTTGGCCACCACTGCCTGTAGCCCCCAGATCCTAGAACAGTGGCTAGCACACAGTGGGCACTTGGCAAATACCTGCAGAATGAAGGATGACTCAGGCAGAGCTGGTGCTCCTGGAGGGAGCCCACCTGCGGGGACAGGCCTGAGGACACATTGCTCTCAAAGAGCACATGTCAGGCCCTCACAGACAGGATGAGAGACAGAGTCTGCTGTGGGAACATTGTGAGGTCATTGCTGACAACATCCCTCAGCACCTCCTGCATGCTTTCCTACGGGGACAAAGCCCTCCAACTCCCAAAGAGATTTCTTTGGAACTCCATGCTGTTCACAACCTCATTGCCCCAGGTCTGCCTCCCTCTGCCTGACAATGTCATTTATGTAACAACTGCCTGAGTCATCCTTTTTGCCCTGGATGCCAGGAAGCTCTGAGCCACTGTAAAGCTCAGTGCTGTGAACGGTACAAGCCTGCATGGCCATGACAGCCTATCCTTTCCATTACCTTTCCTGGTCCAGATTCCCATTTCTGTTTCTTTTATGGGACCTTGCCAGTCCTTCAGAGCCATTGTAGCAGGAGGCAGAGTACAGAGTGATAGATGCTTCTGGAAAAGGAGGTTGGGGCATAGAAGGCTTCCTGTGACATTCAGGTGGTGGGTAGAGGGGACAAGGTTTGCAAAAGCTGGGAGTGCTGGGTAGGGATGTGTGTGTCCAGGAGTGACAGAGAGGCAGCTGGAGAGACGGGCAGGGGTAGACCTGGCAGGGCCTTGAATGGCAGGCTGAGGGGCACAGAGTCTGTCCTGAGGACCATGGAATGGTTTTGGTTAGAGGAAGGATGGGGTCTGATTTTAGCTAGATCACTCTGGGATTTTGGAAGGGGCTGCTGCAGAGGCCTGGGGGAGCGGATGACTTGTGGGCTGGCTAGCGTGGTGGGGATGCAGAGAGGTGGATGGATTTAGGGAAAACTTGAGAGAATGAAGAGCTCATGGGTCAGATGGGAGCAGGAGCCCCGGGAGGATGCAGAGGTGGTTTTCAGGTGGTGGGGGGCTCCCTGATGGCTCCCCTGCCCAAATTCTCCCCAGAGTTCAGCCGGCGCTGGTGTGTCCTTGGTGACGGGGTCCTGAGCTACTTTGAGAATGAGCGGGCAGTGACCCCCAATGGAGAGATTCGGGCCAGCGAGATTGTGTGCCTGGCAGTGCCCCCTCCTGACACCCATGGGTGAGTACTCCTGGGCAAATCAGACTGTGGTTGCTATAAGGTACAATCCCCCACTGGGGAGACAGGGAAATAGACCCAGAGAAGGGGAGGACCTCCGCAGAGTCACACAGCAAACGGAGGCTGCACAAGGGCCGACTCCAGTCTCTTGAGGCCCCAGCCCAAGACTTTTCCACCACCTCTTAGGGGACCAGAATAAGGACAAGCGCCAAGGCAGTGCGGAGGGGGCAGAGGATGGCGGTTGATGGTGCGGGTTGGGGGTGGGCCCGTGCTGGATGAGGTGGGCCTGAGTCCTGGCCTGTGTATTTGCAGCTTTGAGCACACCTTTGAGGTGTACACGGAGGGAGAACGGCTGTACCTGTTTGGGCTGGAGAGTGCGGAGCAGGCTCATGAGTGGGTCAAGTGTATTGCTAAGGTGAGCCTGGGGTAGCAGGGTGGGTGTAAGGGTGTCTGACTGGGGAAGGTGGGGCCTCCTGGCCAATCCCATGTATCCCAGCTCCCCCGTCTAGAGAGCAGAAGCTAGATGCAGGGCAGCAGACATGGAGCGGGCCTGTCCCACCAAGAGCCTACTGTAATCTGCAGCCCTCTGCGGAGTTGGTCAGACCTATCCTAGCTCTGCAGAAGAAGGGCTGTGGGCCTTGCACTCCATAGGTGCTCAATAAGTGTTTAACAGTGAATGACAGTCAGAGCCATCTTAGGATGGACAGTGCGGCCTCCAGAGGGGGTGTGCTCCTCGTTCCTGGAGGCGAGCAAGCAGAGGCTGGAGGGAAGAGGCAGGGAGGCCACCGGGAGAGCTCTGCCTCGGGGACTAGAGCCAGGTGCCTGTGGGGTCCCCTGTGCTGTGAGAGCCTGTGACTTTTTATCATTCACTTCTCCGTTGATCAGTTGTCTTGTGCGCCTCCTGAGAGTCAGCCCTCGGAGACCTGGGACCCAGATGAACCAGGCTTAGTCCTAGCTCTTCAGTAGCACCCATGTGGGTGGGGGAGACAGCTCCCCTGCGGGTGTAGTTCAGGCGGCAGCAGCAGTGTAACCAGTGCCACAACAGAGGGCAAGAATGCTTTGGTGCTGTGGGGGCCCAGAGAAGGGCCCTCCAGAAGGTGTCTGGGAAGGCTTTCCAGAGGCGGGCACATCTGAGTGGGTATGAAGTGGGGCATGGTACCCAAGTTCCATCACTGGGCTTGGTTCTGCCTTGGGGAAGAGAAGAGAAGGCAGCTGGGTGGGAAGAGGGCATGTGCCTGTAAGCCAAGGAGCTGGGGCATTGGGGCAGGCAGTGCCGTTGGCTGATGCTGTCTCCCCCGGCGCCTCTCTGCCAGGCATTCGTGCCTCCCCTAGCCGAGGATCTGCTGGCCCGGGATTTTGAGCGGCTGGGACGCCTACCCTACAAAGCTGGCCTGAGCCTACAGCGGGCCCAGGAGGGCTGGTTCTCTCTCAGTGGCTCGGAGCTCCGTGCTGTCTTCCCGGAGGGGCCCTGCGAAGAGCCGCTGCAACTACGGAAACTGCAGGAGCTTTGTGCGTGGACCAGACCTGGGCCCCCAGCCTCCAGGGCACCCTATCCTGGGCTCCCAGGCCCCCAGCCCTTGCCTGGAAATCTGAACTCTGCCTGGCCTGGCCAGAGCCGCCATCCTGCCCTCTCATGTCCTTGGGGTGCATCTCAGCCACCCCATACATTGGTGGGCGGGTCTCAAGGGTGTGTGTGTGCTCACAGAGGGAGGGAGCAGGTTGGGGATCAGGAGCAAGACCTGGGCCTCACCTTGACTAACCCCTCCACAGCCATCCAGGGGGACAGTGAGAACCAGGTGCTGGTGCTGGTGGAGCGAAGGAGGTGAGCCACGGCCTCCCTGAGGGGCTCTGAGAAGGCTGGAGCAGTCTGATGGGCCTGGGGACAGGGTGGGATAGGTGTAGGCCCCTCAGTGACTGACTGTCCCTGGCCCAGGACACTGTACATACAGGGCGAGCGGCGGCTGGACTTCATGGGTTGGCTGGGGGCCATCCAGAAAGCAGCCGCCAGCATGGGGGACACGCTGTCGGAGCAGCAGCTTGGGGACTCGGATATCCCGGTGATCGTGTACCGCTGTGTGGACTACATCACGCAGTGCGGTGAGCCCTGCCCCTAGGGTGCCAGCCCCGCCCCTCCCGGAGAGCCGCCTCCCGCCCCAGAGCTGCGCGGCCCCGCCCCATGACTCTATGCCTCAGGCCCCGAACGCTTGGCCCCGCCCCTCCCTAGGCCTGACCTCCGAGGGCATCTACCGCAAGTGTGGGCAGACATCGAAGACACAGCGGCTGCTGGAGAGCCTGCGGCAGGATGCGCGCTCTGTGCACCTCAAGGAGGGCGAGCAGCACGTGGATGATGTTTCCTCGGCGCTCAAGCGCTTCCTGCGCGACCTGCCTGATGGGCTCTTCACTCGCGCCCAGCGCCTAACCTGGCTGGAGGCCTCAGGTGGGCCCTGCAGCCCGTGCCCAGCCTCCTCCTCCTCCACCCATCCCTCCGGACTCCTGCGCCCTTCCCTTGTGGCACTTGCACTAGGCTTACCCTAACCCACAGGCTCCAGTTGCCTGCCTCTGCTTCTCATTCCCATCGCCGCTCCATACAGAGCCAGGGGCCCTGGAAGACCGAGAGTTCCTTACCCTGGTTGAATGCCTGGCCTGCATTGACTTGGAGGGCACAGGGACTGCTGTCACCCACCATGAGAGGCACAGCAGCCCAGGCGGGGTGGGGGGAAGATAGTTACAGGGGGTTTCTGACTTGATTTATCTTTCCCACCCAGAGATTGAGGACGAGGAGGAGAAGGTCTCCAGGTACCGAGAGCTGCTGGTGCGGCTGCCCCCTGTCAACCGGGCCACAGTGAAGGCCCTTATCAGCCACCTGTACTGGTGAGGGACGATACCATTGTGAGATTCTGGGGGGATGGGATGAAGGTTCTTCTACCCCCACCCTGGCTGACTACCCTCCTCTGGGAGCCAGCTGGGCTTTTGCACCAAGTGCTGACTGTGATCTGCCCTAACATTGGATATTTGTAGAGCAGGGTTCCCCAGTCCCCAGGCCACAGACCAGTACAGGTTCGTGGCCTGTTAGGAACCAGGCTGCACAGCAGGAGGTGAGTGGTGGGTGAACAAGTGTTACTGCCTGAGCTCTGCCTCCTGTCAGATCAGCCGCGGCATTAGATTCTCAAAGGATCGGAACTCTATTGTGAACCGTGCATGGGAGGTGGCGCGCTCCTTATGAGAATCTAATGCCTCTGAAACCATCCCCTGCCCCCCGACCCTGTCCTTGGAAAAATTGTCTTCCATGAAACCAATCCCTTCTGCCAGAACTGTTGGGGACCACTGTTGTAGAGGATTTTTCCAACTGGGGCCAGGGTACCTTGTCTGGATCTCCCAGCTTCCCAGTCCTGCTCCTACCAGGACCCAAGATATGGCCAGAAAAACTGTTCCTACCCTGTTAAACAGTGGTCCCCTCTGACCAGACCAGTCTTGGACCTGTCAGAAATTAATAGGGTGAGATGGGAAGCTCTGGCCTGACTCCTCACTCAAAGCCCTCCTCCTCCCCTCTCCAGTGTTCAGTGCTTCTCAGACACGAACCAGATGAACGTGCACAACCTGGCAATTGTGTTTGGGCCCACGCTCTTCCAGACAGATGGGCAGGACTACAAGGCTGGCCGTGTGGTGGAAGACCTCATTAACCACTATGTGGTGGTGTTTAGTGTGCGTCCCTGGCCAGTGGGCAGTGGAGGGCAGGGGTGATCCTTGCAGATGACGGTGACCACCTGTCCCTGCCTCTCGCCCCTTCCCAGGTGGATGAGGAAGAGCTCAGGAAGCAGCGGGAGGAGATCACTGCCATTGTGAAGATGCGCGTGGCTGGCACTGCCAGTGGGACCCAGGTGAAGGCTGGAGCCTGGGTGGGGGGCTTGGACCTGCCACCTGCACCCATTTCCTAGGCCCCCAGCTGAGCCCTGTCTCCCTGCAGCATGCCGGTGACTTCATCTGCACAGTGTATCTGGAAGAGAAGAAGGCAGAGACTGAGCAGCATATCAAGGTAGGTGCTGGGACCTAGAAGCCAAGGGGCTAGAGAATCAGGCTGGGCCAGGTACAGGCTCAGATGGCCAGGGGAGCAGTGCTTCTACCCCGAGGAGAGGACCAGTTTGGGACCTGTATCTGGCTGGTGCTGGGGTCTGCTCCTAAGGACCACTCAGAAATACCCCTCTCTATCCCAGGACTCCAGAAGGGCCTGAGAAGGATGGGCTCAGGCTCTGAGTCACATAGCAAGGTTGTGGCAGAGCAGGGGCTAGGCACAGGCAGGCTAATCTCCTCCTTGGTCCTTGCAGGTCCCAGCATCCATGACTGCTGAGGAGCTCACCCTGGAGATCCTGGATCGCCGGAACGTGGGCATCAGGGAGAAGGACTATTGGACCTGCTTTGAGGTCAACGAGAGGGAGGAGGCAGGTGGGTGACGCTGGGCTTGTGCAGGGTGTGGTATGGCTTGTCTTGTCTCAGCTGTAGCCCCAGTCTGTCCTCCCCTACCCTGCACATGAGGATGGGTGGTGAAAAGGGCTTTGATGACATGTTGCTGTCACACTGATCTCTGTGATGGTGGTGATAGGGTGCTGGCAGGGATTGAGGTTATGGCTGTCATGTGGCTGATAGAAGATGTCAGTGACAGTGGTGATGGTTGAGGTGAGAAATGTATTTTATGGTAAAGGTGGTCTTGATGGCAGTGGAGGATGAGGCTGTATCTGTTCATTTGTTTTACTATATTTGTTGAGTGCCAGGCACTGGGCTAGGGAGCCACACACACAGTCCCTATCCTCGTGGGGGTTAGTCTGGTGTGGGACGGAGGCATTAGTCTAATGATCATACCAATAAATGTTCAACTACAGATGCATTAACTGCTGTGGAGGAAAGACCCTTGGCATTGCCAGGTCTTCCCTGAGCCAGGATGGGAAGGAAGAGTAGGGGTTACTTGGTGAAGAAGGCAAAAGCCCTGTGGTGGGCAGAGGCACAGCCCTTTCAAGGAGACGAGGGCAGTGAGGGGGTGGTGACATGGGTGGGGCTGGAGATCGAGGCAGAGGCAGCCATGCAGGGCCTAGCAGCAATGCAAGACCATCGGAGGGCTAGTGAATGGCAGTTTAAGAAGATTGCTACTCGCTGATGGGTGGGGAGAGGGAAATTAGAGCACACTTTGAAGGCCATGGTTTCGTCCAAGGAGAAGGCGGTAATGTGGGCTGGGGTGGCAGCAGTGGAGATAGACAGAGCAGAGAGATTCGACGTGTGGATTGGGAGAGGGAGGAGGGGTTTGTTTCTGAGTTGAGCAGCCTGGCGGGTGGTGGTGGTGTTTCCCTGATGGGGGCCACAGGGAGGGTGGGATGGGAGGCAGGGGGTGGAGATCATGGGCATGGTTTTGCACATGTTGAATTTGAGCAGCTTTGGTCACAGCCAGGTGTGTCAAGCCTGAAGCTTGGTCATGGGAAGGGTGGTCATGATGGTGGTGTTTTGTGTCGTGGCACTTGCATATGGTTGGAGTGGACAGGGGATGTGTAGGTGATATGTGCCCATCTGCCAGCCTTTGGTGGTATCGGGCCATGTGGTCCCAGTGACGGTAGGTGTGACCTCTCCCCAGAGCGCCCCCTGCACTTTGCGGAGAAGGTGCTGCCCATCCTGCACGGGCTGGGCACGGACAGCCACCTGGTGGTGAAGAAGCACCAGGCCATGGAGGCCATGCTGCTGTACCTGGGTAGGTGGTGCCTGCAGGGTGGCCAGGCTCCGGGTGGTCCTCTCTTCCAGAGCCAGGGTGGGACCTGGTGGTGCCAGGTAGGAACAGCTCAGACAGAGGGCGCCAAGTGGGTGGGCCTCTATGGAGAGGCTGGGGCAGGATGGGGCAGCTTCCTTCATCCTGGGACCCAGCCCCGGGTAGGGGTTGGTGCAGCCTGTGCCCACTCCAGTCCCACCCCCCAGCCAGCCGTGTCGGTGACACCAAGCATGGCATGATGAAGTTCCGTGAGGACCGCAGCCTCCTGGGCCTGGGCCTGCCCTCAGGTGGCTTCCACGATCGCTACTTCATCCTCAACAGCAGCTGCTTGCGGCTCTACAAGGAGGTCCGGGTAAGTGGCCCCGCTGGGTTCTGCCCCAGGGTGGGCACCTGTACACCTGAATGTGCTCAGAGATTCCCCTTGGTCTGCAAGTGGAAATATTCCCGTTACAGGCTCTCAGGATGGCACAGCAGTGGGGGAGAACTGTAGACTCTCAAGACCCCTCCTGCTGTGGCCCTGGACGGCCACTCTAGTGTGCCCTGTAGCCCCACTAAGCCCTGGCACCCGGATGCCATCACACCACTCCATGCCCATGCTCTGTCTCACTGTGCCTGTGCCTTATCACTGCATCCACAGGAACCTGTTACTTGATGACAGCCCCAAGTTGTGCATGCATGCCTTGTCATATCGTATGTCATATGCCTCCCGGGCCACCCTTCTCCCTCATTCTGTCCACATGCAGGTGTTCTCCCAACCCAGACTCCATTTGACACCCTCCACCTTCTGCACATACATGCCATACACACACCCCAACCCCACACATCACTGCACATGCTGTCCTGGCTCTAGACCTGGGACTTCTTCCATAACCCTGATCCTCTATCAAACAGAGCCAGAGGCCGTGGAGCGGGGCCCCTGAGACCGTGAGTAGCTGTGGGCTGACTGCCAGCTGCCTTACACCACCTGGGGGCCAAATGAGCTGGGTGGGAGCATGGGGAGACAGCCAGGGCTCCTGGCCATCTCCAGGCATGGATCCCTGCCCCCTTGCCCGTTGGCACTGGCCCCTATCCTGGGGCCTAAGCTCCTCCCCTTTATCCCTAATCCTGTCCCAGGGTCCTTTCCCCAATATAGGGTTCCTTATCAGTGCAATGCTCTAGAATTTTCCAAAGGACTTAGTGTAGAAGTTAAAGAGCCAGTAATGATGGCACCTAGGTTTGAATTAGAGCCCTGATCTTCATCTCCTGTCATCCCTGGAGCCACCTTATTTCCAACCCTGGACAGTGTTCCAGGACTGTCAGAATGTTCTTGCTACTGCCCTGATCCTAACATGCCGGGGTGGGACGAGAGAGGCTTGTGGGATACCCCCACCTGGGGTAGCAGTCTCTCTGAGGCTTCCTGGCTGGCTATTTCCACTCTGCACACTCCTAGGAGAGAGAGCTCATCCCTCCGCCCTTGGGGCTGCCCTGTTCCTAGGGGGATACTTCTGTCTGGAAAAGGTCCTTGCTCAGGTTCTGCTGAGAATCTGCATCTCATGATGCCCCCATGGGTCCCAGCTATGCCTTGGGGGCTACAGAGCATAGATGCCCTGCAGCAGGGGTCCCCAACTGTTGGGAACAGGGCCGTGCAACAGGAGGTGAACATCGGGCGAGTGAGCATTACTGCCTGAGCTCTGCCTCCTGTTAGGTCAGCAGCGGCGTTAGATTCTCGTAAGAGTGCGAACCCTACTGTGAACTGTGCAAGCGAGGGATCTAGGTTGTGCGCTTCTTATGAGAATCTGATGTCTGAACATCTGAGGTTTTACAGTTTTATCCCGAAACCATCCCCCCACCCATGGAAAAATTGTTGTCCACAGAACTGGTCCCTGGTACCAAAAAGACTGGGGACTGCTGCCCTGCAGGATGGGCAACAGAGACATGGTTCCAAGCCTGGTGGTCTAGCCTGAGCTCCCACAGCTACCCACCACCCCATCCCCAGTGTCTTCAGCCTCTTCCTGCCCCTTGCATTTCCTGAGGTCATCTGAACAGGCTTGGCTGCCATGGCAGGAGCAGAGCAGATAGAGCAGGACCTCATCTCCTTCTCTTTGCATTTTGTGCCTCCTCTAATGCATCCTGGGCTCCTGCTAACCCTGTGGGAAACACCGTCTCTTCTCTCCTTTGCCCTCTTCTGTGATCACATCCTCACTTCTGAGCCTATCTGCCCATCCAGTCAATCCCCCTTGGTTCTGGGATGCTATTTCCCTGGCCGCCTCCCTCTAGGAGTGTTTAGAACCCTCACTGTGGGCAGAAGGGAGGGAAGATGGCTGAGGTACCTGGAAAGGGACGTGTGGATCCCTGGGCATGGAAGGAAGGAGGCAGGAGAGCTAGAAAAAGGGATGAGATCTAATGTTCCCTAAGGAACCTGGCTTAGTGCTGGCCCTTCACATACTGAGACATGGAATCCTTACTACTGTTCTCTGAGGAAGAGGGCTGTCCCCACTTCCAGGTGAGAAAACAGGCTTTGTGTGACTTGCCCAAGGCCATCTATAAGTGTAGACTGGGACTTGCACCCAGGTTTCTTAGTGTGGAAACGCAAGCTTGTATTCCTGGAAGTCTCAGACTTGAGGACTCAGCAGGGAGGGGTGCTCAGCACAGGGTAGGTGGTGCTCTTCACACCCCAGAGACAGCCAACACCTCTGGCCTGGCAGAGGCCCTGAGCAGATGTGAGCTGGTTACCACGGGGTTATCAACTCTGGCATTTGTTGGTTTATGCGGCAGTAGGACAGAATATTTGAAATTGGGACAATCTCAGGTGATTCAGTAGGATATATGTCCACTTGTGCCTTATCCTGGGGGTCTCCTCTTGTTAAAGACCCTGAGGCACCTGGAAAAGGCACATGCTAGAAAGATCTTGGTTCCAGCAGAGATCCTTAAGCATCAAGAGTAAACGTCATTGTCTGCCCATGGCCCCATGCCTTGGAGATGCTGGAAACATGAGCCGTCTGATTAGAAATGTCCTTGGGCCAGGTGCAGTGGCTCATGCCTGTAATCCCAGCACTTTGAGAGGTCAAGGTGGGAGGATGGCTTGAGTCCAGGAGTTTGAGACCAGCCTGGGCAACATGGTGAAACCCTGTCTCTATAAAAATTAGCCGGATGTGATGGTGCATGCTTGTAGTCCCAGCTACTCAGGAGGCTGAAGTGGGAGGATGGCTTGATCCCATGAGTTGGGGTTGCAGTGAGCTGAGATTGCACCACTACACTCCAGCTTGGGGGATTCATTCTCAAAAGGAGATTGCATTGACTGACATCCTTCCCTCCCAAGACCCACTTCTGCAGACTTTCTGACTCAGCCACCCTTACATCACACACATGTCATGCACATCAGACCCCAAGGAATCGGAGGCCTGAGGGTTGTGTTTTCATTCTTGGAGCCACAGCCTGGTTTGAATGTCTTGATTCCTGCAGTTGCCTCTGCGCCTGACTGGGCCTGTCCCGTCCACCCTCAACTCACTTGACTGCTTGCTTCTAGTTCTGTTCCCCTCCCACCCACAGCCTGACTTCTTCCAAACCCACAGCCTGTTTTCCATCCCCTCAGCCGATTCCTCCTGTACCTGGAGTCCAGTTTCCCCCACATCCTTCCTCATACCCAGAACCTTGTGTTTTCCATGCCTGCAGCCGAATCTCTTTTATAGCCTCTGTCTCAGTCTTTCCATTTCTGCCATCAGCTGTCTTCCAGTTTGCAGGCCGATTGCTCTAGTGCTCCCAGCCTTGCTTCTTCTGTGTGTGCCTACAGGTTTCTTCCTTATATTCCCCCACATCTTGTTTCTTCCATGTCCGAAGCCTGATTTCCTCCCGCCTGCCTAATTTCCTCCCTGTCTGCAGCCCTGATTGTTCCATGCCTGCAGCCCAGTTGGTTCCAGGCCCTCCTGGGCACATGGCCATCATCAGGTTAGGTGCTGTCTGTAGAAGACATGAGGCTTTCCAATCAGCAGGTATCGGGGTAAAAGCAGAGTGAAAAGTCCTTACTAAGGCCCTCCTAAGCCACACCCCCTGTGAGAGCACAGAGGTCTTCTCCAGTCCCTAAGCAGCCCATCCTTTTGTGATATCACAGGAAGTCCACCAGTTCCCAAAACTTCCCCTTCCCCTGGCTGTCCTTTCTCTGGCCCCTGCTGAGGAGCCATGCCTGGTGGTGGCTGGGAGCAATGGTGGGGAACAGGGGGGAGGTGGCTCAGTCTTTGACCCCCAGTTTCGGTTGTAAGTGAATCCCCCTCCCCTGCCATTCACTCTGGTGCCCCTGTGGACTCCAGGGGTGCCTGGTAGGGGTAGGGCTTCAAGCAAGTGGCTCCTAGAGCAGGAGGAAGCCTCATTAGCTTGACCTCCAACCAGCCTCTTCCTTGGGGGTCATTGCCCCCATCCCTCTGCCTCCGAGCCAGCCTGCTCCTTCCAAGCCCAGACCCATATGCAGAGGCGGGGGCCAGAGGTGAACATTTTGGCAATCTGGTGTCCCTCCCCAGTACATTGGTCTCTCGCTTCCTGACCTAGACCATTGGGAAGTTCTTCCTGTGGTCTGTTGAACAGCTGTTCTGCTTCAGCTTGAGTCATTAGCCTCCTTGTGGAACCAAAGAGCTAGTAACTGCTGGTCCCTCAAGCCTTCTGTTCACACGGTCAACCCTGGAGCCTCCATGGGGCAGAGAGGGCTGAGAAATGAATAATCTGAGATGAACATAGACACAGGCAGCCAACCGAGGCTCTCTGATCACACCCGCTCGTTCCAGTTTGGTGCTGGGGGAGGATGTACAGTTCTCCCTCCACATACAATCTGATTCAGGGTGATACTTCAAGTCCTCCAGTTTGCAGGGCATCAGGGTGGTGCTGGGATTCGCTGTTACAGATGTCCCAGTTGGGACGGCTGCCTCGGAGACTGAGGGTTGACTGTCTGATACTGCTGCAGGGAGACAGGCCTTGGGGGCCTAGGGCTGGGAGGTTGGTTGGGCTAGATTGTGAACAGGGAGGGCTTTATCAGGAAGGCTTCTTGGAGGAGGCGCCCTGTGCTGGGATGCAAAGAGGGCTGGGGAGTTGGAAGAGGGAGCTGCCCAGTCGGGAGAGCGGCCCCAGTGCCCTTTCTGCAGACTAAAGTGCCCTCTTCTCCTTGCCCTACCTCAGAGTCACCGGCCTGAGAAGGAGTGGCCTATTAAGAGTCTCAAAGTCTACCTGGGAGTGAAGAAGAAACTCAGGCCACCCACCTGGTAAGCTGGGACTGGGCAGATAGGCCTGCTACTGGGGCTTATGGGGGCTCAGAACTGATGGGGGAGGCACAGCTGGGGTTTTTAATTTGACAGAGATAGGTGCAGGGGCTCTGATGGTGTGGTCTCCAGACCAGCAGCATCACCTGGACACACCTTCAACACAAATTCTCTGCCAAGTGCAGTGGCTCATATCTGTAATCTCAGTACTTGGGGAAGCCAAGTCAGGTGGATTGCTTGAGCCCAGGAGTTCGAAACCAGCCTGGGCAACATGGCGAGACCTTGTCTCTACAAAAAAATACAAAAATTAACTGGGTTTGGTGGCGCGCTACTCAGGAGGCTGAGGCGGGAGGATCGCTTGAGTCCCGAAGTTTGGGCTGCAGTGATCCGTAGTCACGACACTGCATTCCAGCCTGGGCGACAGAGTGAGAGCCTATCTCAAAAAAAAAACAACAACAAAAAAACACAAATTCTCAGGTGTCACCCCATTCCTACTGAATCACAGATTCTGAGGGTAGGGCTGGGGCTTAGGGGTGTCAAGGGCCTGGGAGGCTGGTTGGGGCTGAGACAGGAAGAGGCCAGGATGTGCCACTCTTGTGAGAAGGCTCTGAACTCTGGCTCTGGCTCTGGCTGTGGCTTCTGGGCTCTGTCCTGGGAACTGGGGTGTTGAGCCTCTATGGCCTGTCAAACACCCAACTCTCTCCCTTCTTCCTCTGTAGCTGGGGCTTCACAGTGGTGCATGAGACAGAGAAACATGAGAAGCAGCAGTGGTGAGTGAGCGCCTCATCCTGAGATCCCAGGCTGAGGAAAGATGGTGGCACGTCCCCCTTCATTGTGTCCCTCATCACTGCCCAGATCTGTGACCACTAGCAGACCCTGGGCTGGGAAGGCAGACACGGTGTTCCCTGCTCAGTCAGGCCTTTGGCATCATGTGGGTCCGCGTCCAACCCTGCAGGTACCTCTGCTGTGACACACAGATGGAGCTCCGGGAGTGGTTCGCTACCTTTCTGTTTGTGCAGGTACCAGGTGCAGAGTGTGGGGTGTGGGGTGGGTCCCTGGAGGCTTCCATTATGGAGAATGGGGACATTGGCTTCTGTGCTATTCAACCCACCCCTTGCTTCAAGGAGATTTTGAGTTGCTTTTAATTCATTTGCTAGTTTATTCAATAAACCCTTCCTAGCACCTACTGTTAGTCCAGCCCCAAGCCAGGGATGCTAGGGACAGACAGGACACAGACCCTGCCCTTGGGGCACCCCTCATGTGGACAGGAAAACAGACTCAGAAGTGGCCAGTTATAGCCCAGTGTGATCAGTGCTGTGGTGGCAGTGAAGAGCCCAGGGGATCTGAGTCTTAGGAAATGTGGGAGAATTCACCAAGCATAGAGGAGGGGGATGACTTCTAGGCAGAGGGAACGGTTTAGGCAAAGGTCCAGAGATATGCAAGAGAAGCACAGATTGTTACAGTGGAATGTGAGGGGAGAAGCCAGGAGTGCTGGAAGTCAGCACAGGAAAGGGAGTGAGAAGCAGAATCTCAGAAGAGGCTTGTAGGTCACGCCAGGGAAACTGACCTCGACACAGAGGTCAGTGGGGAACCACTGGCGGGGGTGGGGGTGGCATTTAGGCAGAGTGTGGTGCAGGCTTGAGTCTTCGAGGGCTCACTCTGGGTGCAGCGTCGGGCAGTGGGACCGAGGGTAGAACCCAGAGGTGAGCAGGCCAGTGAGGCAGTGGCTGTGGTAGCCCAGGCAGGGACATGGTGGGGATGACTCCTGAGCCAGAGCAGGGCCAGAGGCTGGGTTAGACTTAAAACAGATGAATTAAGACACAGAGTTTTTAAAGTGAGAGCTCATATGTGTTTAGGGAAAGGGAGACAAAACAACCAGGGTGCTAGGCTGAGTTCTTTCTTGGAGCTGTGTTCTTTTAGCCCTGAGCTTCCTGGTAAGCAAAGCCTAAAGGGAAACGGTGGATTTTGTAGTTCCCGATTCCTAAGATGGGGTGCAGACGTGTTCCTCTAAGAGAAATGTTTTCTTGGTTCTTGGAGGGGTTTGTGGATCTGGAGATTGGAGTTGTTGAGTAACAGAACTGGCCGTGTTTTGCCAGAGATGCAGTCATGTTCTCCCCACAGCTGCTTCTCATATCGGCGGGGATCAAAGCTGAGGGTGTCATCTCAGACCACAGCTGGAGGCATTTCTGGGAAGGGTGGGCAGATCTGAGGCTGAGTGTCTGGGTGAACTGAAGCTGAGCCCAGCCCCTTCCTCTCTGCTCCCCAGCATGACGGCCTGGTGTGGCCCTCAGAGCCCTCACGCGTGTCCCGGGCAGTGCCTGAGGTCCGGCTGGGTAGTGTGTCACTGATCCCCCTTCGAGGTAGTGAAAATGAAATGCGCCGGAGTGTGGCTGCCTTCACCGCGGACCCTCTGTCTGTGAGTGGCTCTCCATGCCTTTGGGCAGGGGGCTGGGGGCCTGGCTGGGTGCCTGCCTTCTACTCCACAGTAGATGATTGCCCTGATTGCCCTCCCCGATTGCCCTCCGGCCCCCTCCCTCCAGCCTTGGTGGGGGCCCTCATAGGCCTCTTTGGTTCACACCATTCAAAGGAGCCCCTTCTGCCTGGCCCTGGAAGCTGGGAGTCCCCTCTGCCTGGCCCTGGGAGCTGGGAGCCTGGCTGATTGGAGTGCTCCCCGGCTGGCAGTGGAGAGTGGCTGCAGCAGCTGCAGCAGCTTCAGCGGGGCGCCAGCCCCTCTGGGCCTTCACAAAATACCTGTGGGTCTCTTGCCTTCCTGCAGCTTCTGCGCAACGTCTGAGCACAGGAGCCCATCCTTGGCTCTAGGATTCCGCCGCTGGAAGCCTTCTGTTCAGACACCCCTTATGCTCCAAGGCCTGATGTGAGCCAGCGGGGGGTGCATGGGAAACTGCACCCCACAACCCACATCCTCCATCCTGACTGCAGCATGGGGTTCCCCGGCAGGGGTGGGAGGCAGCAGGGGTCAGCCTGGGCAGGAACCTCTCCCAACTCTGTCCAGGTGTTCAGACCTCTTGGCCCAACCTGCTCACCCCACCGGGTTCACTGTCCTTGTGGGGCTGGAGAGATGGGCATAAGTCAGGAACTTGGGAGGACCACCACCCTTTCAGAGGCGTGAGGCCCTGGGGCCCTGCCGGAAGGGAGCCCCCTGCTCCTCCCAACAAACTCCAGAACAGCAGAAAGCGGGTGCTGTAGAGGAGCACTCAGCTCACGGGGAGGGAGCTCTTGGCTGAGCTTCTACAGGGCTGAGAGCTGCGCTTTGGGGACTTCAGCCTTCCTTCCAGTCTGGGCTGAGTGGGGGGTCCAGACTACCTGATGCCCCTTCCCCAATTTGGGGACTTTTTGATAATATAAATATATCTGTATATTTTACCCTATGGTGCTGAGGCCTGTGATTGGCTAAGGGGATTGGGCGTCCTGGGGTAGGAGGGGACAGGAGGTCGGGAAGCCCAGGGGTGAGTGCCTAGTGCCTGAAGCTGAGAACCTAGGCCTTGCTTTCTCCAGGCCCTGAGCTATTCAGACGACCCCCTTCCCCAAGCAGAGCCCTGGCTTGACTCCATGCCTTCCCCATTGTACTATCCTGCAGCCAGGCTGGGAATGCCGGTCCTTTCCTGGCCAGCACTGACCCTGGCTGGACACAAGCCCCTGTCCTGCTGCAGTCCGAGTCTGAGTCCCAGCTGGGGCCTGGGTGTGGTGTGTCAGTGACTCAGGCCTGGCAGCCCTGCAGCAGCCCCCTGCTGGAGACACAAGGTCAGAGCCACAGGAGCCTGAGGAAATTGAGAAGAAGCACCTTTGGGTCACCTGTGGCCCCAGTGCCTACCCCTCCAGAGGTGGGGCCTGCCATGCACCAGGGGGCTGCCCTCACTGGGCACTGCCTGGCCATCTCCACTAAGAAGATGAGGCCCTGGCCTGCAGAGGAAATAATGAGTTGCTCAGAGATGGGTTTGGGACTCCCTGGGGAGGTGCCAGACACCACATTCCCGCCTCTGCCTAGAGCCTCATTACCACCCGCTCTTCGGGGGCTCAGTGGGCGGACAGGCTGACCTCCATCCTTAGCCTCAGCCAGTGGGGCTGGGCAGAGTGGGTGGGGATGGGCCATGTGACCTCCGACTCAGGCATCCAGCTCAGTGGGGAGCCTGGGTCCAGCGGAAGACTTGGGGAGCTGGACTCCAGGTTCCCTCTCGCTGTCTCAGGAAGGGGAGGTATATGGCAGGAGACTGGAACCGGTTCCCTGAGTCCTACTGACCTATTTCACAGGCTGGGGCTAAGCCCCTTGAGTCTCCCACCTCCTGTGGGTCGCTCTGGCCAGATCCACAGGTCGAATGTCTGACCCTTCTGCCTCCAGCCAGGACAGGTTGGACCCCCTTATCCAAGTGCTGAGGGGCTGGAATCCGCTCCTGGATCTGACCTTGCACTGCCCAGCCAGCCCTGAGGCCCACCTGAGTGGGTGAGACTGGAGGCGCCCCCTGCTCTGCTAAGGCCACTGCCCCAGCTCAGCGTGCTGGCTGCAGTCCTGCACTAGGCCACAAGGCGGCAGCCATGGACCACTCATCATTGCTGGAATCAAAGCAGGGTCTGGAGGATGCCTGAGTGGTGGTCCTGGCCCAGACCTTTCTCTGCTGGGGTGTGAAGCGGGACCCAGTTCTGCCTTTGGCCTGCAGGCTGGTGACATTCTGGAAGGCAGCACCATACAGGAATGTGCATTGGAGTCCTGGGCTCTGGGAACCAGGAAGAGGAGGGAACAGCCTTCTACCAAGTACCTGCTGTGAATCGGCCCCTGTGCCCCCTGCACTGTCTGCTCTTGGCAAGGGGGAGCTAGGCCCAGAGAAGGGAGGCAACTTTCCCAAGGTCACACCATGCTCGTGAAGCAGGCCTGAGGTCCATTTCCCCTGCCCTACTTTGGTGGGGTCTCCCTCTTTGACTCCCCTCCTGATTCCAACCCTTTTCTCCTCTTAGAAATGGCCTGAGGCAGGGGGTCTGAACTGTCAGGAGTTAGTGATGGCTTAAAGTGATTTCCCTCTGGTAAGGGGTAGGGGTGACATCCAAACAGGAGCCTCAGGGCCTCAGCCGGAATGAAATATGCCTGTGACAACAGTGTTGGATGGGTTAGGGGCAGGAGGCTCTGCTGGTCCTTGTCGCAAGGATTCCTAAAAATGGGGCCTGTTGGGACCCTGGATGGTTTGCTCATTCACATATTATTTGAAGTTGGGTTGCCATGGATGAGTTGAAGACCCCAGACCTGGACCTGCAGAGGGGCCAGGAGCAGCTCTTGGAAAGGGAGGGGCTTCCTGGACAAGGAAGTGCTCCTGAGCCAGCTTTGAAGACCGGAGGCCTTGCCAGGTGTGGTTGGGGTAGAGGTTGAAATACTGAAATATTGGGGGAGGAGGACAGGGCTTCAAGGACCAACCCAAATCCAGGCCTAGCCCCTGGGGAATACGGGGAGCCCTGGGAAAGAAGGCCGAGGCACGTCAGAGCCTGGATGGTGAGGGCACTGCAGGTGAAGGGGAGGCTGGGGGGCAGAGGGGAGAGGGGCAGGGAGGTGGGGTAGGATGTCTGCCTCTCTCCTGCCTCCTTCCAGCACAACCTTCCTACCCTGCAGAGTTCTGAGGAGTCCTGGGGCTTCTGGAGAAGGAAATCAGTGGGACAGGGAAGGGCAAGAGCTGGGGCTTCTTTCCTGGCCTCATGCTCTGGTGGCCTCCAAGCCACCTGCCCACAGCCCGCTGTCTTGGAAAGCACGCGTGTGGGTGCCAGTGCTCCTGTTTACAAGCTGTGTGACTTTGCCTGAGTTACTTAGGTCTCTGATCCTCAATGTTGTCATCTGTACTTTGCGGGTATTAATAGTAGCTACCTCCTAGTGGTTTGGGCAATTAAATGAGCTAGTAAGTGTGAAGTGCCTAGCATTGCCCCTTGCTAATCCCCTTCCCACTGCACTGTCTGCAGTTTCTGAGAAGGTATCATGGCATATTCTAGTCCCAATATATTTGCACTCAACAAGCACTTATTGAACACCAACTGTATGCAGAGCGTTACTGAACACTGAGGGGGAGCAGATGAGTGAGTGGTGTGGAGGAAGGTAGAGACCTCCTGGTAGGGGATATTATCAGGAAAGACTGGAGGAGGTGAGTCTGAAAGGAGAGGCAGTTCTCCACAGGTGGAGGAGAGGAAGTGGTCTGAGCACAAGACAAGGGGATGTGACCCTGCTGTGGTCACTACCTGCTGTGGCTGGGACACAGTGCCCTACAGCACCCTAGGGCCTATCCCCCTTGCGCCTGCCTCTGAGATATGACCACATCCCAGTCCAGTGGGCTCCTTGGGATCATCCCCCATCAGAATAAGGAACAGTTCCTATTCTCTTAGCCAGCTCTGTGACCTAAGTGACCCTGACCCTGCTCTGGGGACTGTCTCTCACATAAGTGCAGTGGCCTGAACCTCCCAGCCCTTCCTCCACTACGACACCTCCTTCAGGAAGCTCTTCTGGGTTGCTCTCCCATCCCACTGTGCCTACTTAGGGTATGCGTATGTGCCCAGGTCACCACACCTAGTCAGGGACTCACCTAGGGAAGAGCAGTCGGGGACAGTTTCCCTGGTCAGCCAGGGTTGGCCCAGCCCTAGCATGTCCCTTCTCCTACACCACTTCCAGCCTGTGGAAATTTCCATACTTTCTCTGCCCTGGTTACAGCTCCTACTGCTGTATTTATCACCCTGGAGACACAGTGGCACAGGCGCACACATGCCACACACACTCAGGCCTGCACACACGTGCCTGCACACCTCAGCCTGCTTCTCCAGATCTGCGAGTGCATGCTGCGCGCACACACACACACTCGGCACGTGGATGAGCACACACACACGGCACGTGGATGAACACCCACCCACACACAGCTCTCTAGGAAAATTGCTCCCCTTCCCTCCTGCTCCTCCTCCACCCTGTCCTCCCACCACCACCCACTTCCAAATGCTGAGACCAAAGAGATGGGCTGGACGGTGCCTCTCACCACTTGTCAGCCTGGGACGCCCTCCTCCCTTTGTGACTAGCATGCCCTCCTCCCCCTGCCCGTCTGCCTCCCCAGCTCTCTCTGCCTCCCTGTCGCCCTGCCACCTCCCTGCGTTCCTGTGTATCTGCCCTCCACACAAGTCACTCTGAGGCCTCTCTTTGTTACTCTTGACTCTGAAGTGGAAACTGCTCCTCCCAGCTCTCCTGAGAGGCTCAGGATGGGGACCTGACCTCATAGGGCTGATGGAGGCATAGGGACAAGTGAAAGGGACCCCAGGTCCCGAATCTCCTCAGCTCCTGTCACCTTCAGTCCCTCCTATTGGGTTAGGGGAGGGCTGTGTGCCTGGCACCATGGAGACCAGTGTCATGGCAACACAGTTCGGGTGGGCACAGCTTCCTCCTCCTGGGGTGTGGGGTCCATAAGAGGAGGTGCCGAGGAGGTGGGCCTTGTGCTGGTGCCCACCATGGCTGCCTCCAGCTCACCATTCCCAGGACAGCCCACCCCCATCCCCCCAGCCAACTTTGCTTGCCACTGCAGCTTCCAGTGCCACAAGTCACTGATCCCATTTGGGAAATCCTCTCTCAAACACCAGCTCCAGAGCTGGGCGCCAGAGAGGGCAGGGGCTTGCCCAGGGTCACACAGCAAGTCTGGCCAAGCTCCTGACTCTCAGACCTGTTTTCTCCTCCGGTCTCCCACCTTCCACCCAGAAAGGGGACTGGGGGCAGAGGGGTCAGTCCAACCTCAGTTCCCACCACGATCTTCAGCCAGCCCTTAGAGTTGGCAGTGGGAGTGAAGATGCAAGTGATAGTGCCGAGAAACCATCATGGGGCGCCCACCACCTGCTGTGCCAAGGCTTTGCATGTGTCATCCCATTTTATTCCAAGACCCAGGAGGAAGATGACTGGTAAGTGGAGTAGCTGGGACAGGAACACAGGTCCCTCTCAGATGGGGCAGGTGAGTCAAGGCTCGTGTGTATTGCTGTCTCCATCAGGCGCTCTTTTAAAAGAATGGCAAAGCTTTTAATCCCATCTTTATTACCGGTAAGAGTGTAGGGGGAGGATCTGGGGCATAGCCTGGGTCTGGCCTTAGGGTTTCTAGAAACCAGGGGATATTTTTCTAAGAAGATAGAGAATAGAGCTTTCCTAGTGTGGTTAGACCTAGGGAAGACCTTTCTTGCAGTGCAGCAATGCAGACCGACTTCCAATCCCTAGGTCAAGCTGGAGTCTAGGGACAGAGGGGAGGAGACCCCTGCCTCCTGTGCCCAGCCTCAACTTGTCTCCTGACCTTCATGGAGTCACGTTGCAGCTGCCTCCCTCCTGGCTTATGTAATAATTCAAATATAGCAGCTGCCTTTATCCCACTGAGTCACACCCCCTGCATCCCCCCTCAGGTGCGGGGAGTTATGGGGGAAGAGGTGGTTCAGGGCTGAGTGGGAGGTTCGGGGCCTCCTGGCAAGGAAGATCCCTAGTGTGCTGGATTGGAGGGTGGTGGTGGTGAGGGGGCTGGTGCTGAGGCCCCAAGAAGAGCAGAGCCTTCGCCAGAATATGAAGCCACAGGGGCCACTTCTGCCCTGACCCATCCCTGCTGGAATTCCACATTCCTGGGGGCCCTCCCCAGAGTCACAAGCTATATGTACAGCCTTCTCTTGTGGGCTGCTGTCTCAGTTGGAGGAGGAAGGAGAGGTGGAAGAGTATGAAGAGGGGGAAGTAGTCCGGTGGGGCAATGGCCACCGTCTTTGGTCCTAGGCTCAGCCTCGCCCTTCACTCACTGGGTTACCTGGGCACCCCTCTGACCTCAGTTTTCCCATCTGCACAGTGAAGGATTAGATTAACTGGCTCTAGCGTCTCATTCTCTCTGATTTATAACCCTGGAGATGATCTCAACCTGAGGCTGAAGGCACTTCCGAGTGTCTGGCCCAGCCGCGTTCCAGGCTGACTTCCCTCCCTCTTTTCTCTGCCATCCCTCCTAGACCAATGCAGCCACCCCCACCCACAAGACAAAAGAGGCAGGAGAGGGCCCTGGACTCAGCTGGGGCTGGGCGGCTTCTCCCTTCCCTGAACTCGCCATCTGTTCCAGCCCCCCAGCCCCCTGCCTAGCAGCCATGGGTAGGTCACTGCCCTCACCTGGGGTCACCCCTTCCTCCCCGGAGAGCTCTGACAGATATCCTGGAACCTGAAGTGGATCCTTCATGCCCCATCCTGAATCCCAAAGCCACCTTCCTGAGGTGTTGAAGAAGCTGCTCCACCTTGGAACTACTATAGGGGCTGTGGTGGCCTTTCATTCCTTTATCAGCAAAAGCTTTTGTCACTTGTGTGGTGGGGGACATGCTTAGTGTGAGAATGCAGAGACCCATGCCAGGCCCTACCCAAGGACATGGTGCTCCTTCAGCCATTGTCATCAGAGCCACAGAGGGGAGCTTCCTGGCAGAGGAGGAGTGGGGAGAAGCTGTGGAATGGCTCCTTGAGCTCCCCACTCCACCCCTTCCCCATGCCTGGGCTCCCATTGCAAAGACCCAGATGTGGGCTTATCCTGTCCCCCAGCCAGAGGGAGTCACCCAGGGGTGTTCAGGCCAACCCTTTGTGAAATCCATGTTCCACCAGTTACCAGCCTTTCTCCGGAGAGCTGAGGGCTGTCTCACACTGGGTAGTCTCAGCCTGCCCTGGGGTTGGGGGGGTGCTCACAGAGCAGTAAGCGTCACTGCCTGCATCCCCACACACCTGCATTATCTTGTCTGCAAGACACGTGTGCCCCTGAGCTGAGCTCTGTTGTGCACCACCCGATTTCCGTCGGCCTCCTTTCTGACTTTTCTCCATCAACATTTCCTGCTTGGGCCTGTTGCGGGCTACCCAAAGGCTGTGGACTGGGGCCGAGGTACATAGGACTTTGGCTTGTCTTTTGAGCTAACAGGATCCTGTAGAAGAAATGAGATGAGCCTGAGAGGGGGTCGGGGGGTGAGACATTAGGGAAGGGAGAGGCCACCAAGGGTCTCTAGCCCAGAATCCAATGCCCCTTCCTGCCTACCTGTCCTTGTGGGTGGGAGGCAGGGTGTGTGCTGACTGGCCCAGCAATGGTGGGCTAGGATTTGGGATAGGCAGAGAAAAGGAAGAGGAGGGGGAAGTCGGCCTGGGAGGAGAAACACTGTACAAAGTCGAGGAGGAGAGAACCAGAGTGTGCTTAGGGACCAGACCTGGCCCCACCTGGAGCAGAGGATGGTGAGGTCAGTCAGGGCTGGATCACAAGGGACCTCAAATGCCAGGCTGAGGAGCTTGGCCTTTATCCTGAGGGCACTGGGGAGCCCTGCAAAGGTTTTGAGAGGGAATTCCATTACCAGATAGATGTCTTTGGAAGCCGCCTCTAGGTGCAAGGAGGAGGTGGAGTAGAGAGGTTGACCTGGGGTAAGGGTTGGAGCATGACCAGGGGAGGGGGAAGGAAGCAGGGGGTGGGGATGGAGGGAGTGGATGGATCTAAGAGAATCTACTGTCCTTTGGAACAAACGATACAGGAAGTGTAGGAGAGGGATGGGGCAAGGCGACTTTGAAGTGTCCAGCTCAGAGATTGGAAGTTTGCTGATGCCTTTGGGAGGCCAAGGCAGGCAGATCACGAGGTCAGGAGTTGAAGACCAGCCTGGCCAATATGGTGAAACCCCGTCTCTACTAAAAATACAAAAATTAGCCGGGCGTGGTGCGGGTGCCTGTAGTCCCAGCTACTTAGGAGGCTGAGGCAGGAGAATTGCTTGAACCCGGGAGGCAGAGGTTGCAGTGAGCCCAGATCGCACCACTGCACTCCCCACTCCACCCCTTCCCCATGCCTGGGTGACAGAGCGAGACTCCGTCTCAAAAACAAAACAAAAACCCAAAAAACAAAAAACTAAGAAGTTTGCTGATGCCTTTAATAGTAACAAAAGGTGTATTGGATGTTCAATATTTGAGGGACCTACGGGTTGTTCCCAGAGGAGATGTCCAAGAGACAGCCTGGACACCTGGAGCTCCAGGGAGAGGGATGGGCAGCAGGGGACACCCGGAGTTGTTGGTATGCTGGGAGAAGGCTGCATGCTCCGTGGGAGTAGGGTGGAGAATGAGGAGAGACAGGGCCGCCGTCCTGCAAGGAGCATCCATATTGAGGGGGCGAAGATAGGGTGCACCAGTGAGGGAGACAGAGGAGGGGCCGTCTGGAAGGTGGGAGGGAAACAGCCGCGCAGGACGGGGCGGGGGCGGGCGCTGAGAAGAAGCCGCCTTCTTCGGCAAAGAGGTAGCTGAAGCCTGTGGAGCCTGCAGTCCTCTCAAGGCTATGGGGGCAGCGCGGAGGCCGGATTCCAGAACTGAATCTTCCCATCGCTTTGGGCAGCCACCCTACCTCCCAGGAGCATCCTTCCTGCCATCCCACCTCCAGTTCCCCAGCTAACAAAAAACGGTGTTTCTTGACTCCCGGCAGGGCGGCGGGGCGGGCAGGTCTTGTGAACACGGCTCGCAGGGTTCAGCACCCTGGAGAGAGGCCTGTGGCCGGGGCGGGGCCTGCGGCGGGGGTAGGGGCGCGCAGTCAGAGCAGTCGGGCCTTTGGCTCCGTCTGGGAGCGGTCTTGCAGGCAGGCAATTGATGGAGGAGGGAAAAACAATCTTGGATTTTCTCCAGCTCTCTCCCCTTTATGCACCTCCCCCATCCCGGCACTGGCCTACAGGAGCCCCTATCCCAGCATTTGGGGCTATTACTCTCCTGACGACTTCAGGAAATGAGATGGGAGGAGAGGGGCAACTATTTACTGGGAACTTTTCAGACATTCCCAAAACCTCACAACCTTTTGAGCTTGGAATTCGTGACCCCATATTTCAGATGAGGAAACTAAATTGAAGTTCAGGAAGGTGAAATACCTTGCCTAGGCACTTGGCAGAGCTGGGATTTGAATTCCACCTGCCGGGCTCTAAGTCCTGAGTGCCCATTAGCCCTTCTGAGTCCTGAATCTTGCAGTTTGTTCCTGCAGACTCTCCACTTCTGGGTGGCTGTGGAGTCTGGTGTGGCAGTGGGATGGGGAGGAGACCTTCCCTTCCACCTGCTTGCTTGAGTGTATTCCCAGGAGATTTCTGAAGATGAGGCCACCACCATTGTTTCTGAAGTGGGAGGGCAGAAAGGAGGCTGAGGGCCAGGTGAGACCTCGTCACACCTGCACCCATGCATGCCCAGGAGGAACCCTCCTTTGAACTCTTCTGACTCAGCTTCTTGCTGCCAGGTTCCTCCGACCAGTGAGCAGGTTCCCAGGACATGAAGGGGAGCTGTGAGGGAGCAGGACGCCATGGTCCAGGGCTGCAGCTTCCTGAGCCCAGAGAATGCCTTCCTAGCTGTCAGGAATGGAGCAGCGAGGCCCCAGTGATAGGTGAGGTGGAGAAGCAAGACATGAGTTCTGGGCTGGCTCAGCTGCTTTACAACCAGCCTGGGCCTCGTTCCCTTTGAGAAAATGGTTTGCCCAGAGTTCAGAGATCTAAAATTCTATGATGCCTTCTGGGGCCACAGTGGGAAGCAAAGACTCCTCATATTTTCTTTCCTGACACTTCCCAGGCCACAAGACAACTGCTTTCTGCAGCACCCAGCCTGGGCAGGCCATCTACACAAGCTCAGTCATTTCTGACCTTGCCCCCTCCACCGTGCACCCCCATGTTCTTCAACATGGGTCAGGTTTCTATTCAGCCTCAGGGACTTCTCTGCTTGAAGCCTGTTGTGTGGCGGGGAGGTATTCTCCCCACAGCTCAGAGAGATGGGGTTGCTGTGGAGGGTTTGCTGTAGCTCCTCTACCCTGGAATATACCCTCTTCTGCCTTAAAAGACCCAGCTTGGACCCTCTCTTCCAGAAATGCTTGCTAACCGCCCCCCCACCACCCAAACTAGGTCAGGGGTCCCTCTGGGCTTCACAGACCCTGTGCTTCTTTCTGTCACAGCCTGCAAGTCTCCCCTCCCCACTCCCCAGCCCGAGTGCTTCTCTGAGACAAGGGATAGTGTGAGCCATGAGCTCAGCCACTGGTAGGCCAATGAATAAGTAAGTTAATGGTGAAGCCAGGATCCAAATCCCCATTTCCTGCCTCAAGGTGTGGAGCTGTTTCTCCTGCATACAATAGTAGCTCTGCTGTGACAACTCTCTATCTGTCCTAGGGCCTAAAATGCCTCTATTTCACTAGGTTATAGCTTTATCCTAGGGAGTCCTCTTTGGAAGCAGGGTGGGGGTGCAACAGGCCTTCCCCCATGCCTGTAGTCTGTGAGCAGCGAAGGCCATGTGGGGCAGGCTGTGGCCTAGGTCTCCACAGATCCTGGTAGAAGTCCATGCTCACGCATCAGCTCCAAGTCCCAGCTAAACCAAGCCACCAAGAGGTGGGCCCTGTGACAAGGCTCTGAGTCCAAAGGCCATCAGTAAAGCCCCCTAAGTCTTCCGTGGACCCAGCTCCAGGCTGGGATGCACGCTAGGAGATGATACACACCGGGTGAGGGAGCCCAGAGGAGAGGGCAGCTAGCTGTGCATGGAGGCCTGATCTCTCAGACTTGAGGGCACAAGCGTGTCCCCTCATCCTGAAGGCTTCTGCGATGGGGCAGCAGAGGGTCTGGGTCTGCTGCCCCTCAAGTCCCCAGCCCCATCCTAGCCCATGAGGATTGTAAATCCCTCGTCCTCTCCCCTCTCTCCTCTGTCAGCCACTCCCCTTTCCCCCTACCCCACTCTCTTTCTATTTCTGCCTCTGATTTTTTTTCCTTTTCTGCCTTTGTTCCTCTGTGTGTGTGTTTCTCTATGCCTCTCTGGTCTCTTTGTACTTCCATCTTGATCTCGCTAAGGCTCTGATCCCTCTCTCCTCTCCCTCTTCATGTGTTACTGTCCCCCTTCCTGTCTCTGTTTATCTCTCAGTCTCTCTGTCTGTGAGTCTTTTTTCCTCTCTCCCAGTCAGACTCTCTCTCTACCCCTCCCTCTCTCCCTCTCTCCCTCTCTGTCTGGGCCTCTCTCTGTTCCTCCTCCCTCCTCCCTCCCCCTTCTGCATTATCAGACCTGCTCCAACCTCCTCCCAGAGCCAGCCGAGCAGCAGAGGCAGTGGCAGCGGGAGAGGCGGGAGCAGCGGGGCAGCAGAGCTGGATTGGGGTGTTGAGTCCAGGCTGAGTAGGGGGCAGCCCACTGCTCTTGGTCCCTGTGCCTGCTGGGGGTGCCCTGCCCTGAACTCCAGGCAGCGGGGACAGGGCGAGGTGCCACCTTAGTCTGGCTGGGGAGGCGGACGATGAGGAGTGATGGGGCAGGCATGCGGCCACTCCATCCTCTGCAGGAGCCAGCAGTACCCGGCAGCGCGACCGGCTGAGCCGTGAGTATAGTGAGGGGCTGGGGTGGTGAGCGGCTGTGAGAGGTGCCACAGACAGGGTCCTGGGAGTCCCTCCAAGGAGCTGGGGTTGGCATGGAGCTGAGCCACGTGGAAGGATCGATCCTGTTCCTGGGCACCCCTCCTCCCCGCGTTGCCAGACTGCAGCCTGGGGTGGGGGCAGGTTACCTCTGAGCAGAATGAGGGTGTCTAACGTCAACCTAGTAGGTGATGAGGCTGGGGTCCCATGGAAGGGGCTGCTGGTTGGAGGAGGGGCTGATAATGAACCTGAACCGGTTCTTCAAGGGCTGAGGGTGTATGTGGGGAGGGGGAGGTCTGCCAAGTAGTTGGGAGGAGCTCTCGGGGCTGCAATAGGCTGGTTCAGGACCCGGAGAGGGAGAGTGTCTTGGCCCACCAAGGCTATGTGTGTGTGAAGGAGGTGGGGAGGGGGAAAGATGGAGAAAATATGAATAAGAGTGGCCCTGGAGCAAGAGAGGGTTAGAGGTAACCACCTTCCATGGAATTGGGAATTGGGGTTCAGGGACACCACTTTATGAAACTTTACCCCAAAGCGTCTGTCCCAGGATAGGGTTCTACGGAGCCAGATGGAATATGGTGCCAGCCTCGTGTGTGTCCACGTGCAGGGGGGTGCATGTGCAAGTGAGTGGGGGGCGCCGTGGCGACACCCCTCTACTAAGGGCTGCCGAGGTGGTAGGCAGGGTATGTGTGTGTGTGTGTGTGTGTATACATGTGGAATGTAAGGGACATGTTGGGTGTAGAGGGGCCTGTAGAGCTCTAGGGTCCTTGGTGGTTGGATGTAAAGCAGCCTGTCAGAGTTTGTGATCATCCCTGTGTGAGTGAGAGTTTATTCGCATGTGTCTGAGTGTGAGTGCAGGTTGGTCTGCATATGTATGTAGGTGTGTCTATTAGGTTGAGTTTGTATATTATGTGTGTTGTGTCTGCAAAATAGAGTGAATCAGTGTGCATTTTTTATCTGTTCCATGTGCATTTATGTGTGTGTATTTGTTAGTGTGTGAATAATAGCATTGCTGTGTGTGGAGGTGGATGTGGCTGTGTGCGTATAAGTATTCTGGTGTGGGTGTGTGATCATGGTGCTAGTGTGTATATCGGTGCTTCTGTGGCTGGTGTGTGTGTGTATCTATATGTGTGTATTCATCTGAGTGTGTGTGGGTGGCTGTTTCCTTCCCCTGGCAATTGAGGATACAGCTGGGACACCATGGCCCACTGATGCAGGGCAGGGAGGGGCTGAATGTATGACCGCCTCTTTGAACTCAGGACAATTCATTCTACACCCTGTGGGAAAGATGCAGAAAAGAAATAGGCAATAATGACTCTGCCCTCTGGGGCTTCCTAAGCTTCTTAGACATAAAATAGCTTGAGAATAATTAAGCAGTAGAGATCAACGTCATGCTAACAGGTGGGGGTGGGGTGGGAACTGCATAAGCAAAGGCCCTGGGCTGGGCATGTCCTGGAGCAGTGAAGACACTGTATAGAGTGGGGGGCAGGCAGGACCCACATTCAATAGAACTTTAAGATCCAGGACTCTTAGGCTTTATCCAGAGAGCCCTGGGGAGCCCAGAAAGGTTTTATATAGGGGAGAGACATGATCAGATTTGGGTTCTAGAAACCTGCCCTGGGCCAGGCATGGTGGCTCATGCCTGTAATCCCATCACTTTGGGAGGCAGAAGCAGGTGGATCACTTGAGGCCAGGAGTTTGAGACGAGACTGGCCAACATGGTGAAACCCAGTGTCTATTAGAAATACAATAAAATTAGCTGGGTGTGGTGGCACACGCCTGTAGTCCCAGCTACTTAGAAGGCTGAGGCATGAGAATATGAGAATCGCTTGAACTTGGGAGGTGGAGGTTGCAGTGAGCTGAGATTGCCTTACTGCACTTTAGCCTGGGGGTGACAAAGTGAGACTCTGTCTCAAAAGAAGAAAAAAAAAAAGAAGAAGAAAAATAAAGAAACCTGCCTCGGTGGCATTGTCTGGGTTGAACTGGAAGAGAGAGGTGGGGCCAGGAGGCTAGAGTGGAGGCCAAGCCAATACAGGGGTCAGTGAGTTCTGGAGCTTTTTGAGAACTTGGGAAAGGCTGGATAGATGAGAACAGGGAAGGGAATGTCTAGGTGGCTCAGGCTTGGACTGGGGTCAGGGGTGTAGTGCAGACATCTCAGTAAGTCAGGATCTCATGAGGGAAAAGGCTCATGGAAGGCTCAGGAAAGCTGGGCGTGGGTGGGCTGAGGTAGTGGGAGAGATCTTTGTAGTGTTTCTAGCTAGGATGCAGAGGGTCAGAGATCATGGAGCCATCTCTTGCCAGACAGGGAAACTGAGACTATGGCTTCATCACTACCCTTTGGCTGCAAGGCTGGGGCTCAACCTCTTCATCAGACCTGACCCTCAATATCATTCTCCTTCAGGCCCTGCCCGGAACCTCTTGGTTGCTGAGCTTGGTCAGCTCAGTGAGGGTTAATTGTCTTTATGCTCCCTGCACCCCCACCCCCCGCAGTCATTCCCCCTGCCCACCAAGCAGCTCCTGCCACTCTTCCTGCTTCCCACTCCAGCCTCCTGTCCCCAGGGACTGCTGATGGCTTGGCTGGGATCTAGCCAAATGGTGGGGGGTGGGGGCGGGGGTGGGGGGAAGAGCTCCCAGCAGTCCTTTACCCCTTGGTCTTAATGGACTGGGAGTCTCACCCTCAGCCATGCTGCTGTCAGGCCAGGCCTGCGCTCCCCGGGCTTCTGCTGCTTGGGCCTATGAAATCTCCCGACTCAGCATGATTCCATTGCTGCATTCATTCATTCAACCACTCAACAGGAACTTCTCAGTAGCTGCTTGGTGCCCACTTGGCTTGTCACCGGGGACACAGAGCAGACACTGACTGAGTCCCTGTTCTCAGGGAGTGCCCAGTCTGATGAAGGAGAAAGAAATGGAAAGCTGCAACCCTACAGGGTGAGCAGTGCTGTGTAGGAGGTGGGGGGCCCACAGCAAGCCTGGGCTTCAGAGGAAGAGACATTTGAGCCGGACCTTGAAGGATGGGTAGGAATCACCCAGGCAGGGAAGAGCAGAGGGAACAGTTTGTGAAGGTGGGTAGGAAAGGCACAGGGCTAGGCACCTGACTCAGTGCAGCCTCTGGGTGGGAGAAGACAGTAAGGGCGTTTGGGTCATTTTCTAGCAGTTGTTTTAGTACTCTCTACAACTTGCCCTGCAGATCTATCCAGCCTGCTGTTTGTATACCCCCGGACATAGGATGTTCATCTCTTCCCTCCTGGGCAGCCCTTCCCTTGTGGTGGTTATATCTGTCCTGGGTCTTCTCCGCAGGGCCCAGCAACTCCAGGCTACCCAGCCTGGCCTTATGTCCTTTCTCCGTCCTGTGTCACTGTCCCCTGAAGTAGGGCCAGGCTGGGGCACAATGATCCAGGAGTGGCAAGAACACATCTAGGCAGAGAGTGGGAGAAATGCGCAGCCTTTATTAACAAAAATCTGAGATGGGTGCAGGCCCTGACTCCTCTCCAAAAATAATGATAAAGAAGCAGGCATGGTCAAATAAGGGAGTGAGGACAGACAGCAGGAAGAACTTCCTACCAATGCAGAAGGGCTGTGAGTCTCTTGGTTTTATGAGAGTGGGCTGTACGTGTGAAAGGGAGGGTCTCAGAGGACAAGAGGGGGAATTGGAGGCAGAGGCACTGTCAGCCTCTGACTCTCCCATAGGTGAGTGAGTGAAGTCATCCAGGGAGAGGGAACAGAGGAGGGAGATCAGGACTCATCATTCATTCATTCAGCAGCCGTTCACTGGCCCTACCAAACATGACACCCCTGGGGGCAGATGGACAGAGCCAGTGACCACGTGGATGGAAGCTCCGAGTCTTTCCTACCTGTGTTAATGTCGCAGGAAGGTATTTAGGAGGAGGGGCCATTGGGGCTGGCCTTATAAGGAAGAGCCACTTCAGGCTGAGTTGAGGGACAGCACTAGGAAGATGGAAGAGCATTTGCAAAGGCCTCAAGGTAAGGGCAAGCAGGATTTTGTTCACTTAGCACTATAGGAGTTCAGAGTGGCCTAGGCATGAAGTGCCAGGCTGGGGGGAAGCCCTGGGCCGTGGTGGAGCAGGAGAGGAGTGGGGAATTGAGCCTAGACTGTAGGAAGCACTTTCTTCCGTGAAGGTGTCTCCAACAGGCTTGATGTGTAGGCATTATTGTAAGTTTGCAACTTCTTGGTCTCTCCTGGTGCTCGTGACCAGAGCTTGCTGAGGGACCCAGCCTTGCTTGAGAAAGGGGTGTTCAGTGAACAAAAGAGACCCTGGAAATGAGAGAGAAGCAGTGGCTGAAGAATGTGGGCCCCTTCCAGAAAGTGGCGTGCAAACAAATACAAAGCAATATGCAAATCAGCTGGCTAGGGCTTGGCAGCTTTGGTTGGAAGAAATGAGCCATCACCCCTTATTATGCCGGCCTCCTACCCCCTCTGCCCCAGCCTCCAGGACAGCCGGAACAGCCTTGTCTGCTCCTTGGAGCGCCCCAGCTTTTCTGAGACACAGGATTGTGGCCTCCAGGGTGGTGGCCGTGGGCTCCCTGTCAGCACCCTCGTCCTCCTGGGAAGTCGATATATTTAGTAACAGAAATGTTTTCACACATTTATCTCCTATTGTTCAGCTGCTTGCTCCCTGGGAAAGGCCAGGTCCCCAGTGATGTGACCCACTTCTTGAAGTCCCTGAAGTCACCCTTCTCACTGCCCCCCCACCCCGAAAAACAGGAGGCAACTGGGGCTTGGTGCAGCAGAACAGATTTGAGTCAAATATCTGGGAGGACTTCCCAACAGTGTGGTTGCTGAGATGTGTGGACCCTGGATTTCTGGGCTTTCATTCTTTGGATGGTTGCCTTGGGCGCAGAGGAGGCTTTGAAGATAGAGCAGAGAAGGTGGCAGACAGGCTTATGCTCAAATTTCAGCATACTGAAAGATGTACTGTTACTCTGTAGCTGTGTGGTCCTGGGCAAGTTACTTAACTTCTCTGAACCTTGTGTGAATAGTGGGGTGGAGATAATTATCCTTTCTTGGCAGGATGATTCTGAAGAATCTGGAAGTGCAGAGCTTAGCCCCTGGCATGCGGCAGGTGCTCACAAAGGTTAGCTACTGTCATTATGAACCACCCACGATCAGCCACACTTTCAGAAAGATTTAGCGGGGCCTGGAGAGGGAGAGACCAGAGCTAGGAGCTCAGGGCTGTCATCGTGTGGGAGGGACCAGGAGGCCTGAAACAGAGCTGTGGTTGTGGCTACGGTGAGAAGCACAAAGCTCTGTGGGAGGGACCGAGGTTTCTCAGAGAAGTGTGGCCACCTCATTAAGTTGTTCTGACTGGTCTGAGACCAATCCCCAGATAATACAATGGAAGAAAGGGCTTGGTGAAGAAGGGGTTAAGTCTGTGGCCACACCCATGCAGTCTGTGAGCCATTCTGGGAGCTGTAGTCTGTTGTGAATTTGCAGTAAGCATAGTTTGTACTGCCTCTTTTGATCCAAATCCACACCCTGCTGCCAAGGCTGGCCGAGGGCCGGCCCTGGTGGGTGCTGGGCTGTGTGGAGCCCAAAGGTGAAGCAGCATCGACCTCTTCCCTCAGGGACCCCCTGGCTTGCTATGTGTTGGGGGGTGCAGGTAGGAGCAGGGATAGAAGTATTAAGCCATAATTACGACTTCTCACATGTTCACACAGAAGTTTACAGCTTCCTGAGCACTGTTTCCACACCTGTGATCTCATTTAATCCTCACCACAAACCCAAGAGACTGCTGTTTTCTGGATGAAGAAACAGAGGATCCAGGAGGGGAAATCGCTTGCCCACAGGTATTCAGCCAGTGGAGCCAGACCTGGGGCACAAATCTGTCTGCTTCCAGAGCTCCTGCTCTTTCCATACATTACTGTTCCAGATGGCAGACAGGCAAGATGTGGACAACTAAAGTTGGATGTGAGACATCTCGGCAGAGGAACAGCTGAGCAGAGAGCTGCTGATTCCAGGCTGAGAGTTTGGACTTTGTGTTGTGGCCCACCAGGATCCACCCAAGGGTTTTCTGATTAGAGCTGAGCTTTGAGAGAATTGGTCTTGCAGCTTAGGCTGAATGGATTGAACTGGAGAAACCAAAGTCAGACTGAGGCTTCTAAATCCCATCCTTGGTGCACCCAGCACTTTGCTGCTGTCCCTCCTCCATGCTTCTTCTCAGTTTCTTCCTTCTCCTCTCCTTCATCTTCTTCCCTCACCCTTTTTTTTTTTTTTTAATAGAGACAGTGTCTTGCTGGCTGGAGTACAGTGGTGCCATAATAGCTCACTGCAGCCTCAAATTCCTGGGCTGAAGCTATCCTCCTGCCTGGGCCTCCCAAAGTGCTGGGATTACAGGTGTGAGCCACTGCACCCAGCTCATCTTCCTCTTTCTCTCCTACTCCTCTCTGCCTCAGGCTGAGGAGTGATGACTTTTATACCATAGAGCTGTGCTGTAATATCACATGTCTCCAGAAGGGGGTGCTGTCACATACAGTCCATTCCAGCCTGAATCTTCGTTGTGTTTGAAGGGCCAGTAGAAGTGTTGGACAAGTGGCAGAGATGAAGGATGGAGAGAAGGATAGCCCATTGTTCTCCACCTCCATTGAGCCCAGGACATGAGGGCCCTGCTGAAATGGCACTGGGAGGAATGAAGGCTGAGGAGAGGTTGGACCCCAACCAGAAGGGACAGACATACTGAGTTAAGCCAGAGGAAATTTTCTCCTCATGGTTCTGGGACAGGCTAAGATTTGGAAATGCATCTAGAATGACATTGCAGTTGGGGTCTGGGTTTCTTTTGGGTCATGACTTGCTTGATACTGAGGTGCTGGGGATATTGCTTGTGTCTCAGTGTGTGTATGTGTACCTGAATGTGAGCTTCCAGTTGTGCATATGTGTATGCTGATCTGAGAGGGTGAGAATGTGTGGGTCAGTGTTCGTATAAAAGTGTGAACATACTCACATGTGTGAGCATGTGAGTGTCCTTTTTTTTAGTTTAGTTTTGAGACAGGGTCTCACACTCTCACCCAGACTGGAGTGCAGTGGCGTGATCTCGGCTCACCGCAACCTCCGCATCCCAGGCTCAAGCTATTCTCCTGCCTCAGCCTCCTGAGTAGCTGGGACTACAGGCATGCACCACCACACCTGCATAATTTTTGTATTTTTAGTAGAGATGGGGTTTCACCATGTTGGCCAGGCTGGTCTTGAACTCCTGACCTCAAATGATCCACCCACCTTGGCCTCCCAAAGTACTGGGATTACAGGCATGAGCCACTGCACCCGGCTGTGACTGTCCATCTTTATGTCTGATTTTGGTAAACAGTTATATGCATGTGACTGTGGCTTGTGTGTGTGTACATGTATGTAGAGTGCCATATACATATGTTCTAGTGAAACCGTATGTGTGTTCCCTGTGTATACAGATGCCTGTGTCTCAATGTGAGCACAGGGATGAGGGGATATGTGTGTGTGAAGGCCCAGACACCTGCTGTGCTAACCTTTAAGGCCGCGCCTAATGTCTGGCTATTCAATACTTTTTCTCCTGGGTCGCGCTTTCCTGTAGGTAGAGACCCTTGAAGGGCTGGGCTTCCTTCAGGGGACTCTGGGCCAGAGTCAGGCTTTGTGTTCAGTCTCAGGTTGGGCCAGCCAGGGTCCTAGTCTATCGGATTGGGCAGCTAGACATGGCTGGGAAGTGTCTAGGTTCCATTCTCCCCAGGAACTCTTAATGGTCACACTTAAAGAGTTTCAGGGACTCCCAGCACGGTCCTCTTGTACTGATGCAACTACTGAAGTTCAGAGAGGTGCAGTGATTAACCCAAGGTCACCCAGCAGGACCCAGGATGAGATGATAGGGCTTGCAGCAGAGAGGGGAGTGTCTGACCTGGAAGGCTGCCCTCCCTCCAGCCCCTAGAGCAGGTGGGGAGCTCAGAGGAGAGCCAAGTCTGTGGTGTGAAGCCACCTCCTGCACCTGGCTATTTCCATGCCTCCTGGGCCTCAGAGGCTGCCTTTGAAGTTTTTACCAGAGCTTCTGCATGCTGTGAGATTCCTCCTGGGGACGTGTGAAGTCGACTGTTCCATGGAGCATGGAGACTCGATGGAGAGGAGCCCAGTGGTGAAGTGAGGCCAGAGGAGGGGCTTCCTCTGGAAGCCTCAATTTCTTCTTTGCAGTAGTTGCTTTTTTTTTCGTGTTTTTTTTTTGTTGTTGTTTTTTAGGTTTTCACCGTTCTAACATTCAAGGCTTTCTCTGTTATCTCTCTTTGAGCTCTTAGTACTGAGACAGTGCTGGGGTTTGGGGCAGTCCTGGAGGCCTATCTGGGCTCAAAGTGAGGGTGGCAGGGCAGTCCCTTAGGGAAAGGGCTGCGTGGGAGACAGGGATGAGCTTCCTGCCCATAGTGGGGAGGCATGAGCAGGGGCTGGACAGCCTGGTTAGCAAGGCTGTATACAAGGTACCTACCCTAGTGAGGAAGTTGGTTGCAGATTATCTTGAGTCCCTTCAAGCTGTAGCTGCCATGGGGGGCCAGAGAAGAACGTGCCTCAGCTCTCTTGGGCCTGGGGAGGATTGAGTCCACAGAGTGCTCCTGGTGTCCTGGGCAGTGGAAGGTGCAAGGTTAGACTGTGCACCTGGAAGCAGAGAGATCCCATTCCCTGGAGAACTGAAGGGAAATTTGTCTTCCTGGAGGTTTGGGGCTGGAGGCAGGGGCTGGATGGGAGGACACTCTGGGGTGGAGTGGGGGTGGGATGGGGAGGACTGGGCAAGTCCGAGGCGGCTCTGCTGTTCAGCACCCGCAGGAAGGAGCAGGGAGGCATATCCTGAATCATGCAGGGCTCTAGGGTGGGAGGCCCATGGTTGTGGGGCTCAAACATGGGCTCTGGTTGGGGCAGAGGAGAGGCTTCCTGGGGTTGGGGTCTGGGCAGGAATTGGGGTAGAAAAGGAGAGAAGCAGCAATTGGGTACCACCTCCTTCCCAGGTCAGGTAATTCGGAGTTGTCTTAAAACTCTCAGTGGGCCAGGCATAGTGGCTCGCGCCTGTAACCCAAGCACTTTGGGAGGCTGAGGTGGGTGGATCACCTGAGGTTGGGAGTTCAAGACCAGCCTGGCCAACCTGGAGAAACTCTGTCTTTACTAAAAATACAGAATTAGCTGGGCGTGGTGGTGGATGCCTGTAATCCCAGCTACTCGGGGGGCTGAGGCAGGAGAATTGCTTGAACCCAGGAGGCGGAGGTTGCAGTGAGCCTAGATTGTGCCATTGCATTCCAGCCTAGGCAACAAGAGCAAAACTCTGCCTCAAACAAAGAAACAAACAAAACCTCTCAGTGAGGGGGGATCTGGGGTCCAGATGGAGAGAACTAATGTTTACAGAGTGACCTTTAAGTTTTAAAAATGATTATTTAAGGAGGCGATTAAACAAATCGCCTCCTTAAATAATCCTTCCAGGGAGGCCGGGCACGGTGGCTCACACCTGTAATCCCAGTACTTTGGGAGGCTGAGGTGGGCGGATCACGAGGTCAGGAGATCGAGACCATCCTGGCTAACACGGTGAAACCCCGTCTCTACTAAAAATACAAAAAATTAACCGGGCGTGGTGGGGGGCGCCTGTAGTCCCAGCTACTCGGGAGGCTGAGGCAGGATAATGGCATGAACTCAGGAGGCGGAGCTTGCAGTGAGCCGAGATTGTGCCACTGCACTCCAGCCTGAGGGACAGAGCAAGACTCCGTCTCAAAAAAAAAAAAAAAAAAAAAAAAAAATCCTTCAAGGGGCTAGCCCTATTTTGTAGAGGGGAAACAGATGACAAACTTAAATGGTTTAACTGAAGACAGTTAGTGAAGCAAGTATTATGGAGATGGGGAAGGCTTAAGGGAACCAGCAGGACATGTCAAGTTACTCAGGACTGGCATCCAAGGGGCCAGGGGCGTTGGCAGAGGGGGGCCGAGGAGAGTGCCCCAGCTCCATGAGCCAGAGCCCTGGAGATGGGGCTGCCCTGCAGGAGCTGTGGCTGCAGCCACTGCTTGTCAAAGGAGGCAGGTGGGTGAGGGGGTGAATACCCACCATGAGCCTGCATGCTTCTCACCCTTTGCTCTCCTGCCAGTACCCTGACCCTCACTGGCAGAATTTCTCTGGATGCCAGGGGGCAAGGGAGCCCTGGATGAAGCTGCCACTTAGAAGTCGGCCTCTGGGGCACACAACCCAGCAGCAAAAGTTAGAGATTGGATGTGGAGGGACAAAGAGATGATGGGAAACCGAAGAACAGAGAGGGCATGGACTTGCCCAAGGTCACACAGCCTGTTGATATCAGAATTGGAGTCAGAAGCCAGGCTCTGCCTCTGAACACTCACTTTTTTGTTTGTTTGGTTTTCTTTTTTTTCTTTCTTTTTTTTTTTTTTTTGAGACAGTCTTGCTCTGTCGCCCAGGCTGGAGTGCAGTGGTGCGATCTTGTCTCACTGCAACCTCCACCTCCTGGGTTCAAGTGATTGTCCTGCCTCAGCCTCCCAAGTAGCTGGGATCACAGGCACCTGCCAGCATGCCTGGCTAATTTTTGTACTTTTGGTAGAGACGGGGTTTCACCATATTGGCCAGGCTGGTCTCGAACTCCTGCCCTCAGGTGATCTGCCCGCCTTGACCTCCCAAAGTGCTGGGATTACAGGCGTGAACCACTGCACCTGGCCTGAACACTCACTTTGTCACATTCACTGAGGTCTCCTGAGTGGACTCATATGCGCATTATCTACTCTCTGGCTGAGAGCTGCTTCCTGCCGTGATCACCGCGCTCTGTATCTGGGCAGCACAGGGGCTGCTGAAGAATGTCATTCTCAGAACGCAGTGTGCCCTGGAGCCCCCCAAGCCACCTGTTCATTCATCCCAACTGGCCTTGAGGGTGCCCTGGTGTGCCCTGCCTGTGCTTGTCACCCTGGCCATGGAGATGGACCCAAAAGCCCTTGCTCTCCGCTTCATTAGAGACAGGCACACCCAGACGCAGGCAATCAATTTTGTCGGGTGAGTGCTGGGACCGCTGATGAGGACCCTTCCTGAGGAGGCGATGCTGGGTCTTAGCCTTAAAGAACAACTGAGAGTTTTCCAGGTGGAGGAGAAAAGGAAGGGTATTCCAGGCAAAAATCCCCGTAAGAGCAAAGGTGTGAGCAGCAAGAAATCAAGGGTGGCAGGTTCATGGCTCCTGGGCTGGAGGAAGGGCCTGGCGGTGGAGAGGAAGGGAGTGAAGGCCCAGCTCACAAAGGGAAGCAGAGGAAAGTTTAAGCAGGGTCAGGCCATGGTTAGCTTTGGGGTTAGGAAGCTCCAAATGATGGGTGAAGTAGGGGGGCTAGACCCAGGTGAGAGGCAGTATTGCGGTTGGCCAAGGACATGTGAGTTGCATAAATGGGCCAGAGGAGGGGTGACAGCCGCTACTTCCCGGCTCACCTGCCTGAGCTAAGGCCCTAGTTCCTCAGTGTCTGCCCACCAATGCAGGTGTGTGGCAGCTCTAGACCCTCCTCTAGGGACATCCCTCCCTGCCTCATGCTGCCTGTGGCTTTCACTCTCTGGAGCACTCATCCATGGCACCCATAAGCCACCCCCTCAGACAATGGCCCCTAAAGCAAAACTGTGTCACCGTTGCATATCTCTTGATAACACTCTGACCCCTCCACTGCCAAATCTGATAAAAGAACTCCCTTTGAAGACCTTCCTCCTGGAGTCGGATCTCAGTCCTTCTTGCTGTCCAGAGCCTGGGCCTTGGGCCTCCCTGGGAGGCGAGTCAGTGAGGGCAGCCCCCTTATGGTGCTGGGAGTTGAGGGACCTTGGCCCAGCCAACTCATCCCTGTTGTGTCAGCCTCTCTGGGCCTGGGCAGCCAACTCATTTTCAGTGCTAATTAGCATCTCCCCTGCAGCTTTCTGCCCCACTCTAAGTGCTTGACAATCATTAGGTGTTACTGTGTGCAACTGGATCCCAGCTCCGGCACCTCCCTGCCCCAGCTTCTCCTCCAGACCCCAGCTGCCTGAGATAAGGGACCTGGCCACAAACATACAACACACCGAAACCCGGACACAATCTAGGCATAGGGACTTGAACACCAACATAAATATACAAAGAGGAAAAACCCAATAACACAGAAGAACTCCCCATACCAGGAAGCAGACCATAGCACAGACAGAGACCCACAGTACACACACAACACAGACACCAACAGATGCTGAAAAGCAGACACAGGATCATTCCAAAAAGTGACCCAGAAACGAAAACAGAACAAATGGGAACATCAATGCACATGACACAGGTATACACATCTAGATATGCAACACAGGTACGATTCAGCACATGTGTGGCGCATCGCAGGGAAGCACTTGCACTTGAAGTATACACAGATGCCAAGATAGTCAGAGGGAGCCGCCTGTGGTTCCCCACCTGTGCAGCGTCTCTCGCCTCTGGGCTGCCGCACATGCTGTTGCCCGGAATTCCCTTCCCCAAGGCCCTCCTCTTTTTACCTGGCTAATTCCTGTCATTCTTCAGATCTTCTAGGAAGACTTCTGCCTCCTTGATAGGGGCCTTTCCATACTCCCCAGCCTTGGAGTGCTTCCTGCCACATGGCATCACTGACTGTTTTCCAATGAGTTTCTGTCAAGTTTTGGGATGAAGGATTTTGCCTGTGCTCGTTGAGGTGGTGACTGTGGGTGTGAGTGGGTGATTAGGGCCAAAAAACCCCCCCAAAAAACTGGACAGAGGCAAATTTGGGGGGAAATGAGTTAGGAATAGCTGTGAGGAGCCCCAGCTACTCAGGGCCTCAGAAGATATTTATTTCTGTATTTATTTATTTATTGAGACAGAGTCTTGCTCTGTCACCCAGGCTGGAGGGCAGTGGCGCTATCCTGGCCCACTGCAACCTCCACCTCCCAGGTTCAGGCGATTCTCCTTCCTCAGCCTCCCGAGTAGCTGGGATTACAGGTGCGCACCACCATGCCTGGCTAATTTTTCTATTTTTAGCAGAGACGGGGTTTCACCATGTTGGCCAGGCTGGTCTTCAACTTCTGAGCTCAGGTGATCCTCCTGCCTCGGCCTCCCAAAGTGCTGAGATTACAGGTGTGAGCCACTGCACCTGACCTCAGAAGACATTGAAACCCACAGAGAGGACACAGCCAGATGCCCTCTGCCTCATTTTCTCAGACCCTGCCTGATTTCTCTTATGTTTCTTCTAGGCTTGCTCCCTGACCCAGTTCCCTCCTTCCCAGAGCTGGCCTTGCCCCTTGCCACCTCTCGGAGCTCACACATACTCACTCACCTTCTCTGCTTGGCTGTGCCCTACCCCTACTTCTACGTGCAGTGAAATCCTTGTTATTCAAGGCCTGAGGTCAGTGGGCACATCATCCATGCCTGGCGTCCTAACCCGTGCCACTGAGTATCGTGAAGGGAGGTAGTGGAGGGACGTGCTTGGGAGCACAAGCCTTGAGGACTGTCTCTTGGTTCAGATCTCTGCTCCTCTACTTCTTAGCTGCAGGATTGTGCAAGTTCTGCCACCTTTGTTCCCTCATCTGTAGAAAGGAGAGGATAATAGAGCCCACCTCATTAGGGCAGCCATGAGGATTAAATGAGACACAGTGTGTAATGTACCTGGCTCCCTCTCCAGGTTGCGTGAGAGCAGGGAGAAAGCTAATGAGATCAAGGATGTGCAAATGCACTCAGAAGGTGCCTAGTGAGTCCTTGCTAACTGGCACTTAGTGAAACAAACACCTCCTGTGTGAGCACCTAATATGTGCCTCTGTAGTGGGCTCTGTGACCCGCCCCTCCTTAGTTTCTGCATGGCTGCCAGTTCTGCACAGCTGTTACTGCTGTGGGGGCTTAGAAGGTGGGGGTATGACTACTTTTTCTGAATTTATTTTTAATTTTTTACATCTGTTTTATGGAGGCATAATTTACATACAGTAAAATCACCAATTTAAAGTGTATAATGAGTTTTGATAAATATATATGGTCATAACCACCATGACAATTAAGAAAAGAATATTTTTATCCTGGCAAACTTCCCTTGTGCCCTTTGTAGTCAGTCCCTTTGAGGGGGACTTCTTATAGGAGTGTGAGAAGTACTGGGTTTTCCTTGGGCTGCAAACCTGGGCACATGGAGTGGGGGTGCCTCCAACATGCTGGAAGTTGCCAGGGAACTGCTGACCCTCTCTGGGCCTTGGTTCCTGGCAGAGGCAGTGCAGCCAGGCAGGGGAAGGGATGCTTAGGCCTTGGTCTCCTGAGGGCAAGCCTTGGATGTGAGGGTTGGATCGGCTGGAAGTGGTGGCTTCAGAAACCCATAGAGTGGGTGACAGGGTAGGGACTTGGTGTTTCCACAAACCCGCCCCTCCTTTGACCAGGTGTGCCCTGTGGTCCTGGTGGAAATGGCTATATATTGTCCAGACTGTAGCAGGGGCTGGCCAAGATGGTCCACTCCTCTCCCCATCCTCCTCCAACCAGAGGCCATAAACCCCACTCTATAGATTAACAATTCCCTGAAAAGAAGGGGGTCACTTTTGTTCCCCAGTTCTAGAACTAAATATTAAAGCAATTATGTAACTAGCAATAAATTACTTAAAGTAGTGACTCACTCAGCTTAATTAGAGCGCAAGCAGGGAGGGATTAAGGTATTTTTAGAGCACACACCTCACTCTCTCCTGTGGGGGAGGCCTCTGTGCAAGGTGGGGGTGGAAAAAAGGCTGGGAACTCATGGGAGCACCCCAGGTGTCTGCAAGGAGATGAAAGCTGATCCTCCGCCCCACTGAGGTCCTAAGGAAGAAAGGCCGAGTCAGAGCTGCAGCAGGAGGGATTCGGATCAGACTCAAGAACACTTCCCAGTGGTGCTTATTTGAGAACTGGGACGGCAACACTAGATTGTAAACTCTGTGAGGGCAGGGATTAGGTCTGTGACTGCCTCCTCACCCAGCGGGAGACCAAGAATGAGACTTGGGAGTCAGACACAACTGGGTGTGACTCCTGCCTTTGCGGGTTGCCAGCACGTGGGCTTGGGCAGGTTCCTTTATCACCAGAAGCTTTGCCGTCTCCTCCACTATAAAGTGGGCACAATAACATCCACCTGCATGCATATTATAAGGATTGAGTGGGTTAAAATGTGCAAAGCAAGACTTTGTGCTCAGCTGGGCACAGCGGCTCACACCTGTAATCCCAGTACTTTGGGAGGCTGAGACAGAGTGCTTCAGCCCAGTAGTTTTGAGACCAGCCTGGGAAACATAGGGAGACCCTGTCTCTTAAAAGAAAAAAAAAATTAGAAGACTCGGTGCTGACTCTGCTAGACCAAAAGCCCACAAAGGCAGGGATTAGGTTTGGTTTGTGTTGTTCATTGTTGTATCTCAAGCTTCATTCATAGGACTGCACAAAGTAGGTGTTCAGTAAATGCTTTGTTGTGTGACTGCGTGTTAATTTTGTTCCCATTCTCCTGCTCCAAAAAAAAGTTCATTTTCCTGAGGTTGTGAGTGAAGAAAATAGGCAGTGTGGGCTGGGTGTGGTGTCTCATGCCTGTAATCCCCAGCACTTTGGGAAGCTGAGGCGGGAGGATCACTTGAGGCCAGGAGTTCAAGACCAGCCTGGGTAACTTAGCGAGATCCCATCTCTACTTCAAAAAAATTTAAAACAGAAAAAATCTAGGGTGTGTGGGGGGGCAGGTGGGGAGGTTGCAGGGGTGCCTCACAGGTGGGAGTCTGGCATTTCTCCTCCAGGCTGAGGAGGTGGTGACTTCCAGGGAAAGTCCTGGGAGGGATCAGAACCACAGCTCCAGCCTGCTTGGATGAGGGTGGTCTTCTGGCTGCCAGGAGGGTAGCTAGGTGGGAAGATCTGCCCTTGTTTCCTCCATAACCTGGGGTGGGAGGAGGAGGAGCTCCCAGCCCAATCTGATGGGGGAGACCAGAACCCTCACCCACCATTGCTGGCAGTTCAGAGAAGGCAGCGATAAGTCGGGGTGGGGCATCCTGAAAGGCTTCCCAGAGGATTGGATGGGAGGATTAGCTGAGAAGACATCCGGCATCCGTAAAATGGAGTAATGATTCTGACCCTGCAGGTTTTCTGGGAGGATTAAATGAGTTACATTTTAAAGATGCCTGGTACATGCCTGCCAGGAGAAGGCACAACATATGAACTCCCTCCCTCTTCCCTCCACCCCTCCTCAGCTCCTGTGACATCAGGAGGGACATGCCCTGCCCTGCTCACAGAGGCTGGGTGGGAGGCTCCCATCATGGCCTTCACTGAGGCTGCCTCTGCAGTTGGACCAAGCTGGACACACAGTAGGTGCACATAACAGATGGGGGCAGGTCTGTGCTTGTTTTACCAGGGTGTTGGGAGGCTGAGGGAAGGGCACAGCTGGATTGGGGTGATGGAGTTCAATCCCTGCTCCTCCCCCAGATCCAAGATCCTAAGACGCCTATGTCCAGTGGCTGCTCTGATCAGCTCTGACCAGCTCTCCTCACACCTCATAGGCCTTCCAGGGTTCAGGTGATGAATTAGTGATGACAGCATCCAGCATCGCTATGACAACCACATGGCACTCTTAGCCTCCAGTCAGGGCTCAGCCGCAGAGGCCAGAGACCCCTTTGGCTCTGGGCCTTTGTACTGGCGTGTGTGAGCGGGGCTGGGGCCTGAGGGAGATGGAGGAGTGGGAGGGGCAGGGGCCGGGGCATGGGGCTGCATCTGGCATGGACTGGAGTTCATTCAGATTGTTCCATCCAGAGGGACCTTGGGGACAGTTGTTTCTCTCCTTCCTTCCCCCTTTCTTTTCATTCCTCCATCCCTCCTCTTTCCCCTCCTCCCACTTCTTCTGAGCCTTGTTCCTGTTTGAGGCCCTGGGCTGCCAACCCTTTTCCCCTCCTCTGGGAATAAAGCCAGGCTCAGCCCTCACCCCGGGGAGCTGAGTGAGGTGGGGGACAGCCACCTTCTGGTCTAGGCCTCAGGGAAGGTGTGTGGGGACCACTGATGGCTTGGTGAGAGGGCCTGACCCAGCTGGGCCAGGGGCTGTGCAAGTGGCTGCTGACCCTGATGAGTGGGGAGGAGGTTTTCAGTAGAGAGGCAGGGTCAGAGATGAAGCAGCGTGGGATGGGGGAGCGACAGATGTTCAGAGTGGCCTAAGTGTGAGATGCGGAGCAGAGAACGTGGGAGGAATCGAGGCTCGAGAAGGACTGGGAGAGAGTGGATGCAGTGAGGAGTTTGAAGTTTGTCCCTGGGGGAAGAGGAGCCCTGAAGATTTTTGTTGTTGCTTCTTTGATTTTTAAATGGGAGGGTTCATTTTAGAGATGGGGAAACAGGCCCAGGGTGGGAAAGTGACTTGCTCAAGCTTAAGTCACTAGAGACAGACTGAGAGTACAGGCTCTGCTTGGGTCCTGCTGGACTCTAGCTGGGACCTCTTGCCCCAGACTTGCTGGCCAGGATTTTCCCAGGTAATCACTACCTCCGAGAAAGGCGAGGAGAGCCCATGGGTGACTTTGCCCTCAGTTTGAATGAAATTTGCATCAGCAAGGGCTATGCCGATAGTCCTTTCTGCTCGTGTCTGGCCTGTTTGGGGGTGGGAGTGGGGTGGAGGTGAGCATCCAGGGAAGGATCTGGGAAGTCAGGGGCTTGCCAGGGCCAGCAAGGCATTAGGGTCAGAGATGGATTCAAACTTGGGTCTTTGGAGACCCAGCCCAGACTCTGTGCTCCATCTCCTTCCTCCGTCTCTCAGGAGCCTTTGGCTGAGTTAGGCACCTACAGGAGGCAAGGGCCCCCCCGAGCCCCTCACATTCTCCTCAGGGCTCCTTCTGGCCCTGGGGCCTGATATTGGGCCTGCTGTGCTGGAACTTATCCAGGCAGAATAAACCTTTAGCCCCATTGTCCTGATGAAGAAACTGAGGTCCCGAGGTAACAGTGACTCATTCAGGGTTACAACAGGTCAGTGGCTGGGCTGGGCCTAGCGTCTGGCCCTCAGCTTGTCTACATGGCCCCCCTCGTGGCTCTCCCCTCGCCTCTCGCACCCCACTGTGCAGCATGGTTGGGCCTGCCAGCCTTGATGGATGGCTCTGCAGCTCAACCTCCCTCCCATTCCTCTCCGGATGCCGGGCCGTGAGCCTCCTAATCACCAGTCCTGCCTGGTGGCCGCCAAGCCATCCATCTCCCCACACAGCCTTGCCCAGCACAGGTGATTTTGTTTGGGGAGAAGGGGGGCACAGCAGGTCTTCCTCTGAGGCTGAGCCAAGAGTTTGGCTGCAGCCCCCACTCTGGGGGGCCCGAGGGTTAGGGAATAGCCTGCACTCCCTTGCTGGAGTGTCAGAAATCCCTCCTGAATCTCCCTAGGGCACGTGCACATGCACACACAGGCACACACACTCACAGTAACACTAATAAAAGCTCTCGTGTAGCAAAAGAATATTGTATGGCAAGTATTGTTGCAGAGCCATATGTATCATCTCATTCATCACTCCACTGTAGAGATACAGAAACTCAGGCTCAGAGAGGTTAAGTGACTTGCATAGGCTCCATATCCAGGAAATGGAGGAGCTGGGATTTGAACCCACATCCTTATGGCTCACATCTTGCATTCACAACTCCTGCTCTACTGACTCACCTGTGCACACACACACACATGCACACACACACACGTGCGTGCACACACACACACAGGCACTCACTTGCATGCATGAGCACGAGCCACCATTTTGGCTCTTGTACCATCCATCTACCTGGGCCAGGTTCTTGAGGAGTGAGGAGAATGCTGGGCTGCAGAGGGCATGAGGGGTCACTGCTCATTGTCCCCAGGCTGCCTCACCCTGGCTGTGGCACTGGCTGGCTGGGGAGCTGCAGGGAGGCAGCAGCCTCCAGGCAGTGGAAAGGGGAGGCTGGGAGACAGTCGATCGATCATCCCTGCAGTGCCTCCTTCCAGGAACTGGGGCCCAGGGGAGTGTGGCGCCACGGGTCGATGTTCTGGGCAGCAGCACAGTCTCTGAGTGCGTACAGGGTGTGTGTGGGGCGAGGCTGGTGTGCAGCTGCCCGCCTTCCCCTGGCTCCCTTCCCCTGCTCCTGCCTTCCTCCTGCCATTCACCTGCCAGCCCCACACCTTCCCCTGATTCCCCCACTGTCCCCAACCTGGGCACTACAGAGGCTGAGAATCAAACTCCCAGTTCCCAGGCACCTGTGTGCCTGCTGCTACCATCCCGCCCTGCCCTAGAGGCAGGTCTCGGGTGGGTGCTGCAAGAGTCACCCTATGGTGGTTGGGGATGGGTGGGTAGGGGGACCGGGGGCTGGAGCTGTGGGGATGTGAGGCAAGCCCACCTCAGAGCCTTTGGAGACCTCGACAGACAAAACGATGAGTTAAGAAATGTAAAGGGGCACATAGTGGGTGCTGAATTCATCTTGTCTCGTTCCTCCAGTAAGAGTCTGGAGAAACCAAGAGCAGCTGGGTGCCTCTGAGGGCACAGGAGCTCCCAGGGCTGGCTGGCAGGTGCAGCTAACAGTGTTAGCAATCCCAAGGACAGGTAGCTTGGGGCGGAGGAGAGCATGCTGTCACCCATCCTGATGAGGGGAGAGATGTCTGGTGCTAGGAGCAGTGGTGGCCGGAGGAGGGCTGGGGACCCACCCCAGGCCACCCCACACTCTCCCTCTGGGAGGGGCTCCTGAGCAGGCCTGGTCACCTTGCTTCTTGGCTGCTTCTTCCCCGGCGGAGGAGCCTCCCCCAGGCTCTCCCACCTGCACTGGCCTCAAGAGAGCTGGGATTGAGCCCCAGTTCAGGCACCTGCTGGCTGGCAGAGGTTAGGGCAAATCACTTTCCTCAGCCCTCTCATCCGTGACAGGCTCTGGTGAGGGTTAAATGAGATGTTGCCCGTCAAGTGCCTGCCACTTCCCTGACGCCGAGCAGCTAGGCTGCTCTGGGTTCTCTAGCACCTGCCTCCCCTGGTCCCAGCGCTGGGTGGGCGGCTGTGTTCTACCGGTCACTGGTGGGTCCTCAGGGCCCCGACACAGGGCCTGCTATTGGGAAAGAGGGAAGTAAACATCCCAGGGCTGGAGCTCTGCCCACTATGGAGGTGTTCCATCTTAGGCTCTGTAATCTCCTCATTCACTCTGGTATGGGGACAAATGTGCCTCTCTGCACTAACTGAGCCCCCATGGGCAACTAGGAGTGGTGTCACTTGGGGTGGAGGTGGGCAAGGATCTCTGGACTGGGATTTCCAAGCCCTGACTTCCTGTTATTTCAGGCACTACCTCATTGTTCCATCTTGGGCAAGACCTGTCCCCTTGAGGGTAAGAGACACATGTGACCTCTGACCTCCAGAGTCTCTCTTCTGAGCTTCTGTGCCCAGATGATTCTGTGTTCTAGGGGACAGGCGAGGCTGGGGGGTGACCCCCATGCCACTGATGGGCAGACTAAGGAGCAGGGGCCCAGGACTGGGGCCAGCTCAGGACTCTGGTGGCCTCGGTGCCCTTGACCTGGTATTGCTGCCGTTTTGCCCCACTGCTGTCTGTCTCCGCGTCCGAGTCACCACCTGTCCCTCTCCAGTCCTCTCCTCTCTTCCTTTATTACTATCTCTATATTGCCTCCTGCCTCAGGCTTATCTCCTCCTGTCATGCCTCTATCCACCTCTGTCACTCCCCTGCGACTCTGCCTCACTCCCTGGCACACCCTCTCCCTCCCTGGGAGTCGGGAGTGGAGCCTCGCTGGGAATCAGGACCCCCCTGCCTCTGGTCTCTGTCTAAGCAGTCTCTGCGATTCTGGCCAGCTCTTATCTTTTTCCACCTTCCCGAATCTCTCTTGCTGTCTGATGGTGTCTCTGCCTTTCACTGTCTCTGAACTCCCTTTGTTTTTCTCTATATGCTTCTCTCTGCTCTTATCTCTGGGCCTCTGTCTCTCAGGGCCTGACTGGTCTTGACCTCTTTGCCTCCTTCTTCCCCTCGAGAGCCCAGCCAGGCAGCAGGTCCAGCCCTCCAGCCCAGAGAACAGATGGAGTCCACCCTCCCTCTCTCTTGCTGGCTGCCTCGGAAGCCCCAAACAATGGCCTCCGCCCTGCACCGTGCCTTGTTGCTAGGCCTTGGGCTGGCAGCACCTGGCTTCCATAGCGACGGGTGCTTAGAAACAGAATGCCACATCTCCCAGTCCCACCACAGGAGCCTTTGCCGATTGAGCGAGTGCCTTTTGATCAATCAGGAAGTGTGGCCAGGCTCTAGGTTGCCTCCAACTTGAGGAGGCAAGAGAGGAGGGGACTGTGGTCTCTGCCTTCTGGAGCTGGGGGGACTGCTGGGCTGGGAGGAGTTGCTCAAGTACAGCCCTGAAGCCAAGGAAGGACTGGGGGAGGCCCTGGGCTCTTTTCCCCAAGTCAGCCTGCTGCAAGAGGCACAAGCTTGGGAGCTGGAAGGGGCTGTGTTGAAATTGCTGTTCCATCATTTCTAGCTGCATGACTTTGGACGAATGACCTCAGGTCCCAGGGCCTCAGTTTCATCAACTGTAAAATTGGGCTAATAATATCATGAAGATTAAATGAGAGAATAGATCTGGCACTTAGTAGGTGGTCATCAATGGCCATTCCCCTCCCTTCCCCTTTAAAGTTGTTTAAAATTTAATTGACAGAGAGGAGAAGGAGGGTTCTTCAGGCCTGTGGAATGGTGTAAGCAAAGGGGTGGAGGCTGGCATGCACCTCACATATGCTGGAGTATTTAGGGAGGACCAGGGGCCATATCTGGAAATGGTTCTGCCAGAAGCAGCCAGGCCAAGCTGGGTGCCATGTCATGCACCTGTAATTCCAGCTACTAGGGAGGCTGAGGCAGGAGGATCACTTGAGCCCTGGAGTTCCAGATCAGCCTGGGCAACATAGTGAGACCCCATCTCAAAAAAACAAAACACAACAGGCAGGCTGATGGGCCCATGGAGAAGGGACTCTGTCTCCTGGGAGGTATATTCTTGCCAGGTGCAAAGGGATGGGCTTGACTAATTTCTCCTCTAGCATTTGGGGCTGCTGGGTAGGGAGCTACATTGGGGTCCCCTTGCTTATTCTCATGCTGCTCCCTACTTCTGCCCTGTCACTTGGTCCCAGGAGAGGGGCTCCCACTGGTTCCTTTTCCCTGCCAGGCCTGCCCACCAAGGCCACCATGGCCACACAGCCTGAATCCTGGGGCCAGCAAGTGTCCATGGAAGGCCCCACTCTGTCATCGTAGAGATCAGGAAACAGGCTCAGAAGTAGGAGGGCTTCCTGGTCCTAGGGCCCAGCTCTTCCCTCTTTTCAGGCCTGTCTTCTGCACTAAGGACTTCAGGCCACCAGGGAAGGTGGGGAGGGAGGAAAGGAGATGAGATAGACTTGGGCGGGGGCCTGAGGACAGAGTTTCATGTCACTTGGGCAGCCAGGAAAGGGTTAAAGATCCCTTATCCCAAGCCATGGGCACTGGCACTGCCAGAGGATGCTGAGGCCTGCTGGGGCATAAGGACAACAAGCAACATCCTTTTCTGAGCTGTTGGGAGTGCCAAGCTCTCTGTTAAATACTTTTGAGCCTCTTCTCATGTATTCACAGCCACCTTTCAAGGAAGGCCAGTTGATCCCCAGTTTAGAAGTGAGAAAACGGGGTCTCCAGGAGGCACTTGTCTAAGGTGACACAGCTGGAGAGTTGGAGATGGTGGTTAGACCGAGTCACCCCCCCAGACCCTGGCCTCTCCCTGCGTGCCCCTTCCAGGACACCCATCACTCCCTTGACACCCCTTGGGAGTGGGTGTTCATTTCCTTGGGCTCTCCCAATCCCAGTCCTTGGTATCCCCAACTGCAGGCAGACACAGGTGCTTGCTGCTGTGCCCTCCCCTTTACCTGGCATCACAGAGACTCAAGCCCACTGACCATTAGGCTCTCAGGGGCATAGAAACCAGGTGCTGGAGTCTTAGAGTCCTGCAATCAGGCATCTCAGGCAGTCAGGACATTAGAATGTTAGAATCTTGGGCTTCTACATTCTCAAGACCCCAGGTTCTCGCATTCACAGAATGTAAGAAAAACAGACTTTTTGAATGATGGGGTGTTATAACAGAAGCTTTGATTTTCTAAGAACATGAAGCTCTGGGAGTTCTTGGAGCCTTGAAGCCATAGACTGGGGCCTCCCTGTGTGATGGTTTCTGAGTTAGCAGGGAGTGTTCAGAGTATGGGGCCTTGGTCCCTGTTGCTTAGACCTTCTTGCCTTGGTATCTCTGATGGGCTCAGCTCTTAGTAGCCTTTGTGTATGTGTGTGTGTGTGTGTGTGTGTGTGTGTGTGTGTGTGTGTGTGTGTGTGTAGTGGGGACTGGGGTCAGGGGTCAGGGACTGACTCTAACCTGAGGCACCCCTGGAGTGGGGCCAGCCCAGGAATAGCAGGTGGAGGAAAGCCGGGCAGCCTCAGGGCTGCAGCTGTCTGGTGGTACAGGGCAGGGCTCTGGGTGGCTGCCTTTGGCAGAGGACCAGCCTGCCTCCTTCGTCCCCTACCCAGCCTGCTACCAGGATCAGGAGGAGGCATCTCCATGGGACTCCTAGGGCTGGAGTCAGAGCAGCCCCTCCAGGTTCTGCAGCCTGGACGGTAGGAGGTGCCACTAAGGGGAGGAGATTGGGGAAGGATTGGGACCTTTATCTGCGGTGAGGTGGGGCACGGGGGGATGAGAGATATAGTGGGAGTCTTTGAAGGGTGTGGGATCAGTGAAGGGGCTGGGGATTTAGTGATGGGCTGGGGCTTAGGATGGAGCCAAGGGCTCTGTGGGTGGGAGACCTTTTGAGAGGGTGGAGACTCAGAGAGAAGGATGGGGGCTCAGCAAGGGGATGTGGCTCAGTGGAGGTTGCTGAAGAGTTTCTTGGGGTTGGCTACACGCGGTGGCTCACGCCTGTAATCCCAGCACTTTGGGAGGCCAAGGCAGATGGATCACTTGAGGTCAGGACTTCAAGACCAGCCTGGCCAACATGGTGAAACCCTGCCTCTACCAAAAAATACAAATATTAGCCGGGCGTAATGGCAGGCGCCTGTAATCTCAGCTACTCGGGAGGCTGAGGCAGGAGAATTGCTTGAACCTGAGAGGCGGAGGTTGCAGTGAGTCGAGATTGTACCACTGCACTCCAGCCCTGGGCGACAGAGCAAGACTCCATCTAAAAAAAAAAAAAAAAAAAAGTCTCAGGGCTGTCTCTGCACTGCTCCAGGTTCCTGAGGACGGCGGTTGGGGCTGGGGGAGTCTTCTGTCCCTGGGGTAGGCTGAGAAGCAAGAGCTCCTTTTCCCAACTCTGCCCAAAGCTGGAAAGGTTGTTAGAGCTGCTAAGAAAGCTGGCATCTGCCTCTCCTTTTGCTCATCTTCCTTTCTGGTTTCCATGGGAATCTGTGGCTCAGGATGATCAGGGGTTGACAGGATGGCGCTGTGGAAGGAGTCTGTGTCAGGCACAGCCATCCCACATGGGAAGGAGCCGGCTGGTAAGAAAGTGAGTTCCCTGTCCCTGGGAGTGTGCAAGCAGGGTAGGGGCTGAATGGCTAGAGTGACTCCAGAAAGGGGTTCAGATGGGGCAGAGGAAGCAGTCTGGAGGCCACTTCCCTGAGACAATCATGTTTTGTGTGATTGGCTCTGGGGGCCCCACCAGCCCCACCTTCCAGACGTCCCTGGGCCTCACAAAGGGGGTTGCTGCACCCTAGGCACTGCCTCTGATCCAGCCCCAACTCCTGTGCTCTGTGCCTGGCCTATGCTGAACACGGACATGTGCAGCTGAATCAGATTCAGTCTCTGCCTAGAGGAGCCCCAGTCTGATGGGGGAGGCACACAGGGACACAAATATAGCTGGGTAAGTCCTACAAAAGGGGGCATACCTGGCTGGGAGGCAGTTCCATCACTGATTCCTGTAGTCTGTAGATGTCTTTTTGAGCAATTCTTCTGGGTCAAGACTTGTTCTTATTTGCTGGGATAAAACAGCAGTGAGCAAAACAGAGCTGACAGCATGGTGGGAAGGTTGAGCTCTTCCAGACCGTGATGAGAAGTATTGGTGAGTGGTGGGGAGAGTGGCCAGAAGGCAGAGTGTGGGCGCAGCATGAGAGGAGGCTTTGTCCAGACTTAAGGACCTGGAAGGCCTTGAAGGCCAGGACCAGGGCTCCAATTGTCCTGCTGGCAATAGGAAGCCATATGGGTGGGGGTGAGGCAGAATCAGATTTAGGTGTGGAAAAGATGACTCCAGCCAGTGTGGGCATCGAAGAGGAGGCACAGAAGCAGGCGTGGCCACCTGTGCCTCTGTGTAGGAGCTGTGTGAGCATGTGCTTGAGGATGTGTGTCTGTGTAGAGGACTGGGGTGTAGGCGTGATAGGAACATGGACGTGTATCTATGGAAAGACTCCAATTGTGCATAGGGGTGTATGTGTGTAAGATTCTGTGGCCCAGGGCAGCCTGTGAAAAGGAAGGATCTTGGGGTCTGTGGATGATGGGGAGCAGAGACTAAGGCCTAAGGTATGCTGGGGCTCGAGCCCCCTGGACTTTATCCCCTGTGAGCTGGCAGGTCTTAGACTAGTCCTGGACTAGAATCCTATGGGTTCCCTTCCCCCAGAGGGTCATGGGGCCAGCCATCTGCTGCAGACAAGACAAACATGCATGCAAATCACATGAAAATGGATGAGGCCTGTGGCTGACCCACCCTACAGCCCCCATCCCCTGGGCCTGAGTTCACTCAGCCTGTACCCTTCCTGACCCAGAGCTGCTGCCAGGGCTCTGGGAACAGGCCTTGCCCACTAGGAGCTGAAATTCACATTGTCCCCAGCACCTGCCCGTGGCCACATCCTCTCTCTGTGAGGGCTACCCCCACATCTGGAGCCATAGCCAGCGGACACAGAGCTGGATCTGGACTGGTGGCCATGGGCAGCACCTCTGGCAGGTGCTGAGGTGGAGGAGGCAGTATCCAGGCAGGCATCCCTGGGCAGAAGGTACCTCTCCTGAGCAGACAGGCCTTCCCAGGCACCAGGCCCAAAGATAGGGGCAAGGGCTAGATCCTGGTATTGGAGGACCCTCAGGAGAGGCTGTGTGTGACTTGCTCTCTCTCTGACCTGGGCTAGAGCATAAACACGTGTCACATACTTGCACACACATTCACACGTGAAAGCACGCACATGCTATTCCTGGACACTTGTGTACACACACCACTGCACACATATACCTGCATGTGTGAATATACACTCACTTCTGCACACAGACACATGCCTATCTGCATAGACACACCCGTGCCAACCCCTATAGATACACAGACATATCTGTGTATACACATATAAGTTCAGCTATACCACTGCAGTATCACACACCCTCACAAGGATACAAACCTGTGCTCACACTCTCTTCCACCCTCACACACATCATGCTTACAAGCCTGTGTGCAGCCTTACACACATGCACACACATACAGAGCAGCCTAAGGGTGGCTCACCCCTGCCCAGGTGAACACCTGTGCCCACTCCAGGGCTGGAGTGTTGAGGAAAGGGTCTGGATGGAGGCAGAACCTGCAGAGATGTCAGTTTCTTCCAGGAAGCATCTTGGATTGTCCCTTCACAGAGCCCTTGGAAGTGGGGCCCTCTTTTAGTCCATGGGCTCTAGCCCAGGTCACAGAGAGAGCAAGTCACACACAGCCTCTCCTGAGGGTCCTCCAATACCAGGATCCAGCCCTTGTCCATATCTTTGGGCCTGGTGCCTGCGTAGGACCATCTGCTCAGGAGAGGTACCTTCTGCCCAGGGAGGCCTGCCTGGATACTGCCTCCTCCACCTCAGCTTCCTGAGCACTCAAAGAGAAGCAGGCCAAGCTTCACGGCTGCTGAGAAGTCTGAGACCAGGGAGGGCCAAAGCCTTGCCTGAGGTCACCCAGCATGTCAGGGAAGGGCTAGGGTTTGAACCTGGGCTTCCAGGTGGGGGTGTAACCATGGTCCATGGCAACAGGATAGATGCATGTCAGGCAGCAGACAGGCCCTTGGAAGCAAGACATGTGGTCATGGGGGATAGGAAAAGACTTACAGTCTATGGAGATCTGCCAGGACCAAGTGTGTGAGATGGAGAGATGGTGCTTCTTCACCAGAGCTCACTGGGCACCACAGGGCTCCCAGCTTGGCTGGACCATGGGGACTCAGGGAAGAATCAGACAGGCCCTGCTCTTGAGGGAGGGCTGGGGATAGGTGAAGAAGGAAGAGGGCATTATAGACTGGGGAGATGGTGGGGGCTACTTCTCGTTGGATGGCAGTTTTCTTCCTGCATCTTGAAAGATCTAACTTTCAAATTTCTTTACCCTCAAAACTCGGCATGGAGTACATTCTCAGTAAATATTTATGGCATGAATGAATTAATGAAAGTATGATATTGGCAGGCAGATATGCCTTTGGAAGGGTATTCAAAATGGGAGGGCAACAGGTTGGGCAAAGGCAAAGAGGTGGAAGAAAAGCCAGAGGTTCAGGGTACAGCTGAGTCAGGCATGGCTGGACGGGAAGTGGTAGGAGAAGCAGCAGGAAAAAGTCACGTGGGGATGAGCCTTGCATCTTATACTGAGTTTGGATGTTGCCTTGGAGGCCATGGGGAGCCCAGTGAAGATTATGAGCAGAGGGTGAACATGGTCAGAGTGAACCTGCCCTGGCTTTGGGGGGTCCTGGGCTACATAGTAGCTGCTTATCCTTGGTGCAAAGAGCACTGGGTTTGGAGTCTATAGGCCAGGGTTCACATTCCTATAGTAACCAGCTGTGCCATCTCAGGTAAGCATCTACATTTCTCTGAGCCTCACTTTCCTTATTTGTAAAATGGGGCTAATGCCGTGCCTCCTGAGGCTGTTGGATCTGGCCTGGGTGAGGAAATGCTTTGCCAGCACAAGGCCCTACCAATGAGAGGTGTCATTTTTATTAGGAACAAGGCAGGGCTGGTTCCTAGACAGGGCCTGAGGTTGAGTGGGCCCAGGACCCAGGCTGACAGCTGAGTCACCTTTTCCAGGCCAAGTGGCCTCTAAGGTGGGAAGACAAAAAGAGTTGGCTAGAGGGGCTGGGCTATGCATTCCTAAGCTGGAGCTGGGAGGAAAGCTGGGGCTGGGACTGGGCTTCCTGGTGTCCGAGATGGGCAGAGGGTGCAGACACCGGGATAGTAGGACCCTCAGCCACTGCATTCTTGGGGACAAAAGAGGAGCTGGGAAATCTGATTTCCTTACCTGGCTTTGCTCAAGAAGCAAGGAATGTATTTAAGGCACAGACTGGAGTGAGATGGCCTGGGTTTGAATTTTGACTACTTACAAGCTATGTGACTGTGGGCAGTTTACTTTGTGCCTGAGTTTTCCTTATCTGTGAAGTGTGACTAATAATAGATCCCACCCTATAACATTGTTGAGAAGATGAAATGTGAGGCACACAGTATGTGCTCAATAAATGCGAAAGCCTCCCAGCCCCAGATGTATACACTCGGCCAGTAGGGGCCAGCCCTGGCCCTCACCTCCATGGGACAGAGGTCAGCCAGGGAGGAGATGCATCTACTCCAGGGTTCTCTGACCTGGCAGCAAATTAGAATCACCGGGGGACATTCACAAACATCTGGGATGGGGGTTCCAGATATCAGTATTTAAAATGCTCCCAGGCAATTCTAACATGAGTCAGGGTGAGAACCCAGAACAGGATCACAGATTGTGCAGTTGGAGTGAGGTAGGGATCTGCGTGTGAGTGGAGGAGTCCTTGGAGTGGGGTCACTCCTAGCTATAAGAGCTCGGCAAGGCCTTTAAATGTGCCAACTCAAGGAGCCTTGGTTGCCCCCTCAGGAAGGGTGCTGGTTGGGGAATTTCAAGGATTGTGTGAGAGGGTTTTTCTGAAAGGGCTCTGCACTCTACCAAGCACTGGAAGAAAGCAGTGCACTTGTTTATTGAGTCTAGTGTAATAACATTTCACAGATGGGGAAATAGAGGCCTAGAGAGGTGCTGTGGCCTGCTCAGAATCCCACAGCAAGTCTATGGCACAGTTAGGACTCAAACCCTCTGAGGAATGCTTGGATCTGAAAGGTTGACACAGAAAGACTCTTTGAGCTGAGGGACACATAGAGCACACACCAGGGACCCCAGTCATTGAGCTGTAGTTTGAGAGATTCAAGTAAGACTGAAGAAATAACTTCTTGGCTGGGTGCAGTGGCTCACACCTGTAATCCCAACACTTTGGGAGGCTGAGGTGGGTGGATCATGAGGTCAAGAGATCGAGACCATCCTGGCCAACATGGCGAAATCCCATCTGTACTAAAAATATAAAAATTAGCTGGGCATGGTGGTGCATGCCTGTAGTCCCATCTACTCGGGAGGCTGAGGCAGGAGAATTGCTTGAACCCGGGAGGCGGAGGTTGCAGTGAGCTGAGATCGCGCCACTGCGCTCCAGCCTGGTGACAGAGCGAGACTCCGTCTCAAAAAAATAAAATAAAATAAAATAAAATAAAATAAAATAAAATAAAATAAATAAAATAACTTCTCAAGAGGTGAGTGCCATGGAGGTGGTGCCTGGAGTTGGGAGCCCAAGAGATGGTGGCGGTGCCAGGCCAGGGTCGGCTGTTGACCATGGTCTGAGGTGGCCTCCCCTGAAGAACAAGTAACTCTGGCCAGTGGCTGTAACAGATACCTCCCGGGCACCTGTATCTCACCCAGCCTTGTCCAGAGCCCAGGACTGAGCCAGTGACACATGCTCAGAATTTACCAAGAGACTTGTGCACTGAGCTCAGACTCAGACCTAGTCCTTCCAACAGCCCTTACATGGGTCATCCCCTTTTACGGAAGAGAAAACTGAGGCCAAAAATAGGAAGGGAGGCCCTGTGGGGGCCAGAACCTTTACACATCTTAGCCCAGGTAATTTTTTCTACAGTGTTAATAAGTAGGATGAATTGCCCCTGTTTGGAAGATTCAGTAAAATACATTGACTTGGCCCAGATCACTTACTCTACACCTCTCCTAAGTCCCCAGATGTGACTCCCAGGAAAGACACAAAAAAGGGCTACCCAGAGGGATAAGGTAGTAACCAGGGAAGCCCTCCCAGAGGAGGTGGGCCTTCAAATGGCCCCTAAATGACAGGCAGGAGGGAAGGATCTGGGAGGGTATTGGGGGTGGGGTGGCATGGGCAAAGGCCTGGAGGTGAGAGTCAGTCAGTCATTGATGTGAGAAGAGCAAGAAGTAGAAATGTAAGGAATGGTGGGGAGGGGAGTCAGAGCTGGATGACCAAGCAAGGGTTCAGCTGTAGAGGGTCTGGCCCGCCAGGCTCAGGGCTCGGGCTTTATTGTGCTGGTGGTAGGGAGCCACTGAGGGTGAGTGGGGGAGAGCATGCCAGAGCATGCCTCAGAAAGAAAGGTGGGAGAAACGCTGGCATGGAGGGCTGCCCCCTGAGTTGGTGGGGTGGCCGGGCTCTGCCAAGGCTATGTGCCAGCTGCCTGGACTGTGTCCAGGAATGGGCACAATGACTCAACATTGAGAAAATCACTCCCCAGGGAGAAAGGGCCCTGATGAATCACCCAGCTGAGGTGGGGAGGCTGGGAGGCTGGGAGGCTGGGAGGCTGGGAGCTCACTGAGTCACCGTCCAAGAGTTGGTGAGGAGGGGAGCTGCAGAGAGAGGGGCCGGCAGTGCAGTTGACGGGGGGATTCAGGTCAGACCACATTGAGGGCTGTCGGGGGACTCTACCTTCCCGCCATTCCCGGGTTTGGTCCTCCTGGCCGTCCTGTGAGGGAGATGAGAAAACTGAGGCCCAGGAAGTGGGGGGAGGGGATCCGAGCAAGGTCATGCGGCAAGTCGCTGGCAAAGGCCTAGCGAGACCCAAGCGCACCCTCCAGTCCAGACACGTCCTGCCGCCCCAACCGCTTTCATGCCAAGCAGAGGCCTAAGAACCGGGTCGGTCCGGGCAGGGAGCTGACCCCGGTGACCCGCTGAATCCCCGGACGCGGCCCCTCCGGGCAGCCGGCAACTGAGGCCGGATTGCGCCGCCGCGATGGGACGGCAGGGGGCGCAGGAGCGTCGCGGCTGCCGCAGGCTCCTGAACCCAGAAGCCGCTCTGCGGAGAAACGCGCTCCCGGAGCGCGGGTCCCACCGCGGAACTGCGGACCGTGTGGCCCTGGGGCCTGCACCCTCTCCGGCTCCGGGGACGGCGACAGAGACCTGCCCACCCAGGCCTGGGGGCCCCAGTCAGTGGCGGCCGCCGTGTGTGCGCTCGGTGTCTGTGCGCACGTGTCTCCCTCGCAGATGGGCGACTGCTCCAGGGCCTGTCCGTCTCACAGCGACCTCCAACATTCTCCCGACTTCCCCCTGCCTCCTAGGCTGAGGGAGAGGAGCAAGCCCGAGGCTCCTGCGGTGTCCGCGGCCCCTGCCCCCCTTCCCCTTCCCTCCCCACCCCACCCCACTGCGCCGGTCTCTGCCTGGGGCTCTGGCCGGGCCCCGGACCCCAGAGTGGTGGCGGGGAAACAGGGTGCGATCAGACAGGGTGGAGGCTCTGAGAGCGGCCCCTGCGAGATGCGAGAGAAGTGGCGACGGGGCGAGGGGCAGCGAGCGCAGGCTGACAGCAGGCCAGCTGGAAGGGCCGAGGGAACCCAGGGCGAGACAGAAGCGGGGTGACAGCGGCCGGGTGTCCGGTGGGGTCGGAGGATCCGACGGGCCGAGAGGTGCGGTCCGCGGTGGCGGGGACATAGGCGGGGCCGGGGCGGGCCGGGGGCGGGCGGGGGGCGGGCCGGGGCGGGGCCGGGGCGGACACTCGGGCGGACCAGGCGAAGCTGTCGCGGACGCGCTGACCGAGCGCAGCGGCCGGGCCGGCGGGCGGGCGGGCGGCTGCGAGCATGGTCCTGGTGCTGCACCACATCCTCATCGCTGTTGTCCAATTCCTCAGGCGGGGCCAGCAGGTCTTCCTCAAGCCGGACGAGCCGCCGCCGCCGCCGCAGCCATGCGCCGACAGCCTGCAGGTAGGGGGGCCCCCGCGCTGGGCACCAGGAGAACGGGGTGTCCGGCGAGCGCCGGGCCGGGTCTGCCCGCCCCCGAACCCTTCTCAGGGAGGAGACCCCTCCTCTAGTTCTGAATTCTACTCCTGTGCTGGGACGGCAGCGCAGACCAAGAGCCCTTGAAGCCCCAGCTCTCAGTCCACACGTCACCCCAGACTCTGAACTCCTTTCGGATCCGGGGCTCCACCCCAAGCACTGAGCTTCCAGTCCACGGTGGGACCGCAGTGCACACTGAGAGCTGTGCCCAAGCCTCGAATTCCCTTTCCTTAGATTAGTGGGGACCCTGCCCACGCCTCGGAACCTTCACCATATATGTGGGGCTCCCGGCACACCTGGAGCACCTGAACCCCCAGCTGTCATCCAGGACTCCACCTCAGAGCCGGCCTCACCCAAAGCCCCAAACCTCCATTCCAAGCCTCAACTGGACACCCGCTCAGATTCCCACCCAAACATCTGGACTTCAGTCCTCAGCCTGGAACCTACCCCAGAGTCCAAATCTCTCCTTCCATCAGGGCTTCACTGGCTTTCTCTGTGGGACCCACTCCCCGATCCCTTCCCTCCCTCCTGTGTTGGAGATCTCCGAGTCTTTCCTCGTGGGGGGCCCCTCCTCTTGTTCCTCTCCAGGTACAGTGGTCCCACTTTATTCTCTGGGCTTCTCCTCTGGTTTCTCTTCAAGTATTTCTGGGCTCTCTAATTTGGTCTGTTGCCCCATGTGCCCACCTCTCTTGGTCTATCTTGGTCTCTCTCCTGTTTCTCTAGGTCTCCATCTTCGTTTTGGGGTCTCTTTCTGCAGCCACCCCTTCCTCTTGTATCTACCTCTGCTTTGTGGTGAGGAGGGGGCAGGCTCAGAGAGCAGGGCTAGTGTCCCTGGGACACCCCCGCCCCCCATGTTCTCAGGCATGGCATGGTGTGGGCTCAGGTGGAAGGGCCTAAATGTGGAGTGTGCTGCCCTCAGGCGATGCCCAGGGATCTGAGGTGGTGGGGGGATGATGTGGTGGGCACTGGCTTTTGTAACTTATAAAGCCCCTCATCCCAGCTGCCCTGGTCTTGACGGGGGCGGCTAGGGCTTGAGATAGGGAAGAGTAAACTGCAATCTGGTGTCAACCTGCGGTGGGATGTGTCCAGGCTGGGTGGGTCTATAGTGTATGTGTTTGTGTGAGTGTTCCTGTCTGTGTGTAGCACGGGCTGGGTTGCATGTGTTGGGTGTGTCTTGTGTGTAATCATGTGTGTTGTGCCGTGTATGAATGTGTCATCGAGAGTGGGATTATTTGTGGGGAGATTATGGGAATTATGGGTCTATGGCATTGTGTGCTATGTGTGGCTGGGGAGGCAGTGTTGTGGCTGTGGAGTGGTAGCTGGGTGTGTGGCTGTTGTGTGTGTAGAGAACTTGTGTGTATGTGGCTGTATGTCTGTTATTGTACAGTGGAGTTGTTGTAGGGACAGCTTGCATACAGGATTCTATATGTAGTTGTGTGTGTTACTGGCTGTTGTGTGTGGCCAGGAAGGGCCACTGCAGGGGCCTGATGGTTTCCACTGGGTGTCTTGTCAGAGAGGAGTTGGGGCAGGGGGTGCCGTGTGTGCCAATGTGTTTGCAGCCTAGGTGGCTGGCTTAGAGTCACTATGGCACATCCTGGGATTGCTTGGGTAATATATCTATTAGGACCTGAGTGCTGGTGTTTGAATGTCATGTGTCTGTGTGGTGGCTGCTCCCGCGATTCTGGACAGGAAAGGGTTGCAGCCAGGGCTGAGGGGTCTGAGGTGAGGAGCCAGTTGACAAGTGTGTGAGTGTGTGAGTGTGTGTGTGTGCGTGCATGTACACGTGCATATGGGAATGGGGTGGGGTGGGAGGAGGCAGTGGGCCAGCAGCGCTGTCTATGCTGAGGGGCTGTGTGTGCCCACAAACGTGTGACATTAGGTGTGCACATTATCTATGCAGGTTGTGTCTGCATGTGTCTCTGTGTCTAGGTGGCGTGCGTATTGAATTTAATTGGATGCATACACCTGTGGCTGGGGAGGTGAGAGGTGTGTGAGGTGCGTGGTGGGAGACGGTGTGAGTGTGGTGTGAAGTGAGGGTGTGTGAGCTGGGTGACTTTTTGGTGTGACGTGTGAATTATGTGATCTTTTCTCCCCATGAGCTGTGTGTGCCTGTGGTGAGGAGTGAGTGGAGGATGGCCAGTGAGCTGGCGGTGTGTGTGTTGGGGGTGTTGAGGACTGTAGAATGTGCTGCGGTGGCAGTGTGTGCATGAGGTGTGTGTGAGGAATGAGGTCTGTAACATTTGGGGCGTGTGGAATATAGTGGGTGTCCCCATAAATGTCTGTGGAGTGACGCATGTGTGCAAAAGGGCTTGGCTGCCATCCTGTTCTTGCTCCCCTCCTGATCAGGTCCCTAGAGATGCCCTGGAATGTTCTCCATGCCCCCCCAACCCCAGCTGCCCCTACCCTTTGCCCTTCATCCTCCTTGCCTTGACCAAGCCCTTTGTTTTGGGTTTCCGGCGGAGCAGGCGCTGGACAGGCGGGCGGCAGGCAATGTCGTGGTCTGAGAACCTTTGTTCTCTTAGTTTGACTGGTGTTTGGGGCCTTGGTTTGGAGGAGGGTGTGGAGAGGATGCACGTGGCAGCAAGGTCACTGTGTTTACTACACCACTTCGTGCTCCGCAGAGGGGAGGCATACGGCGCAGGCAGTGAGGCCTGGGTGGTGTCTTTGGTGGCGCCTGTTGGTGTAAGAACAGCTTAGGCTGGGCTTGGAGTTTGCCAGCCATGCAGTCTTAGTCCATAGTGGCCCAGCGCCCTTCCTGGCTCATGTCAGCGGGGCTGAGCAGCCGAGCAGCCAAGCACTCACTTCTCCAAGTTCACCTGCCCTCGCCCCTTCTCTGTGTGGCTGCAGCCCCTGGAGACAACCAGGAAGACCTCGATTTAGTTCTATTTGTGTTCACTCCAGGTCAGATGGAGGAGAAAGAGTCCCCATCCTCACAGAGACACTTATCTGAAAGGAGAGAGCTGGTCACACCTTTGGGGACCCTCTAGACTGACGCAGTCTGTAGGGGGATCGAGGTCATACCTTCCAGAGAGAGCTGTGGGAAAACCCTACTGGGCTGCCTCCCAGCAGGTGCTTGAGAGAAGAAACATCCAAGGTTCCTTGAGATTGGAAGGCTTAGAGAAGTCTGAGTCAGTCAGGGAAGGGGCTGGGGTCGATGCCGCAGTGTCACATACCAGAAGGTTCTCTGAAATGAATAGGCTTGAACTGGACCTTGAAGGGGGTGTTGGGGTGGGCAGAGAAATGCAGCCTGGGGCTGAGGAAGGTTCTGGCCTGACTGGCAAAAGGGATCTTGCTGGCCATTCCCCAGGCAACACTGTCTGGCTTTGGGTAGCCATCCCTGGGCCTCCAGCCTTCTCAAGCTTTCACGGTACCTTTTTTATCCCATTGTCTCTGGCTGGAATTATCTTCATTGTCGTTGACATTGTCATCTTCATCATCTTTTAGGCAGTTATTTCCAAATTCCAGGGTCCTTTCACAAATGTCTCATTTAGCAGGTTAACTCATGCAATTGTCCAAAAGTCTTTATGGAACACTGCTGTGTACCAGGCAGGCACAGTTTTAAGTGCCGGGGTCATGGTGGTGGCCAAACTGGCCTCATGGAGCTCCTACCTTCTGTGTCCAGCCATGCTGTCAGTTGCCCACCCTTCTGTGTTTCCCCCAGTCTGGGGCGCCTGGTTCTGTGGGGCTCCGCATGTGCACCCTCTGGTGCTGGGGTCTGGCTCCTACCAGAATGTGAGCTCTGCAGAGGCTGGGCCCGGGTCTCTCCTCTACCCACCGTGTGTGTCCTGAGCTGGGTCTGGCAGAGTCCAGATGCTCACACCTATCATCAAGTGACTGGAACTGCCATGTAGGGTTGGCAGTCCAGCTCTGTCTAGGGAAACTGGGGTCCATCGGATGAGGGGACTCTCATCTCATCAGGCAGCATCTCATCAGGCCCTTCTTTTACCAGTAGCTCCAGAGACCAAGAAGGGTCAGGTGACTGGTGCAGGTCTCACAGCAGGGTGGCGCGGCTGGTGTCAGAAGACAGCACTTCTTGCTGCCAGGTTGGGCTCTGGTCCTAGCACCATGCTGCTCTCTGGCTGGCCTCTGTGCTGCCTGCGGCGGGTAAACGATTATTAATGACCCCCCTGGCAAGGAGACAGGAAATGTTTCCCAGCCACAGCTGGGGACCTGCTCCCTGCCAGCCCCAGCTATCCATACCCGTCCTGACCATGGCATCGGTGCTGATGTTATCTTCATTCTGCCTCAGTCTTCTTTACTCCTTCTGCCCATCCCCCGACCTCCCTGATCTTGACATCCTAAGGGTAAATGACGAGAAGCTACAGAGCTTTCTTTTCCATATCCCTGTCCCTCACCACTTTCTCCAACCTGACTCATCTCTACCTTCTTCCTTGTCCCATGCCAGCCAGAAGTAGCTCTTCCTCCAAGAAGGCTTCTCTGAATGCACAGCCAGCTCCTCCAGTGTCCACTACCCTGAGCCCGAGGCACTGAGTCCCCCTCATTGCAGACTCTAGTCCTCCACTGATGGTTTGCTCTGACAGCCCTAGGGCTGGCCTGGGCACTTCCCGCAGACTGTCCCTAATTGCTGCCTTAGGACTGACATATGAAGGGTCCTCCCAGATGCTACCTCCAGGAAGTCTCCAGTTCCACTCAGCCCAGGGATTCTTACCTCCTTTGAGCACAGTGCCCTTCCTGTCTGAGTCACACATGTGTACTTCCAGGACTTCCTAGGTGGACATTAGTGAACACCTGCTATGTGCCCAGCACAGAGGGTGGGAAGAGATGAGCAGGATGCAGGCCTTAAAATCCCCACACCTTCCTCCAAGCCTGAGCAATGTTGCATCAGCCCCTTGGCAGGTGGCACAGACCTAGGTACTAGGGCTGGGGGAGGGGAGGCGGAGAAACAGGGAGTGATGTTGGTAGAGTGTGTGGGGAGGGCAACGAGGGAGATAAACTCAGGGGCCATGGTGATATAAAGCAGGGACCCCTATTTCAGCCCAGAGTGGGAGGGAGGGGCATGTTGGGGAGCTTCCAGGAGGAAACAAATCTGAACTGAGAGCTAAGGTCAAGCCAGGAGAAAGTTCTGGACAGAGGGGAGAGAATGGTTACTGTGAAGGTTCGCTGGTGGCAGACAGAGGGAGGAGAGCCTGTGGCAGCACCACTCCATGGAGCAGGCCCCTGGGTGCCAGCCGGCTGGGTCCGGGGGGATGGGGACTGGTAAAGCTGGCCCAGCCAGATGGTGCAGGACTTGTAAGCCATGTTAAGGACTGCGGACTTATTCTGGAGGGAAATTGACCCTGGGGAAGAGTTGAGAGAACGGATATGACAGATCAGATCTGCATGTTCAATAGCTCCCTGGACCATGGTGTGGAGACTGAAGGGGAGGCTGGTGTGGTCCAGGTAAGCGGGGGTGATGAGGCCTGGACAGGGAAATGGCTGAAGAATGGAGGGGAGGGGACGGAGTGGCCAGGGCTGGTGGAGGGAGCTGGACAGCTGTAGACGTGAAGGGCAAGGGAGGAGAATGCTGCCCCACCCAGGTGTCTGGATGGGTTTTGTGCAGTCTCTGAGATGTATAGGAGGGAAGACAGGGGTTAGTGGCAGATGCCTGGGCCTGTGTCAGGGCCCTTTAAGGACCAAAAGGTCTTGGAAAAGCCTCAGAGGAGATCATGAGCTTTGAGATTAAAGGGAGACCTGAAGCCGGCCCAGGGCTGCTACAGCCTCACCTGTAACATGGGAACTTGAGATCTGCCCTGGGCAAAGGGTGTTCAGAATTCAATAATCAAAACAATCTGTGAAATGTAATACTTAATAAAATTCAAATCCAAAAATGTCTGAGTACATTCCAAAATGAGTAAAAATGTAAATTTATGAAAATGCTAAACATGCGTGATTGTTCTAATGTAAATTGTAAGCCTCAGCTGCTTCCCAGAACTTTGGATCTGGCTCCCTTGAAGCTGCTGCCTCTGATGTGGCTGCCCCCTGCAGCTCCAGGACCTTCCTGTTCAGCTCCCTTGAGAGTAGCCGGCAGGGCCCCTCCTCTGCAGAGCCTGTACTCTGGCTGGTGGCTTCAGGGGGCAGGCATTCTGCCTTTCCTGTCTCCCACCCTAAGGGAGTTGGCCTTGCATGCCTCCCATCCACGGTTGCCTCTACTGGGGGCTGCCACTGGGAGACAGGAAGGGCATGGGAGTTTCGGGAGCTCAGGGTAAGAGGGGCTGAGATCTCGTGGTGTGGAGGGGGAGCGGGAAGGTCGGGTGGCCGAAAGAATGGAGAGGGCCGGGAGTGAGAGCAAAGGGAGACAGGCAGAGCTGAAGAGCAGTATCGCCCCAACATCAATACTGGTATTTCAGAATGGGAAAGCTGTTCCATTTCCCGAATTATCAGAATGCTGAGGTCCGATCTTGCAGTCTCTGAGCTGGGCATTCCTTGGCCCCCACTCTCGGGTATTCTTGCACAAGACCATTTTTCTGGGCTGCATTTTCTCACTTGTAAAAGGAGGAAGTTGGGGGTCAATATCTCCAAGCGATATATGAGCTCTAGCTCTAGGAGTATAGGATTTTGAGAATCTGGAATTGTTAGTCTGTGGGGTTCTAACTGGGACAATTCTAGCATTCCTTGACTCTCAGCTCCCAGCCAGGGCTGTGTGGATGCGTGGTTGTGTGATTCCGACATTCTGAGACTTTAAGATGCTGAGGCTCTAGGAGCTAGAGATACGGACATTCTGTGAATCTAGGATTCTAGGATTTGATGGTTTGATGATTCAATGATTCTAAATGGGGCTGCTGGGAAGAGCTGCAACCACCTGCCTTGTTAATGTCAATGTTCAGTTATTAAAAACATAACAAGAAGCAATGGAGACAGATAGCTCAGAATGGTGGGCGCTCCCTCCACTCCCAGTGAGGGAGGACAGAAGAGGCTGGGCTGGCCTTAGAGAATAGAGACCTTTTCAACCTGGGTCACACAGGTTGTTTCTCCTGTCACAACAGAACTGGTGTGTGTACATTCGAGAGAGCTTCCACTCCCAAAGCTTGCAGGGTAAGGGGCTCATTTCCTTCAGCACTGGCCTCTATTCCTTAACCATTTCAGACTGGGCAGAGAGAGGGGTAACTACCCTTTCCTCCCAGCCCTCGAAGTCTCTGGGCAGAAATGGCAGCAGTGGAGGAAGGAGAGGTCTGCTCACCCCCGCCCCTTCCCTGACAGCCTGAGGGGGAAAACAGGACATGAATACTTCCTGGACACAGACATGGAAATGCATGAACCCCTGCCTTCGAGGGCCCCGCGTCCAAAGGCTCAGACAAGGGCAGAGGCCAGGACAGCCAGTGGGGTCCCATCAGCACCCTCTCAGTATAGGCTGAGGAGGGAAGACCCTGTTCTTGCCCCAAGGGTGACAGTGAGAAGGGGTCAAGGAAAGGAGTCCCAGGTCAGGGACTGGAAGTGCTGACAGGTCCTCCCCTGTGTGCAAGGCCACAGTCCAGCCTGGCAGAAGGCCAGCCCAATTGTCCAGTGTTTCACTGCCTCCTGAGTCCTTCTTATGCCTTGGCACCCAGGCCAGAGTTGGGGAGGGGTCCAGGCTGCAGGGGAGGGTTTCCTTCCAGAGTGCCCATCCCTGATGGATCCTTAGAAGCCCAGTACAGCTGCACAGTTCCAAGGGCTTCCGCTGCCTGGTAGGTTCACAGACCAAAGCTGGCCCTGGTCACACAGCACAACGGGGCCTGAAATCAGGCTTCCTGATTCCCAGTCCTGGGTGTTCCTTTTTGCCCACAGCCTCCCCCACTTCCCCTGGGACACCTGAGGGGCAGGAGTGGAGGTGGGGCTCAGGTTAGGGAGCAGAGCCTCTGTCCATCATCCCTCCGTCTTCCTCTTCCCACAGGCCAGAAGCAGGTGTGGTGGTGACAGCTGCCCCCAGTCCTCCACAAGGCTCCATTGTCCCCGGCAGGGAGCCCCTCCCCAGCTGCAGGCCAGAAGTGTGCCTCCCCGGGCCCTCCTGTCGTGACTCTGCCACCCGCTTCCTCCTGCTGCCCCTTCCCTCTTCTCATCTCCGCTTGCCCTCAGGCCCTCCCCATCCCCGTGAGGTCTCGTCTCTGGCGCTCTCTGGGTTTAAGCCTCTCTCCAGTGAAAGTTAGATTTGGAAGGGCCCTGGGAGATCACCAAGTCCAACCCTTTTATTCTTCGGATAAGGAGGCCAGGTCAGAGAGGGGAAGGTCCTGTCCAAAGCTGCACAGTAGGCTGAGGCAGAGCCCAGTGCTGTGCTCCCTTCAGCGCTGGGTCATGGGTGCACACTGCCCTTGGCATCAGGCGTCCAGGGTTTGAGAACTGACTGTGATGATCAGCGCTAAGCACACAGGCACCTACAGAAATGCGGTAGGGGGCTTCTCTCCTCAGCCCTTCTTCACAGCCCTGAGCTGCCCTCCCTTCCTCTTCTTTGCCCAGCTCCTCTCTCCTTCACTATCCCTGCTGTCTGCTGACTCCTGCCTCTGGCAGACACTGTCCTTGGGACACAGACTAGAGCTCAGGCCTCCAGGACTGGGATGCACACCCATGCACCCAGACACAGACACATAAACATGTGCAAGCGTGTCACGGGGTCCATAAATCCCAGCTGAAAACTGGTCAGACCATCAGGAGGCCACCCTGGAACCCAGTGTCCTCCTCTTCCTGTCAGGCCTCACACACCTCCTCCAGGAAGCCCCTTAGGACCCCTGAAGACCATCTTCATCCAACTAGCCCCTTTGTGACAACTGAACTCTGTGAGCCTAGGTTCCTCCTGTGACTCGAAGGGCAAGGCTGAGTCCCCCCTTCAGTCCTGGGGCCACTCCTTCAGTGTCTTCAGGAGGGGCTCAGCTTCCTGTTGCTGGGTGGGGAGAGCCCTGAGGTCCCCACAGGACGTGGGACAATGGGGAGGCGGTGACAGATGAGAGGCTGAGTCTTCCCTAAAGCAGACTCCACCCTCCCCTGACCTCCCTGGCTGGTGGCTTGGACACAGCCCTGGCCTGGACTAGGGTCCTGGTCTGACCCCACAATGCAGAGGTCTGGGAATCAGAAGCCCTGGTTCTCCAGCAGCAGTTCTCTAACTGGCGGCTATGGAGTCCAGGCCTCCAGGGCACTGGTAGGTTATTGGCGGGTTGGTGCAGATTCCAGTGTCCAGGAGGGGTGAGCTGGCCTGGGGGGCCTATGTACAGGAGATAGGAGGGTGATAAACACAGGCTAGGTGGGATTACAGGGAGCTGGGAATACCTAGCTAAGAATCCCCTCATCCTAGGCACTTTCCCCACACTTGAAATTGGCTGGAGGGGGAACCAGAAGTTAGGTGGGGTTGGGGAGGGACAGGAGCCAGCACCCTGCCTCCACCTCCGGGCAGTGCCTCTGCTGGGGGGAGGGAACCTGTCCTGGGGGTGGTGGGAGGTGTGAGGGGGGAGCTGGATTCTCCAGTGAAACTGGCCCTCCCTCCTCTCAGGGGAGGGGAGGGGGCTGTCCCTGGCTGCTCAGCAGGTAGCCCATCTGGCTGTGGGTGGAAAAGAAGACTCAGGCTTTGTGGATAAAAGGGACAGCCCTGGGTCAGGCACTTATCTCAACCCTCGTCATTTCCTCTGCCGGACATGACTGGGTGAGTGGGGTCATTGCACAGAGGGAAGGAACAGGCCAGGGCCAGTGCATACCAGGCCCTACAGGAGAGTCAGGCACATGGGTGACCCTGCCACACCCTGGGCTGCAGTCAGCCCCTCATAGAGGCCCAGACACACACCACAGTCACTGCCGGAGATGGCCACACCTAGACCATCACACCACACACAGACCCAGTCTCTCCAGGTGACACTCAGGCCCAGCTGCAGGCGCAGCTAAGAGGGAAGACCCTGCAGGGCACAGGGACACGTGGGACAACCAGACGCCCTGCTTCGGCCACACCACAAGCCTCCACACACCAGGTGCAGCTCCTGTCACCCCTACGGTCAACCCAAGGAGAGCCAGAGATTCCAGTAGTCGTGGGCAGGTATCCAGTGCCCAGGCGAGAAGAGGGGGACACCAGCAGGGAACCCAGAACCTCCTCCATGCCAGACTGTGCCCTCCCCCCAGCTCACAGAAGGAGTGCCTCAGGCTGTTTATTTCCTAGCAGGGACTAGCAGGGATGGGTGTCTCATCCCCCTCCCCCTCCCAGTCCCCACCACACGATTCTGAAGCTGCCAAATCAAATCAGCCCCTGCACCCGCGCCAGGCTGGCATGGCGGCCAGCAGCTGACGGGAACGAAGCCAGGCTCAGAATATCCCACCGCCTGTCCGATGCCTGAGTAGGCTTGTTGGGTGGGGGTGGGGAGGGGCAGGAGCCTGGCAGCCAGGCCCTGGGCAGTGCCCCTCAGAGAGGCTGGGGGTTTGGAATGCTGCAGGGTGGTGGGCTTCTGGAGAATGAGTGAGCAGGTCTCTGTTGTGTCTCCAGGCTGCTGTGGCAGTGTCTCCACCGCTAGCATTCCGGGAACTGTGGAAGTGGTGCTGGTAGGATACAGGTCGGGGGTCTGATCCCAGTCCAGATGACTGGGCGCCAGGCTGGGGTAGGGGGGCTCCCACATGGTCTCACATTCATTTGAGACTCACAGCACCCAGGTTGGAAGCCCCTTGGTTGTCTGTCAGTAAAGGCCCAACTCACTGTGGAGGCCCAGTGACTGTGTGAGGTGGACATTACGGATCCCATTTTACAGACAGAGAAACTGAGGCTTAGAGAGGGCTAGTAGAGCTCCCTGGAGAGAAGCAGAAGTGGAGGAGGCCTCAGAAAGAGTAAAGAGGTGGTCATTTCCACTCCTTAGGAGCCCTAGGTGGAAAGAAGGAATATGGCTCTGTTCTCAGAGTCAAGGAACAGAGAATATGGCAGAGCCAGAGGTGCCCATGGGAAGCAGAGAACAAGGAGGGAGTCTTGGGAGAGAGCAGGGTGCAAGCAGGCAAGGCTCCCTGGAGGAGGGGGCCATCCGTGGGCTTGCTGGGGGCTAATGGGAGGACAGTCTGGGGAGAAGGGGAGAAGGCCTGGCCGGCCTCAGCCCCTGACCTTCTTGTCTCTGCAGCCAGCCTGGACCCCCTTGCAAAGGAGCCAGGACCCCCAGGGAGTAGAGACGACCGACTGGAGGTGAGAGCTCAGTGGAGGGAGAAGTGGGTGGGCTTGAGGGGGTGGGGCGCAGACTGAAGATCAGTCTGAGTGGTGCCCTCCCCCTTGGGAGGACGGGGAGGCTGGAGTCACATCCCAGCCCCAGCCCTCCAGACTAGGACCACCCCTATATCAAGACCATCTCCCCTCACCCTATATATCCCCAGCCTGGAAGTCCTCCCATGAGGATTCCTCCTCCCAACTCACCTGGGGAGTCACTACAGACTCCTCCCTTGTCCTCCCCACCCTCACCCAACAATTCCCGTTGATTCTCTGCCCTGAGTATTTCCCGAGTTCCTCTCCTCTCCATTCTGCCGCCTGCTTGGGTCCAGGCTCCCTCAACTCTCCCCTGGGCCACTCACTGGCTGCTTGCTTTCAGTTTCCCCCATCATCCACGTGGCCACCAGGAGGATCTTTCTAATGCACAGACCTGAACTTGTCACTCTCTTGCCCCAGAATCCTCCATGCTCCCCACCCCCATGCCCCCTCCACAACCCCAGCCTGGCAATCGTTCCCCTTCATCCATTCCTGCCTCCCCCAAACTGCTCCTGCTGGCCTCTTCCCCACTCAGCTTCCTAAATCCTTCGGGGATCAGCTCTAGCCTCCTTTCCTCTGGGAAGTCCTCTCTACCCCTTGACCATGGGACCAAGCTCACTCCTGCTCCCTCCTCTGAGCTCTCCTGCCCTGGCAGTCAGATGCCAGGGCGCTCTGCTGTCTGTCGCCCACCGTGCTGTGCCACGAGCACCCTGTTTTCTCCATCACGTGACTCTGTATGTGTGTCTGCCTTGTCTTCTCTGCACTGTGAGCTCTTTGAGCCTCGGGACTGTGCTTTCTTCATTCCTGAACCTTCTACCACCCTTGGATGGGTACCGGTGCAGGGCTCAGCCAGCGCATTTCCTGCCCTGCGAGGGGTGCCATCCCCACCCCCCGACCATGCCTTCCTTCCCTGTGAGGGGTGCCTCATAGGACTCTTCAGTGCTCAAAGGGGCCTTGACGAGCAAACAAGGTGGGCTGCTGATGTTGAAGATCGGCACAGAGGAGGGTGTGTGTGTGTGTGAGAGAGAGAGAGAGAACTGGACCCACAGCCAGAACAGAGTCTGCCCAGGCCTGGCTGAGAGGGAGAGGAAGATGATGCTTGTATCAGCCCTCCTGTGTGCCAGGAGCCTTTGACACCCACCTTGTTTAATTATTACAGCACCCCCATGAGGTAGGGGCTGCTATTATTCCTATTTCACATTTGGGGAAGCTGAGGCCCAGAGGGATCATTCAGCAAGTGAGTTGGGACAGAGCTAAGATTGGAGCCTAGATGTGTCTCAGGCTCGAGGCTCACTCTTTCCCGGCCCCTGAGTAAGATGGGAAAGAAGGTGCCCACACAGGGCCTGGTGCACAGGAGGGGCTCAGCACAGGTTCCCTGCTGGGACACAGGGCCAAGACCTGAGAATGTGCCTCCAAGTGGGGCTGGGCCCTGCTGCTGGGAGCTGGCAAAGGGAGCTGGGAGGGGAGGGCCTGGAAAGCCACATTATTAATTTATTTACTGCCATGGCATTCCCCATGGGGCGGGGCTCCCCCCAGAGCTGGGACAGATGGTGTTCCTGGGAGCCTGCAGTGTCTCAGCAGCCTCGGCCACCCGCCAGGAAAGACTGGATTTGTCATCCACCCAGGGAGCCACAAGAAGAGGGGGCTTTGGCAAAGCTGAGACCCTCCTGGGCAACGGGGACTGTGCCCTGAGGGAAGGAGTATGGCTCCAGGCACCCTGCTATGCCTCTGGGGCAGCCCCCGCTGCCTAGGCCATCTGCCTGCCCTCTGCAGGTTCAAGTTCTGCTCTTTGTCCAGCTCCACCGGCCTCGTCCTTCCCATGAGGCTTCCCTGGGTCGGCCCCACCTGCTCCTATCCCTGTATTTTCTCTGCCTTTCCTTGAGCTGGGTCCTGCTGCCTCTTCCCTCTGACCGAGGATCTGGAGCCATGAGCTCCTCAGCCCTCAGCTCTGTCCTGACCCCATCCCCACACTCATCCCCAAAACAGTTAGTGTCTGCCTGGACTCTTGGCAGGGCCTGCTGGATTTCTGGGTCCTGCCAGCACCCCACCCGAGTGCCCAGGCCTATACTCAGCACTGCTGGGAAGAGATGGGCTGCCTGAGGGGACGCTGCCAACATGGAGAGGGCAAGACTGGAGAGAGTGGGGACCCGAGGGCATTGCTCAGACCACAGGGGCAGCTGGAGGGAAAAGGGACTGGGAGCCTGAGGGGCCCTCCTGTCAGGGTGGATCTGGGAAGCCAAGATGGCCTCATATAGTGGACAAGCCACAGGGTCAGATGAGCACGGGTTCAAGTCCCAACTCCCTTGCTTCCTAGGTGTGTGGCCTTGTGCCTGTCACTTAACCAGCCTGAGCATCAGTCTCCTCACCTGCCAGGCGGGATAAGAACGTCTATCACTGCCGGGAGCGGTGGCTCACGCTTGTAATCTCAGCACTTTGGGAGGCCAAGGCAGGTGGATCACAAGGTCAGGAGATCGAGACCATTCTGGTTAACAGGGTGAAACCTGTCTCTACTAAAAATACAAAAAATTAGCCGGTTGTGGTGGTGGGCGCCTGTAGTCCCAGCTACTTGGGAGGCTGAGGCAGGAGAATGGTGTGAACCCGGGAGGCAGAGCTTGCAGTGAGCCGAGATCGCGCCACTGCACTTCAGCCTGGGTGACAGAGTGAGACTCCATCTCAAAAAAAAAAAAAAAGAACCTCTATCATTCTTGGATGTAATCACTGTTATTCAACATTACCACAATAGAGCTGTTGGGAGAAGTTACAAAGACTGTATGTGTGGGGTGCCCGGCGCAGGCCTGGCACATGGCAGATCCTTGGGGAGAGTTAGCCTCCTCTCTGTTTCCCTCAAGGATGACATCCTTAGAGCCAGGACTAGGCTGTACCCCTGTGAGACAGGATGCTCTGCAGAGCTGGGCTGAGGCTTATGGAAGTTCTATGGGCATGGCACACTCTCCTGGCACTGGCTGGGCAGCAGCCAAGAAAGCAGAGCTGCCAGCACCCATCCCCACCCAGCAGGCGTGTGTTCAGCACACCCTCCTGGGATGGTTACCTAGCCCCTGTGCCAGCAGCTGACTTGGAGGAGGGGCTCTTCCAGCTCAGCCTGGCATCCTCCTTCAGGGCCAGGCCTCTGCATCATTACTGTCTCTCTGAAAGTCAGGTCTGGGGCAGTTCAAGTTGGTGAATTGAGCATGCTGAGTCAATGCCCTCTTTGTGATGGCTCTCAGGGCCCAGATGGCGGCTTGGGAGCCTTAGCTGGGATGGGGGCATGGGGAGAGGCGGACGTGGATGAGGGCACTGACATCCACAATAAGTACTGAAATGCACTGCCCAACACCGGCTCCTCTATTGCTGCCCTTGGGACAAAGACCACACCCCTTGGCAGGGCATTGCTGGCCTTGCCTGCTGGGTCCCCTCATGTCCCCTTGTGTCCCCTTATGCCCTGAGACAGCCAGCGCTACAGCCACATTGTTGTGTTCACTCCCAGCACACAGCAGCTCCCCCTGCCTCCCTGCCTTTGCTCACACTGACCACCTGTCTGGAATACCTTTCCTTTCTTTCTCCACCTACTCTCTTTTCAAGGCCCAGATGAAATGTCACCTCCTTTGTGACGTTCCTCAGACTGGTCCCTCTACCTCAGGCCGAGCCAGTCTCCTCCCTTCCCTGGGCACTCACAGTCCCCATTTCCCTGAGCCCACAGTTGGGAAACCTGTTACCCCACGGGGTGCTGTGGGTAGTGTATCCTTCCCCATGGGGTTGTAAACACCCAGGAGGCAGAGGCTGAGACTGAGTCTCCTTTGTCTCTCTTGGGCCCATGTGGTGCTTGGTATAGGCCTGGTATATGGTAGGTGCTCAATAAATACTTCTTGAATGAACAAGAGTGGCTGTGAGTAGGGCTGGAGTAGTTCCAAGAAGGGGCACAGTTGGGTTGGGCGGTCTTGGAGACTTGGAGGAGGCAACCTTAGAACTTTGAAGGATGGAGAGGGTCAAGGGCACCAACCGAAGAAGCCAGGGACCAGCTAGGCAGTCAGAGAGGTCCATGAGGTCAGCTTCTGACAGCAGCAGCTAAGGACAACCAGGACCAGAACAGGACTGGGAAAAAGCAGATAGAGGAGGCTGGAGCAAGGACTCAGCCCCAGAGGAGGCTGCAGGAGGTTGGCTCATGCTCAGAACCCGGCTCCAAAACACTCTGCCCATGAGTGCTGGGCTGAGGAAGGCTTGGTGCCAGAGTCAGGGTGAGGCTGAGGCCACCAGTGAATATGTGGGCCCAGCTGCGGGGGTAGCACTAGGCAGGGGCGGGAGCCAGGTTGGAGGGGGTATTGCCATTGCCGCTGCAGGTGGAGTAGGGCTTCGCTGGGGAAGGAGCAGCTTGTGCGAGAGTGTGGGCAGGAGTGGGAGGGGAGAAGGCTCCGAGTATACGAGCATAGCTTACCAGCAAGTCCTGGGGTGAGGCTGGAGGGGCCGCGCTGTAGGCAGCACTTTTCGGGCCCTTATCTAACATTCTCAAGTGAGTGCTCCTAGCTGCCAGATGTGCTACTTCCTCCTGGATTCTGCACATCAGGAGCCAGTGGCCTCTACAATGCCCCATGGCCCCAAGGGAGTGGCTGCCAACAAGTTGGCCTTAGCATCTGGCATCCATGGGGGTCCTGAGGCCCTGCCATCTGTCTGTGCCCCTGTTGGGCTGCACAGGCCCGGGGCGTGCAGGGACCTGGGACCAGGGAGGCGGTCTCAGCTGCCACTCTAGCCTGTCTCTCTGCCTGCCCATCCACTGTCCACACCCCTGGCTGACTGAGTAAAGAGAGAGATGGGCATCGCAGGTCCTGCCATCAAAGAAGCCTAGTCTAAAGGAGGAGGCATAAAGCACCGGGGACTTATACCCAGAGAAGACACATGCTGAGACCACGCCAGGCTCGCGGGCAAGGCCTAGGCCCAGGGAGGGCCAGCCTCGTCAAGGGCCTGGAGTTGAGACTCAGGGAAAGGCAGGAGCTGGCATAGAGGCGCAGGCAGGTCCAAGGCAGTGCCCAGGCCAGATGCTGCGGCCCCGGGCTGAGGTTGCTCCAGCCGGCCCCACCCCCCACCGTCCTGCCTGGCCTTTGGCTGTAAACACTGAGAGAACAAGTTCCGTTTCCCGGGAAATATTTATCTCAGGCTGTGTGAAGAGCGTGTGCACTGGCCTCCGTGTGTCCTTCCTGCAGACCGGCTGGGGCAGGAGGAGAGGGAGCTTGGCAGCGCCCTTGCTGGGGGGAGTCTGTGGGGCTAGGAGGGAAGGGTGTGCCAGAGGCCCCTGCCTAGAGCCTGAATTTGAGTGCTGGCTGAGGGAGAGGTGGGAGCAGATGGGAGAGAAGCCTGTTTTCTCCAAACCCCACAAATGCCCTCCACCTCTCTCATGTTCCTTTCTTCTTCCTGGTCCATCCTGTCTCCTCCAGGTTCCGGCCTCCAGCCTGGTGTCCCCTCCTCAGGCTGCCTTTTCCTCCTCCTCCTCCCTGTTTCCTGGCTCTTAGCCGCTCCATCTGGGAAGTCTTCCTCAACTTTAAACCCTCGAACCCTTGTCCTCTGCCCTCCATCTCCCACTCCTCAGGCTTTCAGCAGCTTCACGTGGAGCATTGGGCTGGTCCTGTCCACAGTTGTTCAGTTGCTGTAACAGCTTGTGCAGGCTGCCCTGGAGCCCTGTTCTGGGAAGCACAGGTCTGGGCACCCTGGGGCTGGGGCGAGGCCCGGAGCTGATCTCCTCTGTCCATCCCAGTAGAGCCAGCACCAGTGCAGACACATGGGGGATCCAGGTTGGTGGACCAGGGGAGGATGGAAAGTCCCATGGATCCAGCCGGAATGTTGGAGTGGGGAGGCAGAGGGCCCAGGGTTCCTGCTGGCCAGCCTCTGGGCTTAGGGGTGTGTATCCCAGACAGGCCAGGCCTGCCAGGGGCCCTGACAACAGGAAATCCTTGAAGGAACAAGCAGAGGCTGAGGACTCTGAGCACAACAACAGGAAACAGCCGTGACATGGGGCAACAGCCCTGGCGACTGTGCCCAGTTGGGGTGGGGACGAGGGGCCAAGCTTGTGGGACCCAGGGTGATGCCAAGAGGGACACTGAGACACTGTGGGACAGGGGGCGTTCTGCACATGTGACACGGAGCTTATGACGTGTAATATCAAGTACGTGACCATGATCATAGGGTACTGTGTGGAGTGTGGGTGAGTCACTGAGTATGTGACACTGGCTGTGAGGCACTCCATGATAGCAGATGTGTACAGTGGCTGTGCCACCAAGTGTGTAACACTGTGTGATATTGATTGTGTGATGCTGACACCGAGTGTGTGACATTGCACATTGCATGCTACCACGTGTGTGACACTGAAAGTGACAGTGAGCACATGGAGGGTGTGTCTCCATGAGAATCAAATACAGAAACGTGAGCAAATGACGCTGCAGTAGCAGGTATGGTCCTGAGTCTGTGGCTCGAGTGTCTGACACTGAATTGTGACATTGAGTGTGTCCCAAGCATATGATCTAGTGAGGCTGAGTGTGTAAACAAAGGCATGACATGGAGTGATAGCAAGTGTGTGGAAGTGGGCGTGTGATGCTGTGTGATCTTGGGCCTGACATTACATGTGTGATGCTCTGTAATGGTTGTAACAGTATGCAATGTGCACATACAGTGCTGTGTAGGACACTGTCATGGGAAGGCACCGATGGGTTCAGGCGGGAAAGTAACACCGTCCAAAGGATGGTTTTAAAAGATTGCTCTGGCCAGATGCAGTGGCTCACACCTATAATCCCAGCACTTTGGGAGGCTGAGCTGGGTGGATCACCTGAGGTCAGGAGTTCAAGACCAGTCTGGTGAAACCCCATCTCTACTAAAAATACAAAAATTAGCCAGGCATGGTGACAGGCGCCTGTAATCTCAGCTGCTCGGGAGGTTGAGACAGGAGAATCACTTGAACCCAGGGGGCAGAGGTTGCAGTGAGCCAAGATTGAGCCATTGCACTCCAGCCTGGGTGACGAGTGAAATACCATCTCAAAAAAAAAAAAAGAAAAAGATTGCTCAGGTTGCAGAATATGTATGTGTGCGAGTGTGCATGGTGCGTGGCAGGGGAGGGGAGATAAGTTAGGGGGAGGCAGAGAGAAGGTGGGTAGAGCAACTGGAGGCTCCTGCAGCTGCCCAGGCAGGAGATGGTGGTGCCTGTGTTAATGGAATGGCAGAAGAGTTAGAGATATGGAGCAACTTTGGAGATATTTGAAAACAGAAATGACAGAACTTGCTGATAAATGAGAAGATGAGCAAGAGGGAAAACCAGAGAACAATTTCCAGGGTTCTGGCTTGAAGAACCAAGCGATGGATGGTGAAGATGTTTCTGAGATGGGCAAAGGCAAGGGGGAGGGTCAGCACTAGTGGGGTGGGAGGACAAGGAGGCAGAAACCGAGTGAGCTGTTTTGGATGTGTTAAGGGAAGCATCCAGGTGAAGGTGTGCAGTGGGCAGCGGGGCCAGGCTAGGGATACATCTGGGAGTCGACAGGCATGGGGGGTTTGTTAAGGTCGTGGACCTGGCTGGGATAATGGAGAGAGGGAGCTTGGCAACAGAAGAGGTGGGGACTGAGGACCGAGCCTTAAACTCTGAATATTCCATTGTCTAGAGGCCGGGGAGGTGAGAAGGAGCAGCAACGAGACAGAGGAGGAGGGCCAGGGAGGCAGAGGAGACCAGGAGTGTGAAGCCAGAAGCCAAGGGAGGAAAGAGGCTCAAGTGGGAGGGAGGGTCGGTGTGTGGATGGTGCTGGCCCACAGGTAAGATGGGAACCGGAAGATTGTGCTGTGCTGGGCACTGTGGGTGAGTCAGGCTAATGGGAGCCATTTCAGTGATGGGCTGGAGCCAGAAGTCAGACTGGCCTGTGTAGGATGGTGAGGGAGGTGAAGACGTTAGCCTGGAGAGCCCTTTGGAGACGTTGGGCTGTGAGGGCTGCAGAGAAGGACATGATCGCTGGAAAGGGAGATTACATTTTTTTATTATGGGTGATTCTAAGCAGACACAATACCAGAGAGAAGCATATAAGAAACTGCCATATACTCATCACCCCAGTTCAACAGTTGCTGGGATTTGGCCTCATTTCTTCCTCTCTTGCCCCCTATCTGTTCTTTCATTTTCCTTTGCTTAAGCTTAAAATTTTTTAAATTGTGGTAAAATATACATAACTTAAACTTTACCATCATAACCATTTCTAAGTGTACAGTTCAGTTGTGGTAGGTACATTCACACTGTTTTGCAACCAATCTCTGGAACTCTTTCATCTTCTCAAACTGAAACTCTGCACCTATTAAACGACAGCCCCCATCCTCCTCTGTCTCCAGCTCCTGGCACCCACCATTCTACTTTCTGTCTCTATGACTTGGACTACTCTAGATACCTCAAGTAATTGGAATAATGTAGTATCTGTCTTTTTGTGACTGGTTTTTAAGTTTACTTAGCATAACGTCTTCAAGTTTTACCCATGTTGTAGCATGTGACAGGATTTCCTTCCTTTTTATGGCCACATAATATTCCAGTGTATGGACAGACCACATCCATCCAACACCAGACACTTGGGTTGCTTTCACATTTTAGCTATTGTGAGTAATGCTGCTATGAACATAAGTGTACAAATATCTCTTCAAGATCCTGCTTCCAATTCTTTCAGATGTATACCTAGAAGTACGCTTGCTGGATCACACAGTCATTCTATTTTTTGGTTTTTGAGGAACTGCCATACTGTTTTCTGTATCTTTTTACATTCCCACGGACAGTGTACAGGGGTTTCAGTTTCTCCACATCCTTGCCAACATGTGTTATTTTCTGTTCTTTTTTTTCTTTTATTTTTTAATGGTAGCCATCCTAATGGGTGTGGGGTGACATTTCATTGTGGTTTTGATTTGCATTTCCCTAATGATTAGTGAAGTTGAGCATCTTTTCATGTGCTGGTTGGCCACTTGTATATCTTCTTTGGGAAAATGTTGATTCAAGTCCTTTGCCCATTTAAAACATTGGGTTGTTTGCTTTTTTGTTGTTATTGAATTGCAGGGGTTCTTTATATATTCCAGATATTACCTCTTTATCAGATAAAAGCTTTGCAAATATTTTTCTCCCATTTCATAGGTTGCTTCGCTGAAATATGTTAAAGCAAATCCCAGACATGATGTCATTTCACCAAAGGTAGACTTTTTTTTTGGTGGGGGGAGCTTTCCGGTGAAGACTGAAAAACCTGCTAGACAAATTCTAAAATAGATGTGACTTTGGATTTTTGTTTTTTAAGGCTAGGAGGTCCTGGATGATGCTGAAATGTAACAGTGACACAGAGCCAGTGTGGAACTGTGTCTGATGCTGTGTGAGGGTGACATGGTGGCTTTGGGAACATGGGTGCAACACTGAAGATATGGGAGACTCCAAGTGAGGGTGACAGTGAGAGATCACTGTGTGTGTGGCCCTGTGACACCCAGTGACATGGGACAGTGGGACGCTGTGGACCCTGAAATGACTGTGTGTCACCGAGCAGGTGGGACCTGCTGTGTGAAGGCCACAGGTGTCATGTCTTCTTGTGTCATCCTGGTTGATGAGTGTGACACAGTGCAGGACTCTGCATGGGAGTAAGAGGGACTGAAGCTGTGCTATAGGTGACCGGGCTGCATGTGATTCAAGTGGGCTCAGCCCCAGCTTCAGCTGCTGAGTATGGGAGGGAGCATGGACATTGTAGGGTAGATGAGGAGAAACACTGAATGGGAACAGAAATGGTGTCTGTGCCCAGATGCGAGCTCCTCCCTTCTCTGAATACCCAGGAAGGCTTCCTGGAGGCAGGATGTGGGCACTTCAGCAGGATGTTGTAGGTGCTGATTAAGAGCAGGGCCTGTGGTGTCAGACAGCCCTGTCTAGGCTCTGACATTCAGCAGGTCATTTTATCTCTTGAGCCTCAATTTCCTCAAGTATAAAATGGGAGCTCTTAGGAGGATTGCATGAAGCAGTGCTCCAATGCATGCAGTCTCTGGCACTTGGTAAATACTCTATGGTCTCTTGGGGAGCAGCAACCTCAACACCTGCACCCCAGGTCCCCAAATAACAGGAGCACCAGTAGGAGCACAGTGAAGGTGCGCTGAGTGAGGTGTCCTCTTACACCCACAGCCCTCCTCTCTCCCTCTCCCCCAACTTCTGTCCCCTGCTTGGTGTTGTCAGCGATACCCCCTCCTGCCCACTCACTCCTGCCCCCTCCTCTCCCCTGCCGTCCTTACCACTGTCAGCCTCCAGCCCAGGCTCCTGCAGCCTCATCCAATTAGGCCAATGCAATTTGCTCAAGAAAAAGCCCCATAATTTGGTTAATCACACCAGTAGGGGATCTGGTCCCGGTCGGGAGGGTGGGGGTGGATAGGAGTCCATACCCGCAGCTGAGGCACAGGTGTCAAAGTGCCTGTCTTTTGGGACCTTTACCCACTTCCTTGGGCTCCTTTCAGGAGCCAACAGAGTCCAAAGCTTGGGTCTTCTCAAACCCAACTACAGAGGCCTTGAAACAGGAGTCTGGACTTCCTGGGTTCGCTTGTGTTCCTGGGAGGGTCCCTGCTACTCTCTGGGCCTCAGTCTCCCTTTCCAAAAATGGGAGTGGAACTGGGGAGTCTCAGAGGCCCCAGTTGGCCTAGCTCTGCATCCCAGCTCTGGTCAGTCCCCCTTGTGGCTTCTGAGGGGCCTTCTCCTGGGCCTTGGGGAGGGAGCACTGAGGGGTAGGTGGAGAGCACAGGGCCCCAGGGAAGTGAGGAGGGGTAAGTGTCCTCTGAGTCTCATCTGGAATGTGTCTACCCCAGTCCTATAATCAGAGACCCTCTAGTTCCAGGCTGCACACCTGAAGGTGGGGCAGGAAGAAAGGAAGCTGCCCTTTCTTGGTCACCTGCAAGGCCAAAGTCTCTTAACCGTGCAGGCTATACCTTGCACAGGAGCTCCAGCAGAGGTGGGGTGGTGCTGAAACTGAGCCCACTCTCCCTCACCAAGCCTTTCCCCTCAGGCCCGCATCTGCCCAGAGAATTGGGGTCCCTCCTTTCTAATGTGCACACAGGTGGCCCCAGCCCCCTGCTGGGAGTCAGCTTAGGCAAGGTTTGATGGCTCAGCTTAATCTTCTCAGCAGCTCTGGGGGAAGAGACCATTTTACGGATGAGGAACTGAGCCCAGGAAGGTCCAAAGACTTGTCCAGTACATGTGGTGTGTGGCAGGGCAGGCAGATGAGCCCGCATCTGAGGGAGGCGATGGGAGAAGTGACAGGGGTGCGCAGAGGAGGAGAATTAGACCCTCTCAGATTCCACCACTCTCAGCCACACGTTCACTCACTCATTTGGAGACAAGACTAACCACCAGCGCATTCACAGCACCCCAGACAGCCACATACTGACTATACCACTGTCACATGGACATCAATGACCTGAATCACATATGCATAGATGCAGGCCCACATGGTCACTCCCACGTGCAGATGGCCAGTGCACACACATAGACACAGGGTACTCACACATGTTTACACTCTCACGACCCATGTGGGTTACAGATTCCTACAGAGACACAGACCTACATACTTTCACAAGGAAATTCTCCCAGTGACCCAGGGAACATAGTCTGCCATGATGATGTGATGGTCCGTAGGGGCTCGCCACTATGGACCATTAATGGGCAGGCTGCACACATGCTTAGGTCCCCAGCAAAGCGGGAGTTCTGCACAGAGTGAGAGGAGAGGTCAGTTCTGATGAGTGTATCCAGAATTTTGCAATCAGAAAAACCACACAAAAACTATTTTAATTTTCATTTCCAAGATAAAATTTAGTTTGAATTGTATAGAGGGTCCGAGGGTCTGGTGGGAGGGCATCATCATCTTTTCAAGGCTTTGGGGTTCTAAGGCACCCACAGATTCACAACAGTCCCACAAGATATCCCAGGCTGACATATTTACCCAGCCCAGTGTGTGCGTGTGTGTGTGTGTGTGTGCGCACGCTGTGTGCATGCTCATGCTGGCTCCCAGATCCTCGGGATGTGAGGAAGGAAAGTAGGAGAGATTCCAGAGACTCCGGATGTTTGTTCTCTGGCTTCCTGGGCCCTTCAAAGGAAAATAACTCTGGATGTCAGCCTGCCTGCCTGGCGGGCTGGGTGGAGAGGTGGGCTGTTTATGTTGGGAGGTGGGCTGTATGACAGCCTGCCTCAGCCCCTGTGGCCCCACTGACCGGGACCCTGTGTAATGAGGCAGAGTGACCAAGGCCCATGGCCAGCGTCCCATGGGCTCGTAGGCCCATCGCCTCCCCTCTCTGGGGCTTGGCTCTCTCATCTGAAAAATGGAGGTGGGAAGGAGATGAGACTGGATGGGCTTTCTCCTGGAGACTGATTAGAGAGACAGAGACTCAGGCCCGGGGTCCAGAAAAGACAACCAAAGCTGGGGAGGGCACATGAAGGGGGGCAAAGAAGGTCTGGGTTCAGGGGAGTGCGTGGGGCCCCAGAGCCTGCCATGTCTCCGCCAACTCTCTCCCTCACTGGAGGAGGGCTCTGTGCCTTGGTGCCCCACCTGCCCAGGGCCCTGTGGCTCAGCCCCTTGCTTGCTCTGTGAGGGGGACGGGAGAAGGATGAGAGTCCCAGTGATAGGGGGAGGACAAGACCAGGGGAGAGGGCTGGGGGTTTCTGGAGGGCCAGAGCAGGAAGAGCAGGAGAGAAGAGAGGACACCACAGTGCAGGAAACGGAGGAGCAAAGGCTGGGAGTGGGGAGGCTGGAGGGGTGCAGGGAATCAGACTGGGGCGCTGCGAAGAGGCCTGAGGCCAGAGCAGGCAGTGCCTGGATGGAGGGAGCGAGCAGCTCCTCACCCTCAGCTCCTTGATGAGGTAAGGTGACCACGAGCCCTGCTCCAGGCTGTGTGCTGAGCACTTTGCTCGGAGCCTGTCACTCTGGAGGAGGGGAGGGGGTGTTCCCAGGAGCTATGACAGTCTTGTGCAAGGGAGGGACAGGGTCACATTTATGTTTAACAAAGCACTGCGCTGGGAGAGAGGAGCTGAGAGACCCCGGCCCTGGGGAGCATGGTGGCTGGGACCCCGGAGGGCAGGCGTGCCCCAGACGGACCCCACTCAGAAGATTGCTTATCCCAACCCCCCAAAGAGAAAGGCTATTTTTAGGAACAATAAAAGTGCTCACACATTCCTGCAGGGGCAGAGAGAGGGAAAGGGGGCAGGAGTCAGTGCAGAGGAAGAGGGTGGACCCCGCTCTTCTCCCAACTCTGCCTTGGTCTTCAGGGACTTCTCCTCAGGGGCTTCCCCAGCCAGCCCTGCCTCTCCAGCCTCCGCCTGTCCCTGGGGTTCCCTACCGGCTCTTATGTCTATCCCTCTGCTTCTGAATTGGTACTTGTTCTGTCCCTGTCTCTCTTTCTCATACTTCCACTTTCCCCCTCCCCCTGGGGTTTGGGGAACAGCTGGGATGGGCCAAGCTCTGTTGAGAGAGCCAAATACAGTCATAGGACAAAGCAGCGGGAGGCTGTGGGATACACACATGCCGCAGAGCACAGACAGAGAGAGGTGGCCAGGCACAGAGAGAGCGCCCAGGGAGGCTGAGAGGCAGGGAGAAAACACGCTGGGACAGTCAGGGAGAGCCCCAGGGCAGGCATCACCGGGCAGCCAGCCTCTGTGCCCTGCTCTCTATCTTGTCCCTAAGAAGACCAGCATGGCTGGGCTTGCCTCCCGCCATCCACCCCACCAGCCCTACCCCAGGCTGGCCCTTCCTCCCCGCCCTCTGCAGGCCCACACTAACCCTAGGCCAGGCCGCCTCCTTCAGCATTTACCTCCCACACACAATGGGCACAGTGAGGACATAAGAGACCCAGTCTCTGGCCTGGAGGCAGATACTCAGCCTTACCCGACATCTGAGAGGGCTCAGCCCATCCCCTGGCCAAGGCAGGTATTAGAGGGGCCCCAAAGACAAGCAGGACTCTGGGACAAGGTGTCCTAGTGTGGCCCAAAGGGCTGGGCTGAAGCATGGGTCTCCTGGCTCCAGATGAGAGCCTGGGTGAATCCTTCCCTGCCTCCTCTGGCCTTAGTCTACCCCATCAAGCTTGGGATTGGACTACATGAGGCCTGAGGCCCTGTAGCCCCTGGTCCCTGGGAATTCTCAGAAGGCCTGGGAGGGGGACAGGTGACCACGCAGGAAGGCTTCCTGGAGGAGGTGTCCTCACTCATGAAAGAAGGTGATAGTGACAGTGCTCCTCTTGGGGAAGAGCCCTCCATCCTGACCTGCTGCCCCCACCCGGTCTGCACGTGGAGATGATCCTGAAGCACAAAGGGCCTCCCGGCCTGCAGAGGTGCCTGGGAGAGGTTGCCAAAGGCTCTCAGTAGGAGACACCCCATTCCTCAGGCTCCTTCTCTGAGACTGTAACTGTGCCAGACTGGGGAGGCTTTGAGAGGTCTCAGCTATCTCCCCTGCCTAGATCCTTCCTCCACACCCCTCTTCTCCCTGATGGCATGTAGCCCTCACAGTACAGTAGTCCTGGGCACACAGGAGTTTACCCAGTCATTTACAGCTCAGCAAACGCCTACCAACACCTATGAGGGGCTGGGTAATGCTGGAGACCTGGAGAGGGGCAGGACACAATCTCTGCCCTCCAAAAGCTCCCAGTCTGTTGTGGGAGCCAGACGGGAAAGGGTGGCACTGCATTGATGCACACAGTGCATGCCATGGTGGGGGAAAGGGGGGCAGTGGGAGCCCCAGGTGGGAGGGTCAGACTTGCCTGGAGAGAGAACAACAACAGACTCTCCCTGGAGGGGATCCAGAGAAGGGAGATCACTCCATTCATTCATTCGTCATTCATCCATCCACCCATTCAATTATTCCTTTGGCCATCATTTCCTGAGGGATGTAAACTCTCTTCTGACACTGACCCAGCGGGACACTCAGCGTCCTCCTCCTCTCCTGCTTGAGCCACCATGCCTGCCTCTTGGAGGCTCCTGGACTTGCTTTGCTCAGCTCCCAACCCACCCTGAGGGGGTGAGGCTGAGGAGGGTGTACAGACATTCAGGGTCACCAAACTCAGAGCTGGAGGCCTGCCACCTCACCAGGGGCCTTTCTCAGGGCACAGGCTCCCTGGTGGCAGGGCCTTGGCCCTTGCTTGCACACCCTTGGGGACTAGGAGCCCCCTCATCCATCCTGCTCAGGCTCTCTTTTGTGGCGCGACTCTGATTCACAGTGTGCCCAAATCTGCCTCCTTGTGACTGCCGCGAGCTGCCTCGTGGGCCCCAGGCCAGAGGACAAGGATAGCTAGAATGCCAGGTGACCAGGATGACTGTGATGGCATGGAGAGGGGGATGCTGTGATGTGTTTGGGAGGAAGTTTGTGGTGTCCAGGAGAATGTGGGCAGCAGAAATGGGACCACTCTCGGTTCTTCCCTGTAGATGAAGCAGCTGAAGGTGGGAGGGGGTGGGAGGAGACCTGAGCTGGCTCTGCCCCGCTTGATCTGATGTCTGCCTTGCAGGGCCATCCTCCCCCTCCCCACACTCAGCTCCTGCCTCCCTCCCTCTACCCACTCTGACTGTTCCCTCCTTTCCTGACTCCAGACTCTGGGTGAGGGACTGAGGTGATTCCAGTGAGTCAGGCCCTCAGGGAACTGATCGTGCAGGCAACTCTTGCCTGCCTTCTCCTGCTCTTTCCCTCTTCCCATTCCTTCATCCACCCCCAAACCTAGCTCCTGATGGATCCAAGGGTGCGGGGGACAACCGGGAGGTCATTTTGGAGGAGGCAGGAGCTGGAATAGAAGCTGGGACTGGCTTGGGAAGGGCGAGAGGCCGGGGCGGAGCTGGTTGTGGGCGCTGGAAGGGAGGAGCCAACAGTGTGGGGTCAGGCTCCTGTGGATGGGGACACCCTTGGGAGGCACTGGGACTGGCTCAGGTGTATTCTACAGTGCACGTGTCTCCAGTGTGGCTCGGAGGCTGGAGACGCGGCCCTGTTGGAGTAACAACTGAAGCCGGAGTCTGCGAAGGGTGGGCAGGAGGGTGGAGGGATGGGGGCATGGAGCGGGAGGGGGTAAGTAGAGGAGGGAGGGGAGGAAGAGAAAGAGGGAGGAGGAAAGGTCTCTGGCAGGTCCCTCCTTTAAGACTGGGCTCCTGCGCTGCGAGTGGCCCCGTCCATACTGCCTTGTTATCCATATCTCCCCACCACTAGTCTCCCTCTGTCCTTCCACCCCCAGCCTCTCCCCTCCATTGGGACCTTCCCTGGGGCGTCCCCTCATTGGCTGTTCTCACCTGAGCAAGGCCCCTCCCCTCCAGTCCTTAGCCTCTTCACCTGTACAATGGGATGACCCAAACAGGCACCTCTTGGGCTTGTAGGAGGATCCAAGATAGTGTCAGTGGGTCTCGAGGTGTGGTCCCCCGACCAGCAGCATCAGTGTCATCTAGGAATGTTTGGAAACGCAAGTTCTTGGACCTCGTCCCAGACCTACTGTATCAGAAACCCTGGGGGTGGGGCCAGCAATCTGCACTTTAACAAGCACTCTGGGTGGTTCTGGTGCACATGAAAATTGGGGAACGGCTGGTGGAAACCTCTAGCCACAGGAGGTGCTTGGGAAAGGTACCTTCCCCTCCCCAAAGCCTGATGCCTCACTCAAGCATGACACTGACAGTTGGGCTAGTTCAGCTGCGTTCTGGGTCTCTGTCTTGCCTCCTCCTTCAGACTAAGCCTCCCAAGGGTTGCCAAGCCTCTTTCCTCTATTCTCCTCACCCTGATCCAGCTCAGCCTCATTGAGAGAAGTCTGGGGCTGCAAGATCTTCGCACTCACAGGCAGTTCCTCTTTGCACATCCAAGGCACCAGTGTCTTTGAGAGGCGTCTCCTTGGCCAGGTGGCAGGCGTGGGTGTGTGGGGAGGAAGGAGGAGGAACCGCCTTGTTCTGCTTTCTTGTCTCTGACTCTGCAGGCTGGGGGTGCTGTAAGGCTGCGAGGAGGCATAGAGTCAGCTTGGGTGCTGGGCTGAGGCCAGGGGCCGAGGCTCAGCTGAAGCGGGCTTCTCTGGTCTGAGCCTACAGGATGCCTCCTTTGGGGCAGTTCTGCCAGTCACCCTGACTGGGCGGCTGTGCTTGCTAGTGCCAGACCCATGCTAGGCACAGAGGTCGATACGTTCTCCTGTGCTCTTGAAGGGCCCTGTCCTCTGGGAAGATAAGAGGCTGTGTATATTGCCCACCGGAACAGGAGGCAGGAAGCAAAAGAGGCGTAGATGACACTTGCCTGGCACCCCCTGTTTCCCCTCTAGCTGCCTTCCTGGGTTTCCCATTCTGTGGGCGCTTCTCTTGAGTTAGGTGCTTTCTCCCAGTGTTCTCAAGGTGACTATTTGGAGGTTTGTGGGAGGAGTGGGCTGGAGACACAGGAGTAGGTGGGGGCAGGAAGTATGCAGGAGAGAGATGGAGAGTGGGAGGAGAAGCTATGAGAGGAAGAGAGGACGCGGAGGTGGGAAAAGACGTCAAGACTCCTGGAGAGGAACAGGAGTGCAGCCTGGGACAGAGGTGGACGTCGGCCGGGGGAGGCAGGGAGGAAGGCAGGGAGGTCCACCCGAAAGGAAGGGAAGGGATGATGGACAGAGAATGAGAGGGCTCCGAGGTCCTGGGGGATCTAGAAGGACCCTTCCCTTTACAGAAGGGGACACCAAGGCCCAGAGAGAGAGGAGGGCCTCACAGAGGACCTAACACAAGCAGAGTTGCATGAATCAGTGTGAACGGACAGTCCCAAGAGCACAGCCGGACCTTGGGAGGTACTTGACTCTTGAGTTTGATGTTATTGCCTTCCTGTAGGCCAGTGTGAGGGGCACTGTGAGGCTTCCTTCCAGAGAAGGAGGCATGGAGCCAGTGCCAGGCAGTGGGGTGAGCCATAGGAGGACCTGTGGAGATGGGGAAAGGCATAGAGACTCATGAAGATGAAACAGGAAAGATCTTATGGCAGCGACCCCAACCCTCAGGAAGGGCGTTGGTCTTGTGCTTGTGGCTCCAAAGGGGATAAGACCAAGGTCTCTGGTTTCATAGAATCTTAGGCTTTAAGAACGAGTTAGAAGTAATTTAGTCCAGACCCTCTCCTCTCCCCAGATAAGTGCAGAAATGCAGATCTAGCCCACGGCTGAGCCCCAACCCTGGCTTCAGAGGAGGCCTGACTCAGAACAGGCTCCCCTTTCTTGGTACCTGGGGTGAATGAAAGCTAAGTCCGTGGTAATGGTGCTGTCTGTGGTGCTGACTGGCCTTACCTTGGACTACAGAGCTGCAGGTGGAGCTGGAGAGAGCAGAAAGGCTCCATCTATCCATCTACCCACCCACCCAGCCACCCATCTACCTATCCACCCACCATCCACCCACCCATCCATCCACCATCCCTCCCCCAACCCATCCTGCACCCATTCATCTATCCACCTACCCACTCATCCATCCAGCCTCATTGAATTAAACCATAGAACTATATGCTGCAGAGCTAGAAAGATCCATTTTTTAGTAATGACAAAACTGAGGCTCAGAAGAGGAAAGGTGTTGCGTAAGGCCACACAGAACTTCTGTAGTCAGTCTGGTACAGGATTGGAAATTGCGGCTCTTTTCTACACACCACAAGTTCTCCTCTGTGGTCTGGGAAATTGCCTGGTTTTTATGCTGATATCTATACTGATATTTGTTCCAAAAAGCTGTGAAGGCAGGAAATGTGACCTCCTTCACCCCATCCCGAGCCTGAGTTCTGTGTGTGTGTGTGTGTGTGTGTGTGTGTGTGTGTGTGTGTGTGTGGATGTGATGTGCATGTCTAAGTGCAACCTTGTATATGCATTGAATATATGATTGCCTTTTGATCTGTCTGTGTGCGTGTTTGTGTGAGAGCCTGTGCATATACGTATGAGTAGAGGAGTGCGTAGCAATATGTATTTGTGTGGCATGTGTAGATGGGCATGTGAGCAGGTAAAGCTGTGTCTGTATTTTTCCTTTCCTCTTCCTTTTAAGATCGAAGCCCCCTGACTTGAGCCTTGCTCCCCATCTGTGCCTCCAATTCAGGAATCTCCCTGCTTCCCATTAGCAGCTGCTCCCCACTGATTCTCTCCTTCCTTCACTGAAGCAGCAACTCTTCCCTCTGAGCCCACACCTCATGGGCTTTGCAATTTGAGCTATTTCCTCCCCTGAGTTGGTGCAATGGGGGTGAAGTTGCTTTGAGATCTGAGGAAGATTCATGGAGGAGATGGCATTTGAGCAAGCCTTGAAGGCCCCTTTGAGTGCCAGATCTGAAGTGGCCCTTCCCAGCTGCAGTTCCTGCACCCAACACCCTCCATTCCTGGGGCATGCTGGGCAGGACCAGGAGGTGGATTGACAGAAGGATGCCCACAAAGAGCCCTGGGCTTCATCAGTCACATTACCATCCAGTCCGCTCTAGCACAGATGGGAAGCCCTTCCCTGCTGCTGCCCCAACTCTCCCCAACTTTCCTTTCCTGCTCTCCTTATTGCTACTATCCTGCACTTGGCCTGAAAAGTCACAGAAAACTGAACAATCAGAGCAAAGGTCAGGCAGGCACCCACCAATTCCAGTAAAGGACAGTTGAGGGCATTCCCCAATTGAAGCAAAGGGCAGGTTGAGGAGTCCACCAATCAGAATAAAGGACAGACTGTTCTTTCTGAGCACCCTAGGGTGGGAGCTGGGGATCGGGTGCTGAGCAGGAACCAGACAGGGCTAGAGATCCAGAGGTTTGGGTTCTGGACCTGGCTCTGCTCTGACTGGCTGTCTGACCACAGGTTGATCATTGCTTCTCATTGAACCTCAGCTTCCTCATCGGTCAAATGGGGAGACTTAGCTCTCTGAAGGCTGTGGCTTTGAAGAATTTCTCCCCCTGTATCAGGCTCACTCCGTCACCTGGGTCTCTCTTCCCCAAGTCCACATCACATGCATCAGACTCCACCAAGGGCAGGGCCTCTCAGGAGTCAGCTTGTGGGCTCCTCTGCCTCCAAGAAGGAATAGACACAAACCAACACCACCTTCTGTGCTGTCTTTAGAGCCCCCGTCTGGGGAGCGTGCATCTGGAAGACTTTATCTTGGGAGTACTGGGGGCATCAGCTCTTCCTCCCCTTTTTAGTCTTCAGAATTGACCTTGGAAGGCCATAATAGCCTGCGTGTATTGTGCACAGGTATCACTCGAGCTCTTGCCCTGTGAATCTTTAAGGAACTGTACCAGTGAGAACGTGTGTGTGTGTGCGCACATGGATGGTGTCTGAAGGCCTGCTGGGATGTCTGCGAGGACGTGGGATCTGTGGCTGTGTGGTGCTGAAGTTGTCTGTGCTGTGATGAGGAGTGCCTAAGGGTCAAAAGACAAGTGATCCAATTTGGGTATTGTGTTGTCTGGAATCAGTAGCTTCTGATGTCTGAGGGTAGACATCTTCCCATGACCAAGATATGTGTCTTCATCCTTGAGCAGTGGGAGGGACCAAGGAAGCCTGGGGGTTGGGGAAAGCGATGCTGAGTAAGCATCTGGGGAGAAGGCCCACTACTGCCCTCCTCCTGGGAACACTGGATTGGGTGGGGGAAGGGGAGGAAACTGCAGCCAAGAAGACCCAGGAGTGAAATTTGGAGCTGAAGCCTGGATGCAAGTCTTCATTGAGAGCCCAGCGTGGAACTTTCTGGCAAATAGGCATTCAGCCCACTCTTGTGCACCCTTGAGGATGGGAAGCTCACTTCCTCCCTCTCTCCTGGTGACCTGTGGCATGCCTTTGTAGCATGGCCCTACCTGGAAGAAGGTCCTTCAGCCCACTAGACCAAGGCCAGCCTCCTGTGAAATCCTATGGGTCCCCAGGCTGTCCATGGGGCCACAGAGTTCAGATCCCCCATCTAGGAGGGTCTGAGAGATTGGAGTTGGAGACTGATAACCCTGGGTCTCCTCTGCTTTAGATGAGGCATCCCTGGGTTATCCAGTCTTAGTCACATGCAAAACTTGGTTTCCAATTCCCTCGTTTCATAGGTCGCCTCCTCTGGATGAGTGTCATCTTGTCAGCCCCTGGGACACAATGAACAGGGGATGGTCTAACTAGACTATAAAAGTGGGGGAACTGTCATCTTCCCAATTGGGTTAACAGACCTCTATTAATATGGCCTGCAATTTGAGCATTTTTATTTCTTGCCAGTCATGCTTACACTGTGGGCTCATGCTGAACTGTGGTCTTTTAAGACCCTCAACCTCATATCATGTTCACATGAATGGGGACCCAGCCATGTCTCCTTCATCTTGCAGTTAATCACTTTGCTTTCTGAACACAGACCCAACCTTCCACTGGGAAGACATCTGAAAGGACTTCCAAGGGCTTGCGGGAGGGCATGGCTGGTGGCTGGTATGAGTCACGATCTTGCCTTGGCCCTCGTTTCCTTTGTTCTGTTACCTTTCTCTTTGATCCCCATGGCTCTGGCCAAGTTAATAGAGCGAGAAGCAGGGACTTTTGTCTCCGTTCCGGCTCTGCAAGGACGAGTTCTGTTCCTGGGATGGGAAGGCTGTGAGACAGTCAAGGCTGACGTCTCCTTCTCCTCCTATAGTTGCCAGGGGTGGCCCAGCTGTTCTCCCACCTTATGGGTTATGCACCCCATAGGCTCTTGCTACTCTCAACCCAGCCCCTCACTAGGCTGGAAAATGAGACTAGGTGAGACCACCTTCCTTCTGGGGAAAGTGAGCGGGACCCAGCTTCAGCGAATATTCAGCTGAGCATCTACTCTGTGTTGGGCATTCTGTGAGGCACTTTTAGGACTCTGATTTTTATTTTCATTTTTAAGGGCTCAATTTCATTTTATCTTCATGTCAGCCTGTAGGGGGCAATAGCCCCAGCTGCTTCCAACTTACAGATAGGAGACTGAGGCTCAGTGACTGAACCAAGACACTCACTGCTCATACACAGCGGAGCTAGGATTCAAATTTGGGTGTTTTTTTGTTTGCTTGTTTTGTTTTAATTTGGAGCCTTGTGGTTTCCCTACTGTGCCAGAATTGTCCTCGACTAGAGAACAAGAGACCTGGGGTCTAGGCCAGGCTTGACCTGTTGACTCACTATGAGGCCTTTGCTAAGTCCCTGGCCCTTCTCTGCGCCTCAGTTTCCCCACCTGTAAGATGAGGGTACTTGGACATTCTGTGGCCTTAAGACTGTTTGATTTTGAGATCCTAAGATCCTGGGATTCCTGTGCCTGAAAGACTCGGGCTCTGGACTAAGCTGGGGGGTTTTGCTCACAGTCCTTTGGGCAGATGGGGCTGCCCTGGCCTGCCTGGCAAAGCCTCTCACTGCCCTCTCCTCTCTTCCAGGACGCCTTGCTGAGTCTGGGCTCTGTCATCGACATTTCAGGCCTGCAACGTGCTGTCAAGGAGGCCCTGTCAGCTGTGCTCCCCCGAGTGGTAGGTGCCCGCCCTTGCCCCACGCTTCCCACCCCACCCCCAAATCCTTTGACCAGCTCTATGCTGTACCTCACTCAGGGCCAAGGAGGAAGGAAGAGGCAGGGTCCCTGCCCAGAGGACTTTCATGGGGAAGTGAAGGGTCTGGATGGGTGTTCTGAGACAGCTTTCTGGAGGAGGAAGCCTGAAGCTAAGCATCAAGGAATGAACTTGCATAGGAATCCTGCAATGGCTGAGCCAGAAGGGGCCTTAGAGGTTAAGTGGAAAAGCTGTGTCTCAGATAATGAAAGGGATTCACCTAGGATAACAGGACGTGGTGGAGCCAGCTGAGTTTTGGAATACATGCAGCAGGAGAAGTTGAGGGTAGACATGTAGAAGAACTTCCTGGAAGCCAGGTCTGGGAGGTACTAGAATAGGGCTCAGCTTTGATGAATAGACATGCATTGGGTTAAAGTGCCCTGCCTGGAGATGGGAGGCTGGAAAAATGGCCTCTAGCAGCCTTTTAGCAGCTTTCTTTCTGTCCCATCCCAATACCATGGATGAGTTGCAGGTTTGGGGCAGGTTTGGGGTGATCATGGTTGCCTGAGCCCAGAGTGCCTTACTGGGGAGATTGTGCCCCTCATCATCTGTTCCAGGCCACTCCCCTACCTGGCTTCAATGGCCACTGTTCATCCCTTAGGCAGGAGGATGGGTAAACCAGCCCTTGAGGCCCAAAGTAGCAGGGTGTTAGTTGCACCAGAAAGAGGGAAGCAGGGGACGTTTGAAGCCTGGAGAAGGGAGTCTGATCCAGCCTAAGGGGCATGGAAGACTTCCTGGAGGAGGAGATGCCCTAACTGAGTCCTGATAGCCTTGAATGTCCTCTTCCCTACTCTAAACCCGGCCAAGGGCAGCCTCTGCTCCAGGAAATATGGCCAACTCAGAATGTGACCTTCCCATCCCTCCAGAGCCCATTGTCCCTGAATCTGCTTGATGGATGAACCACCGGAGGCCCAGAGAGAGAGGGCACTTGTCCCAAGGTCACACAGCATGACAGGGATAAATGGGACTTGGTATCTAAGCAGCCCCATTCCCTCTCCTCAGCTCTGCCTTCCCCAAACCTCCTAGAAGTTCAGAGCCCAGGAGGAGGGCTAATGAGTGAGCTTTATTGAGTGTGAAATTGGTAGGAAGTGGGTGGTGTGTTGGCGCCCAAAAATAAATCCTCCTGGAGAAGGACGGGACTAAGGCAACATCTGGGCTGGGGTGAAGGCACATCTGGAAAGGGAGGGTGGTGGAAACTGGCAGGTCGGTTTCTGTAGGGCTGCCCCGAGAGCCTCTGTGGCCACTGAGGCTGCCGTAGGGTGGGAGGAGGAAGTGACTGGCTCTGTTTCACAGGCAGGGTGCCCTGGCGGCTGTGCCAGCCTAGATGCTCTGCAACAGATTAATTGTCTCCCCAAAGCTGGGGGCTGGGATGACAGCTGTGGTCCAGGTTCCTGGGACAGTGGGAAATGTCAGCCCTGGCCCACCCAAGAGCCCTATAGGAGCTAGGGAAGCCCTGACTTTCGGGAGTCCTGGCTTGATTGCACGGAGGGGCTCAGCCCCCAGTGAGGTAAGGGAGCTGAGGTCTGCTCTGCTGCCCCCAGGGAGGGAAGCAGAGATGGGGAGGGGACCCCCGCCCAGGGAGGAGAGCTGCTGGCACCTGGCTTCCTCATCAGCACCCATTGTGGCAGGCAGCCCCGAATGCAGATGGTGCTGATGTGTCTGAAATGGTTCCCTCCTTCTCTCCAATAGACTCAGCTAATTTTAACCCAGAGGGCTGAGAGTAAGGGGGTGGGAGACATACGGACATGCGGAAGTGAAGCGAGAATCTGTCCCCCTCTGCCCCCATGGACTACCCACCCCTCCCTCTGCCTGGGCAGGACTTTCTGTGTAACCCCGGCTGGTCTCTTAACCTCTTTGGGCCAAATAACTCAGGCCCCTCCCAGGCTGCTGGAAGAGATGGATGACAAGGAGGCTAGATATAGCCGAAGAGTGGGCGGCCTCCTTCCCACTGAATTCTTTATCCCTGAACATCCCACTTAGGTTTCCTTCCAGCCAAACAAGAGGGTGTCTGCCCCTCTCACTCCCTTCAGGCCTTATCATTCCCACCCCATGCCACACCCACCACGGAACCTGGCTCAGTGTCTCTGGAAGTAGTGGCCAGGCATCTCCTGTGGTGGGGGCTGGCTGGCGACAGCTGATGACAAGAAGAGTGGCTGGCAGGATTGTGGACGCTCTCAGAGTCATGGAAGGCAACTGCTTCTTCTGGGAAGGATTCCACACTTACTGAGGGTGGGCCTTCAACACGTAGCTCCACTGTCAGCTCCTCCCAAAGCCCTCCAGGATACCCTCAGCTGGGAGGCAAGCCCTTCTCCATCCTCCTGCGGAGAAAACAGCAGAGTTGTGGACAAGGCTGCGTTGCATGGGGGTTGGTCAGGGATCCCGAAGGGTTGCCAGTTCTGCTTGGAAGGAATGTGGATTTTTGCCTGTAGGTCAGTGAGGGCAACTACTTCTGCCAAGACATGGCCTGGAACTGAGGCCAGAGCTGCTCTGGGCCCTTGGGGAGGGAGGATTAAAGAGCAAGAGCTTTGATCTCCCTCTGAGGAGTAATCGGTCCAAAATACAAATCTGCTCACGTCTCCCTGTGCACGTCCTGCCCTGCCCCAGTTCTGTTCGTAAGCCCATCCCACTCAGCCCTACTGACCTTGGGCCCAGCCCCTGTGCCCCTTCCCTCACTGTCTGTTCCTAAATGCTCCATGCTTTATACGCCTCTGGACCTACCTGTGTACCTGCTATAAGGCCTGGGAGCCCATTCTGCACCCTGCCCACTCCCTGAATGTGTCTAATTCCCACTCAGTGACAGCTGAAAGGTCACTTCCTCCAGGAAGCCCTCTCCAGCCCCACCGGAGGATGGCGCAGTGCCCTGCTCTGTGTTCCTCCCCTGGCTGGGGTTATGGGTGTGTGGTTTCTTGTAGAGGTGAAGGAGGGATGCTTCCTAGAACATTCTGAGCCCCATCCCTGGTACAGCTCAGAGTGGATGCTCAGTTATTGTTTGCTGAATGCCTGAGGCTGGAGTCAGGCAGGGAAATATCCCAGGTGGGAGGTGATTTGTCTGCACCCTCAGTCCTTGAAACTCTTTACCTGGCACATTGGGTTTTGGGTGGTAAAAAAGGTCATAGGTTCATGAATCATTGCCTGCTTAGAATTCCGTCCAAGAGGAGAGGACGAGGTGCTTAGTTCACCGGGTGTTTTGCTGCCCTGGCTGCATCTTAGAATCACCTGGAGAGAAAAACAAACAGATCATTGCCAGAGCTCCACTCCCACAGGTTCCATGACCTTGCCCCACAGACCCCTGTGTACAGGCTGGGACTGGGCAGCTGGGAGGGCCTCTCCACAGGGTCTCATAAGTGCCTTCTGTCCTAGGAAACTGTCTACACCTACCTACTGGATGGTGAGTCCCAGCTGGTGTGTGAGGACCCCCCACATGAGCTGCCCCAGGAGGGGAAAGTCCGGTGAGCCATTCTCTGCACCCCCATTGCCCTCTTGCATGGCCAAGGATTCTCAGGGCTGAGGCACCATCCAAGGTCATCTGGTCTGACCCTCCCCTTCCAACATTGATCCCCGCCTCCCTGCCAGGTGGGATTCCTTGGCCAGGTTGCTGACTCCAGCACAGAAGGGCAGAAGCAATGTCTTCTCTTCCTTGGGGAAATGGATAGGCACAGAGAAAATACCAATTGATGGTAAATTTTCTCCTTCTAATTGCTTCTAAATGGCTGCAGCCTCCTCAGAGCAGAGTCTCAGAACATTGGGGCTATGGGGTGTATCAGTTAGAACACCGGCATGCTGTGAGAACTACTGCGAGGCTGGACCTGGAATCCCAGCATGCTGGGCCTGCAGGAGCTCACAGTGCCAACTCCTTGCATCTGAGAACAGGGAGATCACAGGCAGCGTCCTGCTGAGGGTTCTGGAGCCCCACTGCCTGGGTTCAAATCTCAGCTCCCTGTTTACTAGCTGTGTAACCTTGGGCAAATGACACAACCTCTCTGTGCCTCAGTTTTGTTTATGAAATGGTGATAATAATGGTGCTTATAGGATTGTGGGGAGGATTAAATGTGTCACACATGTAAAGCATTTAAATCAGGCCTGATCCATGGTGAGGGCTGTCTGTTGGGGATTACCATTGTGAGAGAATGCTGGAATCACTGACTTCAGGATCATGGGATCAGGGCACTTGGCCCCCTGATACCTTGATGCCCATTTAATTCAGCCTCCTCATCTTCCAGATGGGTGGATATCATGAGACATGACCAAGGCCACATGCCAGGTATGAGGCAGAGCCAGGCCTAGGACTCGGGTCTTCTGACTCCTGGCTGTTTAGGGGAAAGTGAGAGGAAGTGGAACTCATCAGATGAGAAAACCTTGGGGGCAGGCATGCTGCTGGGAGGAGGCAGGCTCTGAAGGATGTGGCCATTGCCTGCTAAGCACTGAATGCAGGGCCATTGTGGGGCCCAGGGAGCACTGGGCAGGAGCTGAGGGCAGAGTGGGCACCAGTGGGGATGTCCCAAGAAGGCAGCTCTCTACCCCTGTGAGGAGGGCTTTTCCAGCAGGCCAGGTGGTCCAGGGATGTGGCTTTTTCAGGTAGCAGCTGAGCCTGGCAAGCCACTCACCTTTCACAGGGACCATGGAAAGAATTCCTGTTTGAGGATGCTGGACTCATGGTCCTGAGGCCCCTCCTTGTGCTGGAAACCCTGGTTTCTAGGATGCTGGTCTCTCCTCAGCCCTTTCCCGTGGAAGGAGTTGGTTCTGCTCTGATAGCCACCTTCCCATTTCCTATTCTCCCACTGAGCTCCTTTCACCTTCCCCTAACAACTTCTCCGTCAAGGAGCATGGGAACAAAGCCATTACCACCTCTCTCTAGCCTTTGTGTCCCGTCTGTAAGAGGATGGTCTGAAAGGTCTTTAGAACCTTAAGGGGAAAAATGTGGTCATGTCCCCCTTTCTCCTCTAATTCCAAAGAACTTCGCTCTCCTCCAGCATCCCCCACCTCTAATTCTAAAGAACTTTGCTTCATATAAGCTCCACTCCTCCAGGAAGGCTCCTCGGAGCAGCCTGGGAGGCCTTCCTGGGAGGGATGCAGGAAAACAGGCTCAGGAGGCAGCGGGGAGCAGCCTGCAGGTTTGCTTCACTCCCTAGGACCCACACATGCTCCCCTCAGCTGTCTGGGCATGTAGAGTGGGTGCGTATCTGCGGTCCAGGCATTTTTGAGAGGGCTCAGATCCTTGGCATCAGCTGCCCTTTCAACATCCTCCTTCCAACCACTTCAGACTCAGTAAGGCCTTTGGAAAAAATACCAAAAAAAAAAGCAATTAAAAGTGAATATTCAAATCCAATTATCCCAGAGCTCAGTGGAGATGGGGAGGTGAGTGCCTGCTGGTAGACAGGGGCTGAAGATTCCAGGAGGAGGGCCAGGGGATGAGAAGGCAAGAGAGTGAGGACAGCAAGGACCTCCCAGGGGACATACCCATCATCAGGACACACCCGTCATCATCCCCAAACAGGAATTCTTTCCATGGCCCCTGTGAAAGGTGAGTGGCTTGCCAGGCTCAGCTGCTACCTGAAAAAGGATTGGGGGAAGGCCCAGGCCCAGTGCTCTCTCTGGTATCTGAGCTCTGCTTGCCCACCTTTGTGCCTGGTGTCTGGTGGTGAGCCCATCTCCACAGTTAGGGCGGAGAGGCCCCAGGGTTGGCTGGGCCCTGCTCTCAGGAGCTCCCAGCAGGATGGGGACTTGAGACCCAGGTGTATGGACGAGGGAAGAGCACTGGAATGGGATTCAGACAGGTCTGGATTCTAGCTCAGCCCCCTCCCTGTCTCTCTGCTTTCCTACCTGAGGCCCGGTCTATTGGCTTAATGGGGTAACAGGGGCCAAGTGCTTGGCACAGTGCCCAGCACACAGTAGGAGCTCAGTGATTGCTACTTGCACTCCCAAGTCCCAACCAATGATTAGCCTTGAGTGACCTTGAGAAAACGACTTCTCTTCTGGCCTTTTTTCTGTGAAATGGGTGGGGTTGGGTACAGGGTCCTTCCGATGGTGACCTTTGTGGCTCTGGTCCCCCCAGGAGGGAGAGGGACTGACCTACAGGCTGCCGTGGAGCCTGAGGCTCTAGCAGTGCCCGAGGAGGTGGGGGTGTGGGGAGGGTGCTACTCCAGGAAACCCTGGACTGTGGGCAAACAGCAGCAGGTGTGGCGTGGAGGCTGGATCATAGAGACAGATAAGGAGGCCCGAGGCAATGGGCAGGGAATGGGATCAGGGCAGTGTGGGGAGAGACAGGGTGGAAAAGGGTCAAGGCGGGAGTGAGGAGGCCCCCGCCAGCTCCCAGCCCCACCTGTCCCTGTTCCTGCCGCTGTTTGGGCTCTCAGATGCCCAGCTGCATCCCCCCAGTGTGTTTGGCTTTCCTGTCTTCTTGTGCTTGTAAGGGCTGCTTGCTCCCTTGCAAAGACCGTCCCTGCTCCACTTTCATCTCAGCCAATCCCATTGTAATTATCTTTCATGGCCTGACCAGAAGCTGTCTTGGGGAAGCCTGCTCCACAGTTCCCTGACACTGAGAAGGAACCAAGTTTCAGAAAAGGGGTCTGGGCCATATTGGCCTCCCTTAGGGTTCTTCCACAGGAAGAACCTTGGGCTGGGAGTCAGAGACCTGGGATCCAGGACAACATGGCTGCAATCACAATCCGATGCCCTCTTCCTGGGCCTCCATATGCCCTTCTGTAAAATGATACGCTGAACATTCTGATATTGAGGGCTGGTGAGGCTCTGAATTGTAAGGGCTGCAAACGACCTTGGGGCTGGAGAGGAGAGAATCCTGGAAGGCTGCCTGGGCCAGGGTCTTCCTGAAAGGAGGCTTCACTTCCCTCTTGTTGGTGCCCCACCTCCATCTCCCAGACTGTTTCAGGCCCCAGCTCTGCCGCCTTCCTCTTCTTGTGTCTCCTGCTATCTTAAAGCCTCTGATTACCTGATGCTGAGTGCAGCAAAAATCTCAGGCCTTTCAGCTGCAACTGAAGCACCCACCGCCCACCTCGGCCCAGGCTGGCTGTCTCCCTCTGCTACCATTTTGGGGTCCCCAGGGCCCATCCCTAAGAAATTTCTTCCCCTAAGCTGACCAGGTCTTCTTTCATTGCAGAATCTGACCATCCCTAGGGGTTGTCTCAGAGGACACCGGGAACGGTCTGCTCCCATCTCGGGATCCTCACATGCTGGGGGAAGGAGGGCAAGAAGAGGGTCCAGGTCCTGGGGGCTCAGTGAGAGTGGGGGGCTTAGTGAGGGGATGGGGGCCCAGTGACAGTGGGCAGCCTCAGTGAGGTGATGGGGGCCCAGTGAGGATATGAGGGCTCAGTGAGAGTGGGGTGGCCCAGTGAGGGGATTGGGGCACAGTGAGAGTGAGGGGCTCTGTGAGGGGGTAGGGACTTAAGTGAGGGGATGGAGACTTAGTGAGAGTCGGGGGGCTCAGTGAGGGTGGGGGTTCCCTGGGGGGATGGGGTTCCGTGGGAGGATGGGCTCAGCAACAGGCTTGGCTGCTTACTGATGCCTGGGACCTAGTGGGTGTTGGAGGGGGGCTTCTCCAAAGTAGAGAACGCGAGAAGGACACACACAGGGGCTCAGAGAAGTGCAGGGGACCCAGCTCTTTCCAGGCTGTTGGCCCTACCAGCAGAGAACCTTTCCCTCGATTCTTTTTCCATTAAACAAATAGTTGTTAAAGGGACGGAACTGCCATAAAGTCCACGCCTGTTCCTCTCTCCACTCTGTGCCCATCTGTCCTTATCTTCAGTGGGGCAGGCCATGACCACCCAGGCACCCAGTGCTGTCATTAGCCTTCGCCTGGGCAGCTGGCCCTGGGTTGTGGAGTTCCCCACAACCCCCAGCATGAGCCTGGAAGGCAGGGTGGGGGTGGGGTAGTAGTAAGGGAGGAACTGGAGAGGAGCAGGGAGCGGCTCTGAGTTGAGCAAGGAGCTATCGGGGGTCTGAGCAGTGGACGAAGCTCCCGCTCCCATGTGGGTGGGGGAGACTCAGCCTTGGCACATTCCCCCTCGCAGTCTGTGGGCATCTTTGGAGACTTCAGGAGGACAGCAGTTCTGGGAGGGCTATGGCAGAGGAAAGGGGCTCCCATGGGGGTAGGTTGAGGTGAGTGTGGGCTATGGGGTCCCGCAAAGCCGGGGGAGGGCAGGCTGCAGAGCAAGGTGCCGAGGCTGCCTAAGAATTGAGGGTCCTTGGAAGCCCCAGTGCTTGGGGGCATCTCGGCTTATCAAGATTGGTCTATCCCAGCTCAGCCTCTGTCTTGTCCAGGGCCACTAAGATGATAGGACCCTCACTGAGACCAGGTTTCCAGTGTCACAGTCTCCTTATGTGGAGAGTTTTACCCAGGCAGCATGATCGTTCTGAAATCATACCTGACCATTACCGTCCCTGCTCAAATCCCTCCCAGGGCACCCCCTGCCCTCAGGCTCAAGCCCAGCTCCATAGGGCCCTGGCCCCTGTCTAGCCTTGCTCTCGGCTGTCCAGTCACACCAACCTCCTTGTGGCCATACCTTTCAGCAGGCACACAATCTTCTCGCCTCCAAGCCTTCACAATTGCAATTCCCTGGACATCCTTTCCTGTCTGCCTCGATAACCTCTGCCTGTCCTTTAGGACTCAACTCAGATGTCTCCCTCTACAGGAAGCCTTCTCTGACTCCATCACACCCTGCACCTGAGTGGGCTGGGGCCTGCTCTTCCTGCCTTTGGCAGAGCTCTCATCTCCCGACTGAAGCGTGGGTCTGTACGTTGATCTCTGCGTGTTCTTGGCCTCCTCAAGTGAGGCATATGTCTGACCCCTCTGCTCATCTCAGCCCTCAGCACTGAACCTGACCCAGAAGGACCCAGTGAAATGAGAGACTTTAAGTAGAATGCTCCCCGAGGTTTTTCATCTAGAACACTTATTCTTGCTCTGCCATGGAGAATGGATTGAAGAGACCCAGCTAGGAGGCTAGAGGCTTGGGGAGAGGCTGCTTCAGGGTTCAGGGAAAAGGTGTCTCCATGTGAGCTGGGCAGTGGCTTGGGCATAGAGAGCAGAGGACAGTTGTGAGAGACAACTGGGAGGTGACTCACTGATCGGATGGGGGAGGTGAGGAAAGAAGGCAGGTTTTTGGACAAGCCGTGAAGGACCTGGTGGATGGTTGTGCTGCTTTGTTGTGAGGTGGAGGGAGTGGAGATAATAATTCAGATGGTATGGGGGTCCCTGGGCCACCTCAGGGACGTGGTGGGGAGGCTCCAGGTGGCCTTTGGGTATCTGGGGTCTGGAGCTCATGAGTGAGGGCTGGAGAGTCATGAGGCCGTGAGCACAGAGGAGGGGTTTTGTGCAAAAGAGAAGAAAGGCTGAGGACAGATTCCTTCATCAGGGTCCTGGGAAAGAGAGGCCAAGCAGCTCCAGTCCAGGGGTGGGAGGGGAAATAGTTGGGAGTCGGCAGGATGAGGCTGCAGTGCGCACTGACCAGCAACGCAAGGACCAGTGCCACCTTGTGGCCTCCGGTTAACCAGATTGTCTGAGGCCAAGGAGCTGGGCAGGGTTTGGCCAGGGGTCACCCCCTGCCTCCGTGAAGCCTCAGCCTTCATCAGTTTAATCATCAGGAAACGTGGCTCCCGTTGCCCTCCTGCCACCCTACGTCCCTCTCCTTCCCGGGGTGACTGGCAATGTGGACAGCCGGGAACTGGAGCCCAGCACTTCAGGAACCTTAAAGGTCCTGGGTGTAGGGGCTGGAAGGTGGGAGACACCACCGGTTCCTGTAGATCCTGGATTACTTAAAGTGGCCAGGAAGGAATGGGTTTGGTTCAGAATGCTGCGTGAGCTTGAACGAGATGCTCAACCTCTTTGGTCCTCGATTTGTCTAGAGTCTCTGACCTAGTGATCTCGTGACTTGCAGGCCACCCCCTCCTTTTCCTCATGTGACCTTTGCTGGGCTTCCCTTAGTGACCCTGTATGCACACAGTTCCCCAAGTTTCTCTTCTGTCCAGGCCAGGCAGTTCCTACAAGCACAATTAAGTGGAGGCAGCATGAGGGATGAAGAACCCAGGACAATTAATCATCAAGGAGTGACATTTGGTGCAAACTCAGGTGCTTAATTAAGCGGGATGAGCCAGAGGCTGGGGGGTAGAGGAGGTGGGTTGTGTGGTGGGACAGAGAGAAACTCATTCTTCCCATACCAACCTCCCCTGCCTTGGTTCCCACCACCCCTCTGCCACTGTCATACCCTGCCACTCACACCTGCCCCCTGTTCAAAGCTCACACCTCCACAGGTATTTGGGAAGGTTCCAGCATAGTGGTTAGACCTAGCCCTGGTGCCACCTACCTGGGTTCAAATCCTGGCTCTACCGCTTATTCACTGTGTAACCCTGGGCAAGTGAATTAGCCTCTTGGTGCCATAGCTTCTCCATCTGAAAATGAAGATATCTAATTCATAGAATTGCTGGGAATTCTGAGTTCATCTATGTGAGTTGCTTGGGCTGTGCACGGGACATAGGAAATGGCCAATAAACTTTAGTTATGATGATTACCTCCTGTGCTTAGCACTAAAAGCTGATCAACAATTGTTTTCTGAGGATGGTGACAGGGAGGGTTCTTCTCTCTCCACCCTAGTTCTCCTTGGGAAGATCAGAGAGGTCAGGTCATGTGCCTAAGGTCAGATTGTAGCAGGCAGCCTAGCTTTGAGCCCCTGCATTCACTTCCTCTGCTCTCCCACTGCCTGGAAGATCTGCACTGGGCCCCACCCGAGCCTTTACCAGCAAGGGGCACCAGAGGCCAAACTGTGGCTGCCTGTTTCTCCACATAGGGTCCAGGGTCCCCTACTTTTTTACTTGTGCTGTCATCGTGTCCAACCTGAGGCAGGTCAGCTTGCCCAGATCCTTGCACATGTGCAGGGTCCAAACTGTCCTGTGTTCCCAGGCCAGGCCTCGTTCCTCCCTGAGTCGGGGGCTCTCAAGGTGGCATCATGTCCTCTTTTCAGGGAGGCTATCATCTCCCAGAAGCGGCTGGGCTGCAATGGGCTGGGCTTCTCAGACCTGCCAGGGAAGCCCTTGGCCAGGCTGGTGGCTCCACTGGCTCCTGATACCCAAGGTAAGGGCTAGGGGCTGGGCAGGGGCAGGGGCAGGGGCAGGGAGGGACTGTGGCCCCTGCACTCCAGGTCATGTGTGTCTTCTATTCCTCTTCATCTCTGTCTCCTTCTTTCTCTTGCTCTGTGTCTCTAGCAGTCCCTCCATCTAATTCTCTCTCTATTGTACTACTAAATTCTCTGAGCCTCAACTTCCTGACTATAAAATGGGACAATAGTATTTACCTTGAGGGGGTGTTTCAAGGAGGTGCAAGTGAGATCATGCATGTTAGGGGCCTGGCACAAGCGAGGGCTCAGTGGCCCGTGGCTGTGGTTGTGATGTGCCTGTGCCTGATGCTGGATGGGGCTGTAGTTGTTCTCACATTCTCTCTGTCACTGTCATTGGCCCTATTTCTCTTTTTCTTCTCCTCCATGCCTCCTGTCCGCCATGTCCCTCTCTGCCTCGTGTCTCAGTCTCTCTAGGTCTCTGTCCTCTGTCTCGATGTGGAAAGTGCACAAGACTGGGAGTCAGGAGACCTGACTTGCTGTGTGATCTTGGGCAAGTCACTTCCCCTTTCTAGACCTCAGTTTCCCAATCTGTAAAATAGAGGTGCTCAGCCTCACCTGCCTTCCTCCCTGCAACCCTGGGAGGATCACAAGAAGGTTGTGAGTGAAGGGGTTTCCTTCCATGCAGAGGCTGTTGCTGTGGTTGTTTTTGTTGCTGCCTCAGGACCCGCCTCTGTGTTTCTGTGGGTTTTGGGGTCTCTGTGTGTCTCTGTCCTGGCCTCTCTTTGTCTGCATCTTTGTCTCCCCCACCTGGGTCCCGGCTCGGTATCTCTGAGCCTCGCCAGCCCTGCAGGAGCACCTCATTGCCCTCTCCCCCTCAGTGCTGGTCATGCCGCTAGCGGACAAGGAGGCTGGGGCCGTGGCAGCTGTCATCTTGGTAAGAGCCTGCCTAGGCGGTGGGATGTAGGGAGAGGAGACCATGGGAGGGAGTGGTGGATGGAGCCTGTCCAGGGTGTGTGTGTGTGTGTGTGTGTGTGTGTGTGTGAGAGAGAGAGAGAGAGAGAGAGAGAGATGGGAGCCATAAGCGAGGATGGAGTGAGGGGAAATGGGGGTGTGGGGGTGGGAGGAGTTGGGGCATCTCCCACACCCCAGCCTTCTGCCCCACCTCGAATAGGTAGGATGAAGCCATTGGCCCAGTCAGCAGCTTTCTGAGGGGTGTGCAAGCCCCTGCTGGACTCTCAGCCCCCATAAGGTTAGAAGGCCCAGCCTTTGGCGTACGCAGCACTAACCTTGGTTTCTCTTTGGGATCCTCCAGATGGGGTGGGGATAATGTCCAGGAGGGCATGAACCAAGTGAGGTGTGAAGAGAGATGCTGCGGAGGGACAGATGGACATAAGGGCCTGACCAATAGAGATAGTGTGGAAAACTAGCCAGAGATTTGGAGTGGCTGGAGCTGGGGGCCTTGAGGAGAGAAAGGCCATGGTCAGGCCAGCCAGACCCAGGGCTGAGGCTGGGCGGAAGACAGGCAGCTAGGGGGGCTTTCTGGAGTGGCTGAGGAAGGAGTGTTAGTGGGAAGTGGTGGATGCTCTGCCAGAGCCCCAGAACCCAGACAAGCCTCCCTCTGCAGCCCCTCGAGGAGTTCCCAGGGTTTCTGCTCCGTGGAGGGGATTGTGGAAGTGCAGAGCCTGTGGGGACGGGATTCTGCCGCTCTTTCCGTTTCTTCTCCTGTATGGAGGTGGGGGTTCAAACTCGTTCTATCCTAGTAACCAAAGGATGAGTTCCCCAAATTGCTATTATTGGGGGTCTGCTTCTGTCGAGGGGGCTGCCATTCCAGTAAAGGGCAGGCTTGGGGGCATGGACAGATAAATGAGCAGGTGTTGGTTCCCCGGGGACTCCTCTCCAGCTCATTAAAATGGAATTAAACGCTTCCCAGGCGCCTGACCTTTCTGAGCTGCTGGCAGGAGAGGGCAGTGGGAGTCAGGGATGGCTGAGAGGGGAGGAGAGGGGGGAGGGGAGGAGGGGTACTTGGCTGGGTCTCCTCTGCACCCATCTTCCTGACTGAGGGAGCCAAGGCCGCTGCTTGGTTTCTCCGCAAGCTGCTCCCCCCACCCCCGGTTTCTGGAACGGAGCTGCTGTTGCACGGAGTTCTCAGGGGGTCGCCTCCCCCTATTCTTTGCTCTTGGTCTGCCCCAGGGCTGGTCAGCTTTGAGGGGCACTGAGGTGAGGGGCTGTGTGCAGAGGTGGGGATTGGGAGGTGGTGGCTGGGTCACGCACCTCCTTCTCTGCTGAGGGCAAAGGGCCTGGGGTGCCAGGTGCCTGAGAAGGACTTCCTTAGATTGAGGCTATGAGGACTGGGTCAGGAGGGAAGTAAGGGGAAGACATTTGGAAGGTTGCTTCCCTTGTGGGCGGAATGCTTGCCATGGCCGCTGCTCACCTTGGCTCAGGCTGGGCCAGAGGCCAATGTGTGTGTGTGTGTGTGTGTGTGTGTGTGTGTCTCAGGGACGCTGGTGGGATCAGATCACTTACACTTAACTCACCCAGTAGAACTCTGGTCTGGTCCTGCGGCAGGCTGGGTGCTGGAGCCGACTCTGCCTTCAGGGAGCTCTCAGTCTGGGGGAAGGCAGGGACACCCTCCCCACCACAGGCCAGATGAAATACTGTTGCCAGCAGGTGTTCTGGTGGCAAAGCCTGGAGCAGCAAGTGGTACCTCATCACAGAGAAAGCATTTGTGTGGGGCCTTGGGGCACAGGTAGGAGGTCCACAGGCAGGGAAGAAGGGAAAGGGGATTCTAGGCAGAGGAGGAATGTGAGCAAGGCAGGAAGGAGGCCGGGGGAAGGGGTGGTGTGCTGAGGGGAGAGTGTGGTCCTGGGGAAGCTGAAGTAGGGGTGCATGCTGTTGAGCAGGATGCTAGCCAGCTGGGCTCTGGCTGCCAGGAGTTTTCAACAACCGTCCCTTCACCTCCTCAAATACCCTGGGCAGGGAAGAACTCTTGAAAGGTGTTTAGATTATTCACATCTGCCTCTCCTCTAAGCCTGCACCTTCCCACTCATGTGTAAATGCACTTCCCTAGGATGCCCCCTCCCCAAGGCATACATGTCTGACAGATGCACCCTGGCTCACAGGATCTCACTGCCTCCCAGAGGTAGCACAGGCAGCCCCAGACTTCCCAGCTGCTGCCAGATCCTGAGGGCAGAGGGTGCAGAAGGAAGATGGAGAGCCACAGGGTCGGTTGATCTTTTGGGAAGGCCGAGTCACCAGCTCCTTCCTGGACAAGCCCCATTCCCCTCTCTCAGTCTCTGCTCTTAGTATTCATCCACTGATCCACCTACCCATCCACCCCCTCATCCATCAGTTGAACAACTATTTCTTGAGTACCCACTGTATGTCAGGCATGGAGTGCTAGGTGCTGGGAACACAGAAGTGACCAAGACAGATTAGACAGGCCCTGCCTTCACAGACCATATGGTCTGGAGGGTTGGTGGTGAGAAGCACTAAAGTGAGCATAACCCCAGCTACTTGGGAGTATTCCTTGAGCTCAGGAGTTTGAATCTGGCCTGGAGAATAGAGTGCGACTCCATCTCTAAAGACAATAAAAATAACAAAAATACTGCAAAACAAGTGAGCAAAATAAGGATAGGATCACACGTGATGGCAAGTGCTAGCAAGGAAACCCCTCGAGGGAGTCCTGCAAAGGAATGCTGGGGTCCAGTGGCGACGCCATCAGCGAGGGCTCTCTGAGGAATATGCTGGCCAGGTGCAGGGCTGTGTGGCTGACTTCTGGGCCTTTACAGCTCACTGCTCAAAGCACCTTGATTGCAAATTTTTTGTGTGGAAAGTCTTTGGCTCTGTTCCTTAATCCTGGGATAATAAGTCCCTTTGAGGAGTGGCAGCCCTTGGTCTCTGGCATTTGATGCCTGATTTGTGCCCACTCTTCCCCCAGCTGCACCAGCCACACCAGCTCCCTGCACGGGGATGGGGTGTTCATGCCATTAACCATTTTGAACTTGGTTAGGGTGGGGACCTGGGGGCTGTGCTGGGTTTTAACCCTCTCTTACAGCCACAGTGCCCAATGTTGAGTGTTCCCACTGGGTCCCAGACACTTGCCCTGATTAGCAAGAGCAGGTGTAAGTGTGTGTTCCTGTTGGCGAACAAAAAGCCATGAGTGTGTGGGGGTGATTGTGTGTGTTTGTGTATGGGGGCGCCAGGTGCATGTGCATGGCTTTTGGGTAAGTGAACTATTTCCTGTGTACAGGCATGAATGTGCCTGTGGGGATGCTGTGGACACTGTAAGGGTGGGTGTGTGGATGTCTTTGTGTCTGTGACTGCACCGTGTGTGTGTGTGTGTGTGTACCACCTCCATGGGAGATTGAGTGTAAGTGCATGTGTGTGAGGGCCTGACGTTCTTCATGAGAGTGTAGGTGTGTGTGTTTGTGCACATGCTGGGTGCAAGTAGGCCAAGGCAGCCCGAGAACTGGTTGCCCCCACAGCCTTAGAGGGGTCCCAGCCTTCTCTATTCTTGAGAGATGGGACCAGGTGGAAGGAACAAGAACCACGTCCTCCTCCATGTGCTAACAGTAAAATGCCAACATATTTATATAAGCCATATGCAAATGAACCATAGCCCCAGCTTCTCCTCCCTCCCGCCCCCGCTGTCCTGTAGGAGTCACAGATTGAGCCTCATCCAGAGCTTAAGTTTAAACACCATCCTTGACAGCCCAGGTCTCTTCCAGGTCTTCCTGCCTCCAATCTCCCTCCCTCAAATTCACCCTACACCCCACAGACAGTGGCCCTCAGATGCTAAAGTCTGCCATGGCTCCCCAGTACTCTCAGGCTAAAGTCTAACTTCTTAGCCTGGCACTCAAGGCCCTTCCTTCTGTGGTACCATGGACCACACCCCTACCTGGATCCTCATCTCCCCGCACCACCTACCGCCAGTGTCCTGGTCTCTTCAAGGTCTACTTGTCCTCCCCATGCCAATTCAGGAAGCCTTCCAAATGTCCTCCCCTCTGAGCTACCCACCTAGTTTTCTCTCTCCTTCCTCAGGTATGAGGCTCCACACCTCCTCCCAGTCATGTCTCCCCACTCGTCCCACCCCAGACAGACTGTGAGCTTCCCGAGAACCTGCTGGTCTCCTCCTCCCCATCTGCTCCTGGCAGGAGACCCAGAGCTGAGGCAGGCATTGGCTGCTGACTGGGGAGGGAGGAGGAAGGAGGAGCCCCCAGTGCAGGCGCTGTGGGGAGCTCTGCAGGTGGTGAGCAGCTTTGAGTAAGCTCCGGAAGCTAGTGACGCAGGTGGGGAGCCTTGCTGGCAGGGCCTGTAGTGGGTCCCTAGGCTGCCACCCTCCCTCCCCACCGTCTCTCATTTTCCTCGACAAGCACCCAAGTAGGAGTGGGGGAAGGGACTTCACAGAGTATGAAAGATGGGCTGAGTTCCCTGGTGACTGGCACAGGGAGCTTGGAGAGGGACAGGATGATGGGGGTGGTGGAGAGAGTGGATCTAGAGGGGGGAAGGTGTGGGCAGAGAACGGGAGGGAGTGGGTGGTGCTGTCTTCACTCTGCCACTTTCTGCTATGTGATTTTGGGCAAGTCACTCCACTTTTCTGGCCATGGCTTGCCTGCCAGGTGGAGGCTTGCATCACAGTGGTGAGAATCACATGTAAGGCAAAGCACTTCACGAACCCATTTATCCATTTATTCATTCACCCGTCCATCCTCACCATGGCAGGTGCATCATACTGAGCCCATTCCTTTATCCAAGACTTAGGGGCAGCTCAAACCCTAACTCAGACAGGATAGAGCCGGGAGGCTGAGGCTAATACCACCAATTCTAAAATCAGGACCTGCAGCGCTCCATAATCTGTGAGCTAAAAAGGGGTCTAAGGTCCCTCCATCCCCTGAACCATACACCCGGACTGTGCTCTTGATGAGACAGTGATTGAAAAGGCAGAGACAAAAAAGTTTCACGTCCTTAGGTTAGTCCTAGGAGACTTCCTACAGGAGGGATTTTCCTGGAGCTGTCTGAGTGGTCAGAAAGATGGGGTTATCACTGAGGCCCACAGACTGGAGTGTGTATGTGTTGGTGGGGACCAGTGTGTGCTGCGCATGGGGAGGGCACTCTGGCAGAGACAGACACTGAGAGAGGTCACAGCTAGTTCCCTTCTCCCATCCCTCCAGGTGCACTGTGGCCAGCTGAGTGATAATGAGGAATGGAGCCTGCAGGCGGTGGAGAAGCATGTGAGTGGGAGTGGGGCCATGTGCAATGAGGCTGAAGACCCTTATCACAGCTGGTGGGAAGATGGCCTGGCCAGGGAGCTGGACAGACCTGGGTTTCAGCTTCGGCTTTGCTGCTTTTGAGCTGTGTGACCTTGAGCAAGTCACTAAACGTCTCTGGGCCTCAGTTTCACACCTGAAAATGGGGATAATGATAGCACCGACTGACCTAGGGCAGTGGTGAAACAAAACTGGTCAAATATCTTGTAAATACACACGGTTGCCAACTTACAATTTTCGACTTTTTGATGGATTTATGGGGAAGCAACCCTATCCTAAGTCCAGGAGCATCTGTACTTAGAAAGAACCCTCCACATAATGATACTGAGGCTCTTTCATGCCTGAGACTTTATGATTTTGTGACTTTAACAAGGACTTACGACTTCCTGAGGGGGCTGGAGACAGAAATCTGACATCTTGTCTTGGAAGAATCTAGGGGCTAGGGATGGAGATAGACCCTGTACCCTCCTGTTCCTGGACCGCCGGACGCTCCAGGGGCTGTGGGAGCCCCCGGGGGAGCCCTCAGGAAGGTAGAGTCCAGGGATGAGGTGTTTGGGACGGCGGCGGGGTCCCTGGGCCCGGCAGGCAGAGGGAACGGCGGGAGCAAAGGCAGGAATCCCGCTGCAGCAAGCGCAGCGAGCTTGGGGCGAGCGGCGCGCTAACCGCTCGGCCTGCCCCAGACCCTGGTCGCCCTGCGGAGGGTGCAGGTCCTGCAGCAGCGCGGGCCCAGGGAGGCTCCCCGAGCCGTCCAGAACCCCCCGGAGGGGACGGCGGAAGACCAGAAGGGCGGGGCGGCGTACACCGACCGCGACCGCAAGATCCTCCAACTGTGCGGTGAGGGCCCGGCCTGGACAGGTCACGAGGGCGGGGCCGGGCAGAACTTGGAGGGGAGGTGGGCGGGTTAGGCGATCCCGGGAGCCGGCGGCGGGCCCGGCGCGGAGCTGAGCGGCGCCTGAGGGACCCGGACACGGAGGTGCGGAGGGGCCCTCTCTCTGACCGGCGCCTGGCCCTTGCAGGGGAACTCTACGACCTGGATGCCTCTTCCCTGCAGCTCAAAGTGCTCCAATACGTGAGTCCCTGCGCCCCTGCCGGCCACCTCCCCGTCCTGTCTCCCTCCGGGGACCAACTTCCCCTTGAGCCCTCCATCTCAGTTCCAATTACGATGTCCTTCCTTCCTCTCTCCTCCACCCGCCTGAAGAGCCCCGGAGAGGGGAGCAGGTGGGGAGTGGGGTGACCCGGATCCGCGGTCACCCCCTCGCCCTGCCTGTCCCTCTCTCAGCTGCAGCAGGAGACCCGGGCATCCCGCTGCTGCCTCCTGCTGGTGTCGGAGGACAATCTCCAGCTTTCTTGCAAGGTGAGGGCCCAGGTCCACTGTAGAGCGGGGGCGGGGCTGGGCGAGGAACTCGGGTCTCCGAGGGGGAAATCCATTGCCTTTCCTTTAACCAGCCCCCTGCACTCCGTTCCTCAGGTCATCGGAGACAAAGTGCTCGGGGAAGAGGTCAGCTTTCCCGTGAGTCCCGCGTCTGTCTTCTCGTTGGAGTCTGCAGGGGCGGTTGAGGCCGGGTAGACACTCCTGGGATCTGCCTGGAGTATTTGGATCTTCTAGACTCTTGGAATCCGATGGAATTATCTGGATCTTGGGACTACTTAGAAATGCTGCAGGGATCACAACCTGTGATCAGCAGGCTCTATTAGGAAGAATCTCTTAGCATCTACAGAAAGGCTTACCTGGGACCTGTTCACTTCTGTTGGAGTATTTCTGGATATGGATCTGCTAGAATCTGTTGACGAGAATCCTTGGAGTCTGCTTATCTCTCTCGTAGTTAGGGAAGACTCTAGAGTCCTTTATAGCGAATTCTGCCAGACTCCCCTCCATCTCTGCTCATCAATGCTGACCCTGTCCACCATTTGGACTGACTGAAGGGTTCTTTGAAACTTCCAGATTTGAGGGTGGGGACAGGTTGAGATCCCCTGACCTGGGGAGTACTGGGCCCTGACTCAGTCTCTCCTCACCCCCTAGTTGACAGGATGCCTGGGCCAGGTGGTGGAAGACAAGAAGTCCATCCAGCTGAAGGACCTCACCTCCGTAAGTCATGGCCTGGCTGACCCAGAGGGGAAAGAGGAGACCCCACTGCCAGCCCCTAGAGCCAGGGTCTCTGTTACAGAGCAGCCTAGGAATGGGGCAGATAAGACCTGGGGACTTTCTACTGTCCCATCTCCATGACACAGAGCTTCCAGCCTTGCATGAGTCCCTTAGAACTGCCTGTTGCAAAATGTGATGGAGGGCTGGAGGAGGGAAGCATACTGCGCCCTGCTTCCCTGCCCTGACTTGCCTCGCCTTTGCAGGAGGATGTACAACAGCTGCAGAGCATGTTGGGCTGTGAGCTGCAGGCCATGCTCTGTGTCCCTGTCATCAGCCGGGCCACTGACCAGGTGGTGGCCTTGGCCTGCGCCTTCAACAAGCTAGAAGGAGACTTGTGAGTCTTTGTGGGATGATGCAGATCAGGAGATGTCACTGAGAGGCTGGCTAGGGCTCCACGAGGGTAACAATGTGGGATGGGTACTGGGCAGGGGCTACTGTCTCAGCAGCAGTGGGTTGAACAGTGTGTTAGTGCAAGAGAATGAAAGTCATGTTGAGGTCCAAGCTAGTTCCTCTTCTCTTCTCCTGCTTCCTGAAGTTTGGGTAATCTGCTCTTGGGGTATTGGGTTCCCTCCCTTGCCATCCCTGTTTTTGCATTACTGCTATAAACTGCTAGATGGAGGGGTGGGTGTGCTCTGGGTTGGATGAACCCTCTGGGACCCACAAAGCATCATCAACACAGTGGACAGTGGCTAAAGGGAATATGCTTGGGGACTGGGAAAAGCTGTGGATCTTTTGAGCCCCTGACAGGGCAGCTATAAAAATGATACACAAAAATCTCTTTTTTTGTGGGCAGGGCACAGTGGACAGGAAAGCAGGCTTGGAGGCTTAGTTGGAAAGGATATCTCGAGAACTGAGGACAAACCTGGGGTCTAGAAATGGTGTCATAAATAAATTTCATATCCTACACCAACTCATAAACAGGCAGTAGGTGCCTGAATTTTATTGCAAATGGATCTTAGTTCAGGGAGAAACAGTGCTGCGTCTGATGAGCCATTTCTGTCCTGGGTGCAGGTTCACACTTGGGCTGGCAGGATGAGCAGTTTGTGCTGTGTCACATAGGTGGGGAGAAGTAGACAGATGAGGGGCTGAGTCCTGATGCAAAGAGATGCTGATAGGATGCTGGTCTCTGGAGTCCAAGCAAACAGGCTGGGTTTCAGGGCCTGGAGCTCCTGCAGGAGGTGGACACTAGAGAGCCTGGGACTAGGTAGGTGTCAGAGCCCGGGCCTGAGGTCTGCTGGGGTAGGGTGGAGATCCAGGAGTCCTAGGTCTGAGCTGCAGAACCTACCAGCATGGAACTGTGTTGACAGTTGGGTGGGCCTGGAGAAACAAAGATAGGGGCAAGGCAGAATCAGCTGAGGCAGGGAGAATGTGGGATTGGTGGCATTTGGAACTTGTGGGCATCCTAATGGTGGGAGAATTTATGCCATTCAGCAAACAAATATTGAGCACTTAATGTTGCCATCCCAGTGCTGACCAGATGGCCTTGGGAAGGCCTTTGGGGAAGGGAAGGTAGAGTGAATGGGGGTCCAGCAGGGGCCATGACTTCTTGCTGCTGGCTGTGAGATTGGGTTCTAGGATGGCCCCAGAGCTGGAGAAGAGGTGGTATCAGCAGGAAATAAGGATGGGGCCTTGGTGGCAGCTTTGAGGCCCAGGGCAGGGGCAGGGCTATCTCTGTGTCCCACGCATTTCAGGGAGTGAGTGTTGAATGACTGCATGAGCCAGGGTGGGGCTCAGCTCAGTGCAGTGACTACAGAGAAGCTTCCTGAAACACAGCTAAGTAGCCAGAGAACAGGGGCTCCAGAAGCCCTTCAGCTGTGAGTGGGATGGGGCTGGTGGCAAGGCCAGGGATAGGATACACTGACGACATTAGCAAAGACCTCCGAAGTGTTTCCTCTGTACCAGGCTCTGCACTGGGCATGGGTGATATAGTCATGGCCCCATTTCATAAGACTCGAAGCTCATTTTCAGGGCATAGAGGGAAGAGAGTGAGAAGGGTATTCTAGGCCGAGGGAACAGTGTAGAAAAAAAAGCATGAAGGTGTGAAAGAGCCCAAGGTTTTCTCAGAATGATGAGGATCTTTGTGTGGCTGAAGCTGAGAGATGTTCTGGGTTGAGGGGTGACAGGTGGGTGGGGCTAGCTGAGGGACCACAAATGTAAGAAAGGTGTGCAGACAGACCCAGGATGGTGGGGATGGGATCTAGATCCGAATCACTGGATGGCAAGCATGAATGGGGGATGCCCCACCAGGGTGGAGCACCAAGGCCAGCCAAAAAGTGGGGAAGGGCTTAGGCAGGGACACCTCAGGGCAGCGTGATGTGGGCTAAGGCAGGCTCTTCCCATGACCCACACCATTGGTCCACCCAGCCCCATGCAGCTCCCCAGTGACAAATCATTTGGTGGCCAGATTGAATGACGTGAGCAGGATTTGGGGCTTATCTTGTCTCACCAGAGCTAGCTCCATGAGCAGGGCAAGCAGTCCTCTCCACACCACCACCCTAAGATTTCTGGAGGCACCGAATCAGGGCCAGCGGAGTCCAGGGAGAGTGGGGTAGTGACAGGAGCTGCACAAGATAGGGCAGTGCCACCGCCCCTCCCCAAGGCTGGAGGTGTGCCTGGGGAAGAGCAGAACACCAGCTTGAGCCCAGGCAATCTCTAGTCTGAGGGAGGAGACCCAGCTTTGGGCTGGGTAAATCCCAAATCAGAGACGGGAGGTATGGCTCTGGTTTCAAGCATCTAAGGAGGACTGGAGCCCTCCCCTTGGGCAGCCCCCAGTCTGCAGGGTCATGGGGGTGGGAAGCTGTTCCAAGGGCCTGTGCAGTGGTTATATAGTTGGCAGGTGGGTACCCCTGTGGGCTTCTGATGGAACAGAAGTAAGGAGAGTGGGGAGAGAAGCCAGTCTTCCCTTCCCTCCTGAGTGAGCCCACCCCCTCCTCCAGGTTCACCGACGAGGACGAGCATGTGATCCAGCACTGCTTCCACTACACCAGCACCGTGCTCACCAGCACCCTGGCCTTCCAGAAGGAACAGAAACTCAAGTGTGAGTGCCAGGTGAGTGACCTGCCTTCAGCCTCTCTCGGGCACCGACTCGCTCAGTTTTCAGCCCCGAGAGCCATTCAGAAGGGAAATGCCCATGTCTTTCTGGACTGGTGGCAGCCCTTCCCCAGGTGGCTCCATAACCTCATAACTTGAAGGCTTGCAGTTGTTCAGGACCCGCGCCACTGCCCGCAGGCACTGTATGTGATCGCCCTCTAGTGTTCAATTTGGGCACTACAGCAACACCTAGGCAGCTAGAGCTGGCGTGAAGGCGGCTGAGACACTCAGGAGACTCCTCACCTGCACCGGGGCTATTCCCTCACTCCTTCACTTAGTAGCCAAATGATATAATTAGACACTGACAGTTTCTGGCTTGTCCAGTGAGCCCTAGGGAAGGAAGGAGAAGACCCGGGTGCTGTTGGAGGCAGGAGGTTGGATAGGGTGACCCCTACACCCCGACCCCCCTATGATCTCCATTTCCTTCATTCCAGGCTCTTCTCCAAGTGGCAAAGAACCTCTTCACCCACCTGGGTGAGTGCACTGTTCTCTCTGCCTGGCTGTGTGTGGGCATGGGGGCTGGCATTTGCAGAGGAGAGGCGGGAGGTCTTGGCAGCCTGGTCTCACCCTGCCTGGTCTTCTCCCTTCCCCAGATGACGTCTCTGTCCTGCTCCAGGAGATCATCACGGAGGCCAGAAACCTCAGCAACGCAGAGATGTGAGTGACTCTACCCAGGGGACAGGGCGAGAGAGGCTGTGGCCTTCAGTCCCCATCATCTCCTTTCCTGCCCCACCCACTTCCCTTTCTCTGCCTTCTGCGGGACTTCATCACCTTTTGAGGGATCCTTTATTTCATGCCTGTCTCCCTCGCTAGACTGTAGGCTCCAATACAGCAGGGACAGGGCTGGCTTTGGATCCTCAGCTCCTATCACAGTGCCTGGCACATAGTAGGTGCTTCCAAAAAAAAAAAAAAACAAAACACTTGAATGGACACGTTTCTGGAGCCAGCCAGCCCTGAGCAGAGTGTCTTACCTTGGAGCACTCCTCCCAGGCCTCGGAAATCCGGCCTTTGCCTCCTTATGGGACGTGAGGGCGATCAGAGGGGGTTGTCAGGCCCCAGAGGACCAAACCCCTCCCTCCACAGCTGCTCTGTGTTCCTGCTGGATCAGAATGAGCTGGTGGCCAAGGTGTTCGACGGGGGCGTGGTGGATGATGAGGTGAGAGGGTGTGGAGGGAGTATGTGGCCCTAGGGGTGTCCGGGAGTCCGCCGGCGGCGCTGGGGAGCGGCCCGAGGTTTAACAGTCCCCTCTGTGGCCGGGTCACTAACTTCTTCCTCTCGACTCCATCTCTGCTCCGGCAGAGCTATGAGATCCGCATCCCGGCCGATCAGGGCATCGCGGGACACGTGGCGACCACGGGCCAGATCCTGAACATCCCTGACGCATATGCCCATCCGCTTTTCTACCGCGGCGTGGACGACAGCACCGGCTTCCGCACGCGCAACATCCTCTGCTTCCCCATCAAGAACGAGAACCAGGGTGCGCGTGGCGGCCCGGGCGGAGGGGCGGGGCCTGCGCCGGGCGGGGCGGGTCCGAGCGAGCGGGGGTGGCAACACTTCCCCACCGCCTCCAGCGTCCCGGAGCATAAGGGAGTCGGGTTCCATGCCTGGGACGTACGTAACCTGCGGAAACTGCGAGGGCAGGTCCCGGCCGGATCCCTCCCTCCAACCGATCCCTCCCTCCACCGGTGGTTCCTTGCCCCTCTCCCTTCCCCAGAGGTCATCGGTGTGGCCGAGCTGGTGAACAAGATCAATGGGCCATGGTTCAGCAAGTTCGACGAGGACCTGGCGACGGCCTTCTCCATCTACTGCGGCATCAGCATCGCCCATGTGAGGGCGGGGTTGGGAGTGGGGTGTGGGGTGATAGGGGGCGGGGCCCACGAAGGACCCTCGGTTCTCCTCCTCCGACTGACTCTCCTTGTGGATTGATCCCTTGGTCTGGCACTCAGAGTCCCGCCGCTGGGGTGCAGCCTTCAGGACACGCTGGCCACCTCTGGGCTCAGTTTCCCATCTAAAAATTGGGCATACGATTTCCTGCCCTGTCCACTCAGCCTCCTGGGACCATGAGAAACTCCCGTTGTCAAAACCTCCTCTCTTCCCTGGAAGCAGTCTCAACCCAAGCCGAGTGCTTTTTTGGAAGTGCTGGGTCTCGGTGTCCAGGCCTACTGGCGCTCTGGCCTGGGAATCCAGCCCCAAGGTCCCTGACATGATCCCCTCCTTGCTTCTCCTTCCCTGCCATGGGCCTTGGGCTCCATCACTGAAGCCTGGATCAGGTGTGGGGGAGTGCAAAGGGCCAGACCAAATGCTGGGAGAACTTGATGAGGAGGAACCGGCGCGGGGTCTGGATGAAAGTGGGGGTGGGGTCTTTACTGTGGACTGGAGCTTGAAGGTTTTGACTGGGGCCAGAATGGGACAGGAAGTGGGGTGTCTTTTTGACCCCTTCATCCCAGTCCTGGGCATTGCTAAATTTTCACAGCCACCTTCCTTGAGCCCCATCTTTCCCTCTTTCCCCTAGTCTCTCCTATACAAAAAAGTGAATGAGGCTCAGTATCGCAGCCACCTGGCCAATGAGATGATGATGTACCACATGAAGGTGAGGCTTGCAGAGACCTCTGGTCCTCCTCCCAGATTCCCCGGGGACCCAGGGCCAGGCAGGGCTTCCTGATCAATCTCTACTGAGGATGAGAGGATAGGCCCAGAGCCACAGCAGGCCTCCTGCCCTCCTTAGGGGCAGCTCCCACCCCTGCTTAGAGACCTCTCCTCCAAGCTGCTTCTGAGCTCAGTCCCAAGGCTGGAAGTAGCCAGAGGAACCAGCCCAGGGAGTAATTGGTTCAGCCAGGTATTCCCCATGTTCAGGGAATAATTCCCATCTTGGGAATTACTGAGGGCTAGGAAGCTCACCCAGGACCCGTCCCCATGGCTTCCCTAGGTACAATGCCCATGCAGCCCTGGGCAGTCTTAATTGCTGATAATCTATCCCATTCCCTACCCTGGGTCACAAAAGCTGGCTTAGTTCCATGTATATGGTAGTCGCTGTTCATTTGGACATTTCCTCTCACCTGTGTCCAAACCAGAGAGGCCCAGACCTTGTGAGTTGGATCAAAACTGTAGTAGGAAGAGTTAAGGTTAGAGAGTAGAAAGGTCTCCACAAAAGGAGGACTGCTACAGTTACTGTGTATGAAATGCTGCCATGGTTAGGGGGTGTCATGAAGGGGTGTTGTCGATCTTTGCCAAGGTTATGCTGTTACAGATAAAGGGTGGTCACCTGCAGGGAGGCGCGCGGGGTGGGCTGCAGGGCTGTGAGGGGAGGGTGGTGATTTCCTGCCCAGTTACAGTCCACAGCGTGGTGGCCCAACTGTGGTACATTCTGGGTGACGGATCCCCCACCTGCCATGGGAATTTGAGGGTGAAGACACCAGATGGGGTGAAGGCTGTCTTCTAATGCTCTGGCTGGTCTCCTCTAGGTCTCCGATGATGAGTATACCAAACTTCTCCATGATGGGATCCAGCCTGTGGCTGCCATTGACTCCAATTTTGCAAGTTTCACCTATACCCCTCGTTCCCTGCCCGAGGATGACACGTCCATGGTGAGTTGCTCTCCTCCACTTGACTGGCCAGGCCGAAGGTATGTAGCCAGAGGCTTAAGTTAAATGCGCATCAAGAACTTCCTGGGAAGACAGAGTCATCAAGGAAGGCTGTGGAGGGTCCCTCAGAGATGGAGGGGCTTGTAGTCTGCCATCAGGAAGCCATAGGGCCTGCCCAGGGGCTAGAGGCTGGACTGGATGATCCCAAGGGCTGCTCTTGGACCAACCATGCCCAGGGCATGTGACCTCAGGGTTTGCATCCCTCCCAACCCTGTTTTTCTAACATTTTGTGTGGGCTTGGTTTCAAGAGTTCTTAGTTCTTAGATCTCTAAAAATGCATAGCTCCGAGAACGGTTGCTTCAACTATTTTGTGGTTCTCTAGTTTAGATGTAAGTTTCTAAGACTCCAGATTTTGAGTGTGGAGCTTGAAGAAGGACCCAGGCAAGGGCCCCGTCTTGATACTGGCAGCCCCTCTGATACCTCCCTCTGCCCTCTCCAGGCCATCCTGAGCATGCTGCAGGACATGAATTTCATCAACAACTACAAAATTGACTGCCCGACCCTGGCCCGGTTCGTGCGCCCACAGACAGCCCCAGTCTTCGCCTCCCTCTTTCCTCTACTGTCACATCCGTTGCCCCCGGCATTCTGGAGAGGATCTCTCTAAGGATGACTGGGGAGACCCAGTCTTATGGGGGTGGGGAGGATCCATGAATGAGAAGCAATTCCTAGACACTGAACTGTCAATAAAGGCAAGAAATGAGGCAAGGCAAAGCCTGGAGGCAAGGCCGAGAGTGTGTAGCCAGAGGTTTAAGTTAGATGTGCATAGGAACTTCCTGCTAAGACAGAGTCATCAAGGAAGGCTGTGGAGGGTCCCTCAGGGATGGAGGGGACATGTAGTTTGCCATCATGGGGCCGTGATGGAGGAGGAGAGGCTGAGGCCCCTCTTCTGCCCTCTTCCCTCCCCCAGGTTCTGTTTGATGGTGAAGAAGGGCTACCGGGATCCCCCCTACCACAACTGGATGCACGCCTTTTCTGTCTCCCACTTCTGCTACCTGCTCTACAAGAACCTGGAGCTCACCAACTACCTCGAGTGAGTGGCTGCATCTCCCCCACATCTGGCAGCCACTGGGGTCCCCTCCCTGGGACAGGGAAGCACCCCCTGTGTGTCAGGCACTTTACACGCACTGCCTCATGGGATCTTCTTAGCCCCAGGGGACTAGAGGGGAAGGCTGTGAGCCCCATCTTCCAGGAGGGGCTTGCTCACAGCCAAGCAGCTAGTGAAGACTGAGCCTGATTTAAACCCGGGTCTGCTGGGCTCCAAACCAGTGCTTCTTTCCAGGAAGGGAACCCAGGTGTTCCAACCTCCTGTCCCAGTGGCTCCTGGGCATGTCATCTCCTGTCTGTCCTCTTGGGGATTTAGGGAGGGAACTGTGGGCTGACCTCTTTTTTTTCTCCTTTCTGCCTCTCAACCAGGGACATCGAGATCTTTGCCTTGTTTATTTCCTGCATGTGTCATGACCTGGACCACAGAGGCACAAACAACTCTTTCCAGGTGGCCTCGGTAAGACCCTGCCCTGCTCACAGTGGGGACCCTCCATGGGGTGTCTGGGAGTCTCATCCTCTCCCAGCCTGAAGATGGGTGGGAGCGAGTGAGACCAGGAGCCAGGTTTAGACACAGGAGGAGGTTCCCCCAGGGTTTGCCCCTGGCTCTGAGATAGGGAGGAGGGGAGAAAGGTGGAAGGGCAGGACACTGCTCAGCCTAAAGCAGTGGCACTTGGATCCGGATGTGAGGAGTGACCACAGTTTTCCTGGGCTTTTCCAGAAATCTGTGCTGGCTGCGCTCTACAGCTCTGAGGGCTCCGTCATGGAGGTATCACTCTTCTGTCCCACCCCGTCCTTCTTCCCCTTTAAGGCCAGTGACTTGCAAAGTTATGACCCAGCTCCTCCTATTCCCAAACCATGCTCTCCAGACAGGCTGCGAGAGCTGCAGCCACACCTAGGACATGTCTGGCTCATTTTCCTGGAGTGGGCTTGGAAGGGTGCAGGTGCGGATGATAGCAAGGATTTGTGTTCAGCGTGTTTCCCTTTGGCTGCCTGGGAACACCCCATTCAGCCCCCTCCTGCCAAACTTGGGATGGGCTCCACTCCCATCACTTAGCGTCACCTTAGATTGTTTGGTTTGGGTCTGCCTACCTCCTCGTGCACAAGGTCTGAGCCATTTCTGAGTTCCCTGCACTTGGCACAGGGCTTGGCACAGAGTAGGAGACACATTTCCAAGGTCACCTTGCCTCATGCTACTTCCCACAACACCCCTCCAGAGGCTGCCCCTGCTTGCACACCCCCAGAGACGAGGTTCTCTGTCTCTCTCCCAGGAGGCCTGGTGGCAGTGCTGGTTCTGCCCTCTGCCCCCCTGAGATAAGCTGCTCCTTTTCTGAGTGACAGCCCTTCAGCATCCGGAAATGGGGGCCTTGCCCTTGCCTCATCACTGCCTCTCCTTGTCAGCAAACAAATGTGTTCTGCATGATTTGGTGTCTAGGACTCCAAAGGATCATTTCAAAAATGTTCCAGCTTTCAGGGACCCCAGAGCTTACCTTGTTGGGTCCCTGCATGTGACAGCTGAGGAGTCTGAGGCTCAGAGTGGTCTAGGGACTCACCCTGGGTCACACAGAGGGTTGAAACAGAGCTCAGAAAGGGAACTGGGGCCCCTGACTCCCCCTTTCTGACTGCTCTGCTGACCTGGGGGCTGGAGCTGGACGAGGCCCCTGCTTCCTCTCTTGGGGTCAATGGTAAGGGAGCCCATCTGCCCCAGCTGGGCCCCCATCACTCCTCTCCCCCCAGAGGCACCACTTTGCTCAGGCCATCGCCATCCTCAACACCCACGGCTGCAACATCTTTGATCATTTCTCCCGGAAGGTGATGGGGTTGGGGGTGGGGTGGGGATTGAGGGGGAGCTGGGAGCTGGCTGGAGGTGGGATAAGGAGCCAAGGAGTGGAGGCTCACTGGGATGGGCAAATGGGTGGGGGTGTCCAGTAGGAGGGCATGACACCCCTGCCCTCGCCTCAGGACTATCAGCGCATGCTGGATCTGATGCGGGACATCATCTTGGCCACAGACCTGGCCCACCATCTCCGCATCTTCAAGGACCTCCAGAAGATGGCTGAGGGTGACTGCTGTTAGCCCCAGTCCTTGGGGCTGGGGAGGAACAACCAGGGGAAGGATTTGCCAGGGGAGCATTCCCAGGGTGCAGACCCATCCCCTGCAACATCAACCCTTCTCTGGCTGCACGGCCCCCCCCAGGCAGACCCAGCACTGGCCCCTTGGCTCCCATCAAGGGTGCCCAATTCCCTGGACCGCTCTGGGTTGGGCCCTGGGAGCCTTGTCCTCAGAAGGGCAAAGAGGCTGGGCCCCGCTCCTTGACCCCATCCTCCCCTCAACAGTGGGCTACGACCGAAACAACAAGCAGCACCACAGACTTCTCCTCTGCCTCCTCATGACCTCCTGTGACCTCTCTGACCAGACCAAGGGCTGGAAGACTACGAGAAAGATCGCGGTAGGTGTAGTCCTCCCTGGGAAGGCACAGGCTGCCCACCCTGCCCAGCTTTGGGTGCCCCCTGTGCCTGAATACCCTCTCTCTGCTCAGCTCAGCCTGGCTGTGTTCTGGGGAGACAGAAACCTAGACCATCTCAGGGTGACAAATGGAGACTCAGAGAGGGGAACAGACCTAGCAAGTCAGTGGCTGGTGGAAGGTGGGCCCCAACCCAGCCACTCCCTGCCTCAGGCCATCCCACTGCCAAGCTGGGGCTGGTGGGGACGGCTCCTGAGCTGGGACTGAATCCCTGGGCCTCAGTTTTCTCTCCTGGGAACGGGCTGTCAGAGGAGCTTGGGTGGATGTATCCTACATAGAGGATGTGATGAGAGTGTTGGCCTTTCAGGAGCTGATCTACAAAGAATTCTTCTCCCAGGGAGACCTGGTATGTGTGGAGTGACCCCAGGATGTCCAGGATGGGGGAGGGTTCCTGGCCTGGGACAGGGAGGGCTTGAACTAGCCTGACCCTGGTACCCGATGGAGGAATGAGAGGGACAGGCCTGACGACTCGATGCCTGCAGGAGAAGGCCATGGGCAACAGGCCGATGGAGATGATGGACCGGGAGAAGGCCTATATCCCTGAGCTGCAAATCAGCTTCATGGAGCACATTGCAATGCCCATCTACAAGTGAGTGAGCTCATGGGGACAAGCTGCACCCTGCACAGAGAGGGTAGGCTGGAGTGGGGACATCACAGGAAACACAGGTGCTGAGATTGGCCTGGCCCAGGTCCAACTGATTCATCCCCTTGCCTCTGGGCATAACTGTCTCCCGCTGTGCCCCTCAGTGGGTCCTTCACTTCATCCTTGGTCCTCAGTGGAAAGAGACCATCATGCTTTCCTAGGTGTCCTCCTCTGTCTCACATTCTTGTGGAAGTTCTTGTTTTTTTTGAGATGGAGTCTCACTCTGTTGCCCAGGCTGGAGTGCAATGGCACGATCTTGGCTCACTGCAACCTCCCCCTCCTGGGTTCAAGCGATTCTCCTGCCTCAGCCTCCCAAGTAGCTGGGATTACAGGCATGCACCACCACGCCCAGCTAATTTTGTATTTTTAGTAGAGATGGGGCTTCACCATTTTGGTCAGGCTGGTCTTGAACTCCTGACTTCAGGTGATCCACACACCTCGGCATCTCTGAGTGTTGGGATTACAGGCGTGAGCTACCGTACCTGGCCCTTGTGGAAGTTCTATTTGTTGTGTAGCCCTAGTCTTTCTTGCTGCCCATGGTCTGATTTCTGGCCTCTCGCCCTCTGCCCCCCATGCACCCGCAGGCTGTTGCAGGACCTGTTCCCCAAAGCGGCAGAGCTGTACGAGCGCGTGGCCTCCAACCGTGAGCACTGGACCAAGGTGTCCCACAAGTTCACCATCCGCGGCCTCCCAAGTAACAACTCGCTGGACTTCCTGGATGAGGAGTACGAGGTGCCTGATCTGGATGGCACTAGGGCCCCCATCAATGGCTGCTGCAGCCTTGATGCTGAGTGATCCCCTCCAGGGACACTTCCCTGCCCAGGCCACCTCCCACAGCCCTCCACTGGTCTGGCCAGATGCACTGGGAACAGAGCCACGGGTCCTGGGTCCTAGACCAGGACTTCCTGTGTGACCCTGGACAAGTACTACCTTCCTGGGCCTCAGCTTTCTCGTCTGTATAATGGAAGCAAGACTTCCAACCTCACGGAGACTTTGTAATTTGTTTTCTGAGAGCACAGGGGTGACCAATGAGCAGTGGGCCCTACTCTGCACCTCTGACCACACCTTGGCAAGTCTTTCCCAAGCCATTCTTTGTCTGAGCAGCTTGATGGTTTCTCCTTGCCCCATTTCTGCCCCACCAGATCTTTGCTCCTTTCCCTTTGAGGACTCCCACCCTTTGGGGTCTCCAGGATCCTCATGGAAGGGGAAGGTGAGACATCTGAGTGAGCAGAGTGTGGCATCTTGGAAACAGTCCTTAGTTCTGTGGGAGGACTAGAAACAGCCGCGGGGCGAAGGCCCCCTGAGGACCACTACTATACTGATGGTGGGATTGGGACCTGGGGGATACAGGGGCCCCAGGAAGAAGCTGCCAGAGGGGCAGCTCAGTGCTCTGCAGAGAGGGGCCCTGGGGAGAAGCAGGATGGGATTGATGGGCAGGAGGGATCCCCGCACTGGGAGACAGGCCCAGGTATGAATGAGCCAGCCATGCTTCCTCCTGCCTGTGTGACGCTGGGCGAGTCTCTTCCCCTGTCTGGGCCAAACAGGGAGCGGGTAAGACAATCCATGCTCTAAGATCCATTTTAGATCAATGTCTAAAATAGCTCTATCGCTCTGCGGAGTCCCAGCAGAGGCTATGGAATGTTTCTGCAACCCTAAGGCACAGAGAGCCCAACCCTGAGTGTCTCAGAGGCCCCCTGAGTGTTCCCCTTGGCCTGAGCCCCTTACCCATTCCTGCAGCCAGTGAGAGACCTGGCCTCAGCCCTGGCAGGGCTCTCTCTTCAAGGCCATATCCACCTGTGCCCTGGGGCTTGGGAGACCCCATAGGGCCGGGACTCTTGGGTCAGCCCGGCCACTGGCTTCTCTCTTTTTCTCTGTTTCATTCTGTGTGCGTTGTGGGGTGGGGGAGGGGGTCCACCTGCCTTACCTTTCTGAGTTGCCTTTAGAGAGATGCGTTTTTCTAGGACTCTGTGCAACTGTCGTATATGGTCCCGTGGGCTGACCGCTTTGTACATGAGAATAAATCTATTTCTTTCTACCAGTCCTCCCCCATGGGGCTGTTTGCAGACTTTGTGCTTGGGGTGGGTGGAGGGGGGGAATAGAACTGGGAGAGGCAAACGCCCTTTGGAACTCCATGGCTTCCAGGGTCCTCCACCCTTGGTGCCTAGCCCCCCTTCTGGGGAAGTCATAGACCTGTTGGGGTACTCCCTAGGCCAGATCGTGGAGGCTAAGGGGTGGGTGGCAGATGAGAAGGCCTGGCCATGGAGCAGTGATGGGACATGTTGGCTGGCAGAGATTGTAGAATAGAGGAAAAACAAAGGTTGAGGCAAGCAGGCAGGCTGCCTGGAGGAGGTAGCCTGGAGCTTGTCCTAGACCCTCCCAGCGCTGGCCTGCCCTGGTCATGAGTGCCCATACGGCGAGGGCCTAGGCCTCTGAACTCTGTTTCTAGCTGCAGTGATGCCTGGCTGTGTCCCAGGAAGTCCCACATCCCAGTTACTCTGAGTCCTGCCGAAGGTGCACCCCTGAGTCAGACTCCACACCAGATCCAGCCCCGGGTTGTGTCTGAGGAGTTGTGTCTGTTCCTCTGCATGAGAGTGTTTACTTCCGCCCAGTCCAAGATGGGCAGACTGCAGGTTGGGGCTACGCGGAGGCTCTGCCTGGCACAGTCTCCAGACCCTGTCCCCGACTTGCCTACCCCCCTCTGAGCTCCTCTCCGTGTTCATCTCTTCCTGGTCAGTAAAGGTTGATGTGTTAAGAGGGTGGGCACTGGGGTCTCCTTTCTTGGTGGGAGCAGGAAGGAGATGGACAGGGCCATCCTGTGACCATCAGCCATTGCCAGCTTTGCCTTTGGGACCACAGAGCCCATCTGCTTCCTCTGCAGCTCCCCCTGCCCCACTAGCCTGTCTGGGTTTGGAATCTGCTCCTCTGGCTGAATGGTCTCCAGGTTTCCAGCTTCCCTTAGCGTCATGGGGCTCCAGGCTCCTCCCATTCCCAGCTCCTGCTGTGGGCTCCCCAAGTCCGTCTCTATCCTCTCACAGCACAGGACCCAGGCTTGGCCAGTGGGTCCCCAGGTGGGGGTGGGAGTGGTCAGTTTGTGGCCCACGGCCAATAAGAGATGGCTATTCTAATGGTGCCTGGCTGACCCCAGGGTCACTGTGGGCTGATGTAGCTGCTCTTCTGCCTGACCCCTGACCCTGAGTGTGTGTGCGTGTTCCTCTTCCACAACTCTTCAGGCAAAGAGAACCTTGACCCTGCATCTGTCTGTCCCCAGCCCAGCCCTCCTTTGAGGCTCATGCTGTGACACATCCCTGTTTTTCACCAAATGGAGGGAACAACCACAGATATTTCCTTGTGCACGCAGGACCCTGTGCTAGGGCTGAGGGCTTTGTCTTTGTCCTGCTCTGGAAAGTCTCACAGTTTGATTGGAGAGCTAGATCTAAACTCAGATGCAGGCCATGACAACGCTGTGGGGTGCCCGGCCATGGGGCTCCAGGCAGGATCATAACCCTGAGAACAACAATGAGGTTTGAAAGATGAGCAGATGTTGTTTATAGGCAAAAGGGGACAGGCACTCCTGGTAGAAGAAACTGCTTTTGCAAAGGCCTCGAGAACAGAAGGGACTGGCAGGTGGAGGAGCCGAGAGATGGAGGAGGAGGCAAGGCCAGATCCTGAAGGGCCTTAAATGCCAGGTTGTGGAGTTTGGCTTTATTCTGTGGGCAGTGGAGAACCAGAGAAAGGTTTTCAGTAGGAGAGTGACTCAGAAGTGCATTTTAGAAAGATCCCCCTGGAGAGCAGGGAAGTGACTGCAAGGGGAGAGGGTGGGCAGGGATTATTCTATGGGTGATGTGCTGTGCCCTGGGCTGGGCGAGGAGAGGAATTCAGGAGATGCTAGGTTGGCAGAACATGGTGACCAGTGGGTCGGGGGATGCAGAGGGAGGACTTGGAGGGGCCCTGGGAGGTGGGGTCTATGCCACTCCATGAAGAGCTGTGGGGGCTCTGTTCAGCATCACCCTCACCCACAACAGGTATTGGGTGGAGCCTCTGGCAGGGGTGAGCTCCCTGCAAAGGTGAGCAAAACAGCTATCTGAGGATGCCCAGGGAGGAGAGGTGGGAGGAAGGGAGAGAGGACAGATGGGAGGAGGCTCTGCACAGAGCCTGAGGACAGCCCTCACCAGGTTACAGAACACAAGGCTTGACCCCATTGGCTTCCTGTAGCTGTCCTGCTCTCCCAACTTAATGGTTTCATTTTGCATTTTATTTAAATTTCACAATGATTCTAGCAGATACCATTAGTCTATTCTGCAGCCAAGTTGTCTAAGGTTTGGAGAGGTTAAGTAATGCACCAAGGTTAGGATTTGAGCCCTACCTGTCTGATTCCCCTCCGAGAGCTGTCTGATTCCTTTCTCCTCCTCTGGGATAGGGAAAGGAGACTCAGAAGGACGGGGTCTCCATCTTCAGTCTTTGCAAGACTATTGTAGGGCATTGGGATGGTGAGCACAAAGTGGGTTGAAGCCCCAGAGAAAGAGCTGAGAGCTGGGATCAACTGTGTGTGTGCATGTGTGTGTCTGTGTGTGTGTGAGTTGGAGTAGGGGGCAGGGAGAAAAGAGTGGGGTGGTGGTGGCTTGTAGTGCAGCTCAGGGCCACCAGGTGGTGTCCAGCCCTCGCTGTCCTCACCTCCCCAGAGGTCAGAGAAGGATATGGGAGGGGGTGGGGTGGGGTGAGGGGGACGCGGCGGGGACGGGGGGGACGGTGGTTGGTAGTCTCACTCCTGTCCATTCACCTACAGGTTGAGTATCCCTTATCCAAAATGCTTGGGGCCAGAAGTGTCTCAGATTTAAGATTTTTTTCGGATTTTGGAATATTTGCATATACATAATGAGATATCTTGGGAATGAGACCCCAGGCTAAACAGGAAATCCATTTATGTTTTATATACACACAGCCTGAAGCAGTTTTATATAATATTTTGAATAATTTTATGCATGAAACAAAGTTTGTGCACATTGAAGCAAGTGTGGAATTTTCCACTTGTGGCATTATGTCGGTGCTAAAAAATGTTTTAGATTTTGGAGCATTTTGGATCTCAGAACTTTGCATTAGGAATTGAGGACTAAGTCTGATATTCTGTCTTACCCAGATTCCTACCTAAGAGGTCTAGGAAGTCATGCCCTACAAACCATACATTCTCATCAGATGGGTTTTATTTGACCCTATATGTTGTGATTTACTTTTCAATCTGACTCTGGCATAACATTATGAGACAAGGAAAAAAATATTTAACCCCAAAATATATTTCCGTGCCATACCTTGAAATTGCCCTGCAAAGTCTCTTGTGGGAAAAATCCACATTCTATAGAGATTCCCCTTCCGCCTTTGTTTTCCTTCCTTTCTTTCCAGATCCAGGAGATAATCAACTAAGTAAGAGCCAGGCACCCTTTTAAGTCCGATAAGAGACAATTTACAACTTGCTCTGTCTGAAGTCTGCTATCTGAGAGCTTCCTCTGCACAATAAAACTTGGTCTCTATAATCCTTTATCTTTAAACTGAACATTCCTTTCTATGGATCCCAGGTCTTTAGACAAACTCAAACAATTGTCAACCAGAAAATGTTTAAATTTACCTATAGCCTGGAAGCCCCCCGCTTTGAGTTGTTCTGCCTTTCTGAACCAAATCAATGTATTTCTTATATGTATTTGATTGATGTCTCATACCTTCCTAAAATACATAAAACCAAGATGTATCCCGACCACCTTGGGCACATGTTCTCAGGACCTCCTGAGGGCTGTGTCACAGGCCACGGTCACTCATATTTGGCTCAGAATAAATCTCTTAAAATATTTTACAGGCTGGGTGCAGTGGCTCACGCTTGTAATCCCAACACTTTGGGAGGCGGAGGTGGGTGGATCACATGAGGTCAGGAGTTCAAGACCAGCCTGACCAACATGACGAAAACCCAGTCTCTACTAAAAAATACAAAAATTAGTCGACCGTGGTGGCAGGTGCCTATAATCCCAGCTACTTGGGAGGCTGAGGCAGGGAGGATTGCTTGAACCCGGGAGGCGGAGGTTGCAGTGAGCCGAGATCGCGCCACTGCACTCCAGCCTGGGTGACAGAGTGAGACTCCATCTAAAGAAAAAAAAAATTTTTTTTTACAGAGTTTGACTCTCCATCAACAGAATGCTGCACCTATATGACCCTCTCACACTCACAAACACAGAGGCATTCTCATGCTGACACATGCACACACACACATGCTCATTCTTTGACACACAGGCATGTTTACCTGCAGACTCCATACAGCATATACCCTGTACAGTACACACCCATACAGACTCATTCTTTGACACACAGGCATGTTTACCTGCAGACTCCATACAGCCTATACCCTGTACAGTACACATCCATACAGACTCCTCAGGGAAAATGGAAACTGTTTCTTGGAGGCCTCCAGCCTGTATAGCTGTTCTCTGAACAGAACTGAGGCCCATCAGTTCTACCTTAGTGAGATCCCTGGAGGTGGTACCTGCCTGATGAGCGGTCTCCCTCTGCAGAACGGTCCCTGGGAAGGCAGAGCCAGCCTTGCGTGTGAACAGGGATAGGCAGAAATGATGCTTCCCTCACCCCTTCTCTGTGCAGGAAATAACTACTAGAGAGCATTGCAAGGCTTGGTGCTGTGCTGGTGAGGGCGGACGTCATGACAGGGAGTGAACCCAGACCATGAAGGGGGCTTCCTGGAGGAGGGTGAGGTGAGGCAGGTCTTGGAGTTTGGATGAGGAGGACGGGAAAGGACTTGAGGACATTGCAGATAGACCAGGAAGGCAGGCTGGGAGGTGAGGAGGTGCAGGAGGCTGTGCTTCTCGGGGCTCAGTCTCCTTGAGACAGGGGTGGGACTGAGGGGTGGATTGGTTGGGGGTGTGCTGAGGAAGGATGGTGAGTAGATGCTATTTTCATAACCTTGGTTGCAGTCTCTTGGGAGGGTGCCAAGTCCAGGCAGGTGAAGGAGTTGAAGGTCTCCTCCGAGCAGGAGCTAAGCCCTCCCCCTCTAGTCTTAGTTTTTCTGTCCATAAACTGGGATGATGAACCCCGCTGGAGGTGGTGAGGGTCGGGGGCAGAGCAGAGCAGCCATTATGCTCAAGACAGGCTCTGGACTGCACCTGGGGAGAGAAGGGAGAATCAGGGTTGGGGCAGGAATGAAGGAAGGGGCATGGGAAATCAGGGGAGGAGGCAGCATGGGTGGTGTGGGAGGATCAAGGATGTCAGGGCAGGCCTCTTACCTGACTGAGGTTTGCACTCCTGGGTTCCCTGTCCTGAAACACAAAGCAAGAGTTGTCCCC